>NC_000023.11:56659243-56975299 GCF_000001405.40 Homo sapiens
GTTTTGTGCTTGAAACCCCGGGACCTTGTGGTGTAGGCACATGAGGGAGCCTCCTGATCTGAAGATTGCAAAAACCGTGGAAAAAGCGTAGTAACCTGGCTGTGTAGCACAGTCCCTCACGGCTTCCCTTGGCTTGGGGAGGGAAGGCCCTGGTTCCTTGCACTTCCCAGGTGAAGCGACACCCCACCCTGCTTCTGCTTGCCCTCTGTGGGTTGGATCCACTGCCTAACCAGTCCCAATGAGATGAACTGGGTACCTCAGTTGGAAATGCAGAAATCATCTGCCTTCTGCATTAGTTTCATTGGGCACTGCAGACCACAGCTGTTTCTATTTGGCCATCTTGTCCCCACCCCCTCTAAAAAGAATCTTATTTCTCCTTCCCTTAGGAATCTTAGTTTGGCTGGATATAAAGTTTTTGATTGAAGATACTTTTTCTTTGAGAATGTTGGATACAGGCCCACAATCTCTTCTGGCTTTTAGGTTTTTCAGCTAAGAGGTCTGTTGTTAGTCTGATGAGGATCCCTTTGAGGGCAACCTGCCCTTTCTCTCTAGCTGCCTTTTTCATTCTTTCCTTCATTTTAACTTGGGAAATTTAACTATTAGATGTCTTGGGAATGATCTTCTCATGTAGAATCTTGCAGGAGTTCTCTGTATTTTTTGAATTTGATTGGTGGCCTCTCTAGCAAGTTTGCAAAGTTTTCTTGGACAATATCTTGAAATATCTTTTCCACACTGTTTGCTTTCTCCCTCTCCCTTTCAGGGGTGCCAAGCATTCGTAGATTTAGCCTCTTTATATAATCCCATATTTCTTGGAGGTTTTGTTCATTCTTCATTTTTTATTTTCTATTTTTGTCTGACTGTCTTATTTCAGAGAGCTAGTCTTTAAGTTCTGAATTTCTTTTTCTCAGCTTGGTCTGTTCTGCTGTTAATACTTGTGATTTCATTGTGAAGTTATTTTATTGTGTTTTTTGACCCTTTCAGGTTTGTTGGCATATATATATATATATATATGTATATGTATATATACACACACACATATATATGTGTGTGTATATATACATATACATATATATATATATATATGTATACTATTTCATCGTTCAGCTCCTGTATTGTTTTATTGTAATTCTTAGTTTCTTTGGGTTGGGTTTTGCTGCCATACTGAATCTCAGTGATCCTTGTTTTTATCCATATTCCAAATTCTATTTCTGTCATTTCAGTCAGCTCTGCCTAGTTTAGATCTGTTGGAGAACTGGTGTGGTCATTTATAGGACATATGACACTTTGGCTATTTGAGTTACTGGAGTTTCTGCATGGGTTCTTTCTCATCTGTGCATGTGGGTGTTCTTTTAGCTGCAATGTAGATTGAGTAAAGTCAATAGACTTCTTTTCTGGATGTTTTTGCAGGGTCAAAACTTTGTGCCAGGTCTTTATTTGAAGCTGACTTCTTATATTTGCTTTCACTGGGAGGGTATTTCCATGAGTTATTTTTGGTGTTGAAGCTTTGGGAGCTTGATCCAGTAGTTGGTGCCTAGGCTTTTTGGTCAGTTGATAGACTGTTGTTCAGCTGTGTAGCTCCGCTATGTTTCCTCATAGTTTGCAACTGTATTCCATCTCAGATATCTAGAAGGGTGGGCTACTCTCCCCCGTGAGTGATGACTGTAGATTGTGGCCTGGTACTCCTGGGCTACCCAGTGAAACTCTGGGACAATTTCAAAATTTGTGTTCTTTCTCTAGCTTGGAAGCTGCAGATGAAGAGACTTTAGTAGTGGTTGTGGCCAAGGGCCTTCGCCTCTCTCCTAGGGCCTCCACCTCATGGAGTTGCTTGTCAGCAATCACTCAGTGAAATCAGCTCAGCATGAAGGGTCTGTGCTGTTTGGTGATGAGCAGGTGGAGAAGTAGTTGGATCCCATGGGAGATGGACTGGCCTCCTCTTCTTGGGTTGACTGCAGCTTGTTGGAGGTGTGGATAAGGCACTTAGTGTCTTTGCTCCTTCATTAGTATGAGGGTAGCAAGGGAAGTTTCACTGCAGAGGTGGTGGCAGAGAGGCTTTCAGTTCCCCAGGAGCTCTGTTCAAGGAGTTGCAGAGCTGCTAATGGCTCGATAACCCGGCAAGGGATGACTAGAGGCCAAGGCCTGGAGGATCTGCCTGGTGAAGAGTTATGGGAATGGGCACCCATGCAACAGTCTGTCCACTTTTGTTGTATGCCTTGTGTAATATGCTGGGGTTCTACTCCAGTCCATAGTCGCCTTGAATATTGCAGTACCTGGAGGTATTAACAGTGAAGGCTGTGAAACAGTCAAGGTGTCGGCCTTCCCTTTCCTCTGGGACCTCTGTTTCATGGATGTATGAACATGTTGCTGATCTAAACACACTTGTAGGAGGTGGATGGAGACCCTTGTTGGCAGGTCCCATCGAGTGAAGAGAAACATGATTGGGGACCCCCTTTAAAAAGCCGTCTGGCCACATTCTCCTAGAACAACTGTTCTGTGCTGGGGATCTACCCCAGCCCCTAGTGACCTAGGACTCTTCAAAACCTGAAGGTTGAAATGGCTATATCACCCAAGCAGCAAAGATCGAGGCCCACCCCTAACTCTAGGAGCTCCCTTCCAGGGAGGTTTGAAATCTCCATCAGGCAGAGAACACTGGGAGGTTTAGCTGGAAACCCTTGTTGGGAAGTGATATAATTTTCTGTGTCTCCACCCAAATCTCATCTTGAACTGTAGTTTCCATAATTTCCACATGTGGTGGGAAGGGCCTAGCGGGAGTTTATTGAATCATGTAGGCAGTTGTCTCATGCTGCTCTCATAATAGTGAGTGAGTTTTCATGAGAGCTGATGGCTTTGTAAGCTGACATGATTGTAATCTTCCTGAGGCCTCTCCAGCCATGCAGAACTACTGTAGGCCAATCAAACATCTTTTCTTTCTATTACTATTATTTTTTTAGATGGAGTTTCACTCTCGCTGCCCAGGTTGGAGTGCAATGGAGCGATCTCAGCTCACTGCAACCTCCACCTTCTGGTTTTAAGCGATTGTCCTGCCTCAGCCTCCTGAGTAGCTGGGATTACAGGTGCCTGCAACCACCCCCAGCTAATTTTTGTATTTTTAGAAGATACGGGGTTTCACCATGTTGACCGGGCTTGACTCGAACTCCTGACCTCATGATCCACCCGCCTCAGCCTCTGAAAGTGCTGGGATTAAAGGCATAAGCCACGGTGACTGGCCCTAAACCTCTTTCCTTTATAAATTATATAGTCTCAGGAATATCATTACTAACAGCATGAGAATGGAATAACACAGTAAATTTGTACCAGGAGTAGGATACTGCTATTAAGATACCCCAAAATGTGGAACAACTTTGGAATTGGGTAACAGACAGAGGTTGGGACAGTTTGGAGGGCTGAGAAAAAGACAGGAAGATGTGGGAAAGTTTGGATCTTCCTAAAGAAGTGTTGAATGGCTTTGACCAAAAAAAATAATAATAATAAAATCCAAGCTGAGGTAGTCTCAGATGGAGATAATAAACTGGTTGGAAACTGGAGCAAAGTTGACCTTTATGATGCTTTAGCAAAGAGACTGGCAGCATTTTGCCTCCGCCCTAGAGATCTGTGGAACTTTGAACCTGAGAGAGGTCATTTAGGGTATCTGGCAGAAGAAATTTCTTTCTTTTTTTTATTATTATACTTTCAGTTCTAGGGTACATGTGCACAACGTGCAGGTTTGTTACATATGTATACATGTGCCATGTTGGTGTGCTGCACCCGTTAACTCGTCATTTACATTAGGTATGTCTCCTAATGCTATGCCCCACCCCCAACCCACAACAGGCCCCAGTGTGTGATGTTCCCCACCCTGTGTCCACGTGTTCTCATTGTTCAATTCCGACCTATGAGAGAGAACATGTGGTGTTTGGTTTTCTGTCCTTGTGATAGTTTGTTGAGAATGATGGTTTCTAGCTTCATCCATGTAGCTACAAAGGACATGAACTCATCCTTTTTTATGGCTGCATAGTATTCCATGGTGTATATGTGCCACTTTTTCTTAATCCAGTCTATCATTGATGGACATTTGGGTTGCTTCCAAGTCTTTGCTATTGTGAATAGTGCCACAATAAACATACGTGTGCATGTATCTTTATAGCAGCATGATTTATAATCCTTCGGGTATATGCCCAGTAATGGGATGGCCAGGTCAAATGGTATTTCTAGTTCTAGATCCTTGAGGAATCACCACACTGACTTCCACAATTGTTGAACTAGTTTACAATCCCACCAACAGTGCAAAAGCTTTCCTATTTCTCCACATCCTCTCCAGCACCTGTTGTTTCCTGACTTTTTAATGATCACCATTCTAACTGGTGTGAGATGGTATCTCATTGTGGTTTTGACTTGCATTTCTCTGACGGCCAGTGATGATGAGCATTCTTTCATGTGTCTGTTGGCTCCATAAATGTCTTCTTTTGAGAAGTGTCTGTTCATGTCCTTCCCCCACTTTTTGATGGGGTTGTTTGATTTTTTCTTGTAAATTTGTTTGAGTTCTTTGTAGATTCTGGATATTATTAGCTCTTTGTCAGATGGGTAGATTGTAAAAATTTTCTCACGTTCTGTAGGTTGCCTGTTCATTCTGATGATAGTTTCTTTTGCTGTGCAGAAGCTCTTTAGTTTAATTAGATCCCATTTGTCAATTTTGGCTTTTGTTGCCATTGCTTTTGGTGTTTTAGTCATGAAGTCCTTGCCCATGCCTGTGACCTGAATGGTATTTCCTAGGTTTTCTTCTAGGGTTTTCATGGTATTAGGTCTAACGTTTAAGTCTTTCATCCATCTTGAATTAATTTTTGTACAAGGTGTAAGGAAGGGATCCAGTTTCAGCTTTCTACTTATGGCTAGCCAGTTTTCCCAGCACCATTTATTAAATAGGGAATCATTTCCCCATTTCTTGTTTTTGTCAGGTTTGTCAAAGATCAGATGGTTGTAGATGTGTGGTATTATTTCTGAGGGCTCTGTTCTGTTCCATTGATCTATATCTCTGTTTTGGTACCAGTACCATGCTGTTTTGGTTACTGTAGCCTTCTAGTAAAGTTTGCAGTCAGGTAGCATGATGCCTCCAGCTTTGTTCTTTTGGCTTAGGATTGTCTTGGCAATGCGGGCTCTTTTTTGGTTCCATATGAACTTTAAAGTAGTTTTTTCCAATTCTGTGAAAAAAGTCATTGGTAACTTGATGGGGATGGCATTGAATCTATAAATTACCTTGGGCAGTATGGTCATTTTCACAATATCAATTCTTTCTATCCATCAGCATGGAATGTTTTGTCAAAGGCCTTTTCTGCATCTATTGAGATAATCATGTGTCTTTTGTCTTTGGTTCTGTTTATATGATGGATTACCTTTATTGATTTGCATATGTTGAACCAGCCTTGCATCCCAGGGATGAAGCCAACTTGATCGTGTTGGATAAGCTTTTTGATGTGCTGCTGGATTCGGTTTGCCAGTATTGTTTTGAGGAGTTTTACATCGATATTCATCAGGGATATTGGTCTAAAATTCTCTTTTTTTGTTGTGTCCCCTGGCTGAAGAAATTTCTAAGCAGAAAAGCATTCAAGAGGAAACAGAGCACAAAAGTTTGGGAAACATCCCCTGCTGATGCTGTAGTAAAGAAAAATCCATTTTCTTGGGAGAAATTCAAGCCTGCTGTAGAAATTTTCATAAGTAACAAGGAGCTGAATGTTAATCACCAAGACAATGGGAAAGTGTCTCCAAGCCATGTCAGAAAACTTCACTGAAGCCCCTCCCATCAGAGGCCCAGAGGCCTAGGAGGAAAAAATGGTTTCATGAGCCTAGGGCCCTCCCACTGTGTGCAGCCCAGGGACTTTGTTTTCTGTATACCAGCTGGTCCAGCTATGGCTAAAAGGGGCCAAGGTACAGCTCAGGCCATTGCTTCAGAGAGTGCAAGCCCATAGCCTTAACAGCTTTCATGTGGTGTTGGGACTGCAGGTGTACAGAAGTCAAGAACTGAGGTTTGGGAACCTCTACCTAGATTTCAGAGGATTATAGAAATGTCTGGATATCCAGGAAGAAGTTTGCTGCAGGGGCAGTGCCCTCATGGAGAACCTTTGGTAGGGCAGTATGGAAGGAAAATGTGGAGTTGGAGCACCCACACAGAGTTCCCACTGGGGCATTTCCTAGTGGAGCTGTGAGAAGATGACCACCATCCTCCAGACCACTGAGAGCTTCCACTGTGCACCTAGAAAATCCCAGAAACTCAATGCCAGCAAGTGAAAGCAGCTAGAAGGGGGATATGTACCCTGCAAAGCCACAGGGGTAGAGCTGCCCAGGGCCATAAGAGTCCCACTCTTGCATCGCAGTGGGAGCCCATCTCTTGCATCAACATATCCTGGATGTGAGATATGGAGCCAAAGTGGGTTATTTTGGAACTTTAAAGTTTAATTACAGCCCTTCTGGATTTTGGACTTGCATGGGGCCTGTATCCCCTTTGTTTTGGCCAATTTCTTCCATTTGGAATGGGTGGATCTACCCAATGCCTGTCCCCTCATTGTATCTGGGAAGTAACTAACTTGCTTTTAATTTTACAGGCTTATAGGCAGAAGGCAGTTGCCTTGCCTCAGCTAAGACTTTGGACTTGGACTTTTGAGTTAATGTTGGAATGAGTTAAGACTTTGGGAGACTGTTGGAAGGGCAAAATTGTGTTTTAAATTGTGAGGACATGAGATTTGAGAGGAACCAGGGGTGGAATAAAATAGTTTGGCTATGTCCTCACCCAAATCTCATCTCAAACTCCAGTTACCATAATCCCCACATGTCGTGGAAGGGAACCAGTGAGAGATACTTGAATCATGGGGCAGTTATCTCCATGCTGTTCCCATGATAGTGAGTGAGTTCTCACAAATCTGATGGTTTTAGAAGGGGCTTTTTCCCTCTTTCCACTCTGCATTTTTCCTTGCTGCCACCATGTGTAAAAGCACGTGTTTGCTTCCCCTTCTTCCATGATTGTAAGTTCCCTGAGGCCTCCCCAGCCCTGTGGAACTGTGAGTCAATTAAACCTCTTTCCTTTATAATTTATCCACTCTCAGGTATGGCTTTATAAGCAACAAGATAAGAGATTAATACAGGAGGTCCTGGCTAGTGAAGAGAAATGGAATCAGAAACCAAGACTACTTAAAAAGTAATCTGGCCATATTTTCGTAGAGCAGCTCTGTTGTTCTTGGAGTCTACTTCAGACCCCAATTTTCTCAGACTCTCCAAAGGCCAAAGACCAGAATGGCTCCATCACCAAAACAGCCAAGATCGTGGCCTGCTCCTCCCCCTGGGTGCTCTGTCCCAAGGAGGTTTGAAATCTCTGTCAGCTGGAGAACACCGTTGGGGTAGCTGGAGATTCTAGTTGGGAGGTGTCACCAAGTGAGGAGGAATGGGATTAGAGACCTGCTTCAAAAAGCAGTCTGGCCACATTTTTGAAGAGCCACTGTGCTGTGCTGAGGGTTCAATTATACTTTCTTCTTCTCTGCACATGGAATATACTCTGAAATCAACTACATTCTGAACCATAGGGCAATTTTCAGAAAATTCAAAAAAACTGAAATCATACTAACCACACTCTTGGACTACAGTGAAATAAAAATTAAAATCAATACTAAGAAGATCACTCAAAACCTAATAATTACATGGAAATTAACCTGTTACATAATTACTTTTGTGTAAACAATGAGTTTAAGACAAAAATCAAGAAGTTGTTTGAAAGTAATGAAAGCAAAGATACAACATACCAGAATCTTGGGAACACAGTGAAAGCAGTGTTAAGAGTTTATACCACTATATGCCCACATCAAAAAAGGCAGAAAAATCTCAAATTAACAATTTTATATTAAATATAGATGGACTAGAAATACAATAGCAAATCAAGCCTAAAGCTAGCAGTAGAGAAAAAAAATAAGCAAAACCAAAGTTGAACTAAGAAATTGAGATGTAATAAACTATATGAAAAAATAAAAAAATTCAGGCTCCTAGGGTCTGATAAACAACTCCAGCAAAGTTTCAGGATAAAAATCAATGTACAAATATAAGTGGCATTTCTATACACCAATAACATCAAAACTGAAAGTCAAATCCAGAACACAATCCCTTTAACAATAGTCACACACAAAAAAATATACCTAGGAATACAGCTAACTAGGGAGGTGAATGACCTCTACAATGCAACTACAAAATACTGCTGAAAGAAATCAGAAATGAAACAAACTCTTAAATGCTCATGAATAGGAAGAATCAATATTGTTAAAATGGCTATATTGCCCAAAACAATTTACAGATTTCATGTTATTTCAATGAAGCTATCAATTGCATTTTTTAAGGAGCTAAAGAAAACTTTTCAAATTCACATGGAACCAAACAGAGCCCAAATAGCCAAAGCAATTGTGACCCAAGTAAAAACAAAACAAAACAAAAAAAACCCCACAAAGCTAAGGGCATCACATAATCCAACTTTAAATCATACTATAAGAATACAGCAATCAAAAGAGCATGGAACTGGAACAAAAATAACACATAGACCAAGGGAACAGAACTGAGATCTGAGAAATAAAACCACACACCTATGACTATCTTATCTTTGACCAAGTTGACAAATACAAGTAAGGTGGAAAGGAATTCCTATTCAATAAGTGGTGTTGAGATAACTGGCTAGCCATATGCAGATCAAACTGGATATCTTCCTTACACCATATAGAAAAAATAACTCAGAATGGATTAAAGACTTAAAACCCAAAACTAAAAAGGCCCTTGAACAAAACATAAAACAGAGCATTCTGGACATATACCCTGGCAAAGATTTCATGACAAACATGCTAAAAGCAATTGCAACAAAACCAAAAATTGACAAATGGCACCGAAGTAAGCTAAAGATCTGCACAACAAAAGGAACTATCAGCAGAGTAAGCAGATAACCTACAGAATTGAAGGTTAGTCCATATTTTACAAACATTGTCTGACAAAGGTCTAATATCCAGAATCTATAAGGATCTTAAACAAATTAACAAGGAAGAAACAAATCAGCTTAATAAAAAAGTGGGAGTATTAGTGAGCACTATCTAGAGGGACAGAACTACTAGAATAGATGTATGCATGAAAGGGAGTTTATTAAGGATTATTAACTCACACAATCACAAGGTGAAGTCCCACCACAGGCTGTCTGCAAGCTGAGGGGCAAGAAAGCCAGTCCGAATCCCAAAACCTTAAAAGTAGGGAAGCTGACAGTGCAAACTTTAGTCTGTGGCCAAAGGCCCAAGAGCCCCTGGAAAATCACTGCTGTAAGTTCAAGAGTCCAAAATCTGAAAAACTTGGAGTCTGATGTTCAAGGGCAGGAAGCATCCAGCACAGGAGAAAGATGAAGGCCCGAATACTCAGCAAATCTGCCCATTCCAGTTTCCTCTGCCTGCTTTATCCTGGCCACACTGGTAACTGATTAGATGGTGCCCACCGAGATTCAGGATGGTTCTGCCTTTCCAAGTCCACTGACTCAAATGTTAATTTTCTTTGGCAACACGCTCACAAACACACAGAGGAAAAATACTTTGCATCTTTCAATTCAATCAAGTTGACACTCAATATTAACCATCACAAGTCCACCCCGGTCAACTTCAACCAACACTCATCTCCTGAAATCACACATAATCTTCAGATAAAGACAATAATAAAAAATACGCCTAACGTAGTACACTTATCCTTTGTACAACCAGAAGCGCACTTAACCTAAACGCTATTACATAAAGTTAACAACACTTTAGTGCTGATACGAAGTCTTATGTCACATGATAAATCTTATGTCACATGATAAGAAAAAGGAAATAAAGTGAAGATATTTTCTAAGTACAAGTGTATACATGCACAAACATGTTCTTAACAAAATGAGGAGGAAATATGAAAATTACAGTCTTCATTTCTGCCACTGGTCACATGGTCATAGCTGGTATTGATAACTACTTTCTACTACCCATTCTGTATTTTCCTTGCCTTCAGCAAGCATCTCAGTGAATTGTGGTTTTTTACCTGGTGGAATGACCAAAACTTTTATTCCTGAAGGATCTGAGCCATTTGTAGCCTTGCCTGCGTTGGGTTGTTGCAGTTTCCCATTGACTTTAATCACAGGGCATGGAACTACTAAGAGACACCCCAAGGGATCTTCCATGCATATTCTTTCTTACCTCTATTGTGGAGTAGTAGATTGATTTCATCTTGATAGTCCAGATAAATCATCCCAGCCAACACTAACTCCTTTCTTACCCTGTTGACCTAGAGGTGGAAAGAGCCCACAGTGGCCAGGTGGTAATCTTAATCTCCAGTTTAATGGAATCATTGTTGTGTCTCCTTATGGCAGCATTTCTCCTCTGGGACTAAGACCTCTAGGTCAGCACAACATAGTGTGCGAACAAGAAGCAAAAATTTTGCTAGTGGGTCTCTAGGGGTGATGGTGAGTAGTGCCACTTCCAATTCCACCCCTTGATTCCTGGACCCATGAATCCCAGCAATGGGAGAAACAGTACCATAAATTGGACACTGATTCAGGGCATGCACAGCCTTTTGGAAAACTTTGCCCCAGTCCTGCAAAGCATTGTCACCTAGTTGTGATTGTAACTGTCACTTCAAAAGGCCATTCCACCATTCTGTCAATCTGGCTGCTTGAGGATGATAGGAAACATGGTAAGACCGGTAAATTCCATGAGAATGAGCACATTTCTGCACTTCTTTAGCTGTAAAGTGAGTGCCTTGGTCAGAGACAATGCTGTGTGGAACACCATGACAGTGGATAAGGCATTTTGTGAGTCCATGGATGGTAGTCTTAGCAGAAGCATTGAGTGCAGGATAGGCAAACCCATACCTAGAGTAATTGTCTATTCCAGTGAGGACAGACCACTGCTCTTTCCATGATGGGAGAGATCTAATATAATCAACCTGCCACCAAGTAGGTAGCTGATCACACCAGGGAATGGTGCCATGTCGAGTGCTCAATGTTGGCATCTGCTGCTTGAAAATTAGGCACTTAGTGGTGGCCATAGCCAGGTCAGACTTGGTGAGTGGAAGTCCATGTTGCTGAGCCCATGTGTAACCTCCATCTCTGCCACCATGACCATTGGGAAATGACAGGGGTGGCTGGGGAAAGAGGCTGAGTGGTGTCCACAGAACAAGTCATTCTATCCACTTGATTATTGAAATCCTCCTCTGCTGAGGTAACTTTGGCGAGCACTCACAAGGGATACAAATATATTCAGTTTTTGACCACTCAGACAGGTCCATCTACATTTCTTCCCCAAATTTCTTTGTCACCAATTTTCCAATCATGCTTCTTCCAAATCCATGACCATCCAGACAGATCATTGGCTACAGCCCATGAATCAATAAATAATTGCACATCTGACCACATCTCCTTCTAAGCAAAGTGCACAACTAGGTGTACTGTTTGAGATTCTTCTCACTGGGAAGATTTCCTTTCACCTCTCTCCTTCTGGGATATCCTAGGAAAGGGCTGTAGTGCTGCAGGTGTTCACTTTCGGATGGTGCCCGCGTATCATGCAGAACCATCTGTGAAACAGGCCCTAGCCTTCTCTTCCTCTGTCAAGTAATCATAGGGAACTCCCCGTGAGGCCATTGGTGCAGGCTGGGGGAGAGAAGACAGGATGGCAGGAGGGGAGACCACGGATATGTGAGACTTCCTCATGTAACTTACTTGTGCCCTCAGGGCCTGCTTAAGCCCAATCACCTATATAACACTTCCATTTGATGATAGGATGCTGCTGTGCATGACCCACTGTATGGATAGATGGGTCAGAAAGCACCCAGTTCAATGATATGCTTATTCAGACTGCTGTTCAGGTCACATGGAGACTTGATGACTCAAACATTCAGTTTATACCAAAGCCCAGTAATAGGCCAAGAACTGTCTTTTAAAAGAAGAGTAGTTATCTGTGGAAGATAGCAGGGCCTTGCTCCAAATTCCTAGAAGCCTCCACCGTGATTCACCTGCAGGGACTTACCAAAGTCTCCAAACAGCACCCGTATATGCCACCAATGCCTCAAGCACCATTGGACCTGCTGGGCTAATGTGGCCCAAGTGGCAGAGTGACTTGCACAGCAGCCTGGACCTGTAGCAGAGCCCTGTCCTGTTCTGGACCCACACAAAACTGGCAGCCTTTTGGGTCACTCAATAAATGGGCCAGATTAACACATCCAAATGAGGAATGTGTTGCCTTTAAAATCTAAATAGGCCAACTACACGTTGTGCCTCTTTCTTGGTTTTAGGAGGAGCCTAATGCAGCAACATATCTTTCACCTTAGAAGGAATATCTCAACAGGCCCCACATTACTGGACTCCTAGAAACTTTACTGAGGTAGAAGGTCCCTGGATTTTAGTTATATTCATTTCCCATTGCCTGGCATGCAAATTTATCACCAACAAGTGCAGTGTGTTTGCTACTTCTCACTCATTGAATCCAATCAGCATAATGTCATCCATCAGTTTTCTTTTTTGTTGTGGTTGTTGTTTTGTTTGTTTTTTGAGAAAGAGTTTCACTCTTGTTGCCCAGGCTGGATTGATCTCGGCTCACTGCAACCTCCATCTCCCAGGTTCAAGTGATTCTCCTCCCTCAGCCTCCCAATTATCTGGGATTACAGGCATACGTGCCACCGTGCCTGGCTAATTTTGTATTTTTAGTAGAGACGGGGTTTCTCCATGTTGATCAGACTGGTCTCGAACTCCCGACCTCAGGTGATCAACCCGCCTCAGCCTCCCAAAGTGCTGGGATTACAGGCATGAGCCACCATGCCTGGCCAGCATAATGTCATCAATGTAATGGATCAGTGTGATATCTTGTGGAAGGAAAAAACAATCAAGATATCTGCAAACAAGATTATTACAAAACCCGAAGAGTTGATGTACCCCTGAGGTAGGACAATAAATGTATATTGCTGGCCTTACCAGCCAGGTCATGTGTCAATTTGTTCAAGCAATAAATCCACATCTGGTATAGCAGCTGCAATTGGAGTCACCATTTGAGCTTATGATAATCCACTGTCATTATCCAAGATCTAGCTGTCTTCTGCACAGGCCGAACAGAAGAGCTGAATGGGAATGTGATGGAAATCACCACCCCTGCATCTTCCAAGTCCTTGATGGTGGCACTAAGCCCTGCAACCCCTCCAGGGATGCAATATTGTTTGTGACTTACTATTTTTCTAGGTAGAGGCAGCTCCAATAGCTTTCATTTGGCCTTTCCCACCATAATAGCCCTCACCCTACCAGTCAGGGAGCCAATGTGGGGATTCTGCCACCTGCTAAGTCCATGTCTATGCCAATTATCTATTCTGGCACTGGAGAAATGACCACAGGATGATTACAGAGACCCACTGGACCCACCGTAAATCAAACCTGAGCTATAATTCCATTTAATTACCTGACCTTCATAAGCCTCAACTTTAACTGGAGAACCAAAATGACACTTTGGGTCCCGTGGAATCAACATCAATTCAGAGCCAGAGTCCAGTAGTTCCCGAAAAATCTGATTTTTCTCGTGTCCCCAATATACAGTTACTCTGGTAAAAGGCTGAAGGTCTCCTTGGGGAAAATGGAAGAAAGATTAACAGTATAAACTGTCAGTAGAGCAGTGGGACCCTACCTCAAGGGGACACCTCCTCTTCATTCAAGGAGTTCTGGGTCTGTAAACTGGTTCAAGTCTGGAAATTCACTGAGGGGCCATGATTCTCTATTTTTGTAGTTCAAATTAGTCTTTTGTCCAATTGACCTGGAAGATTTCTGCTTATATAAATTAAGTAAGAATGCAGTAGGCTTCCTATTAATTTCATTGTAGGAACGCTGTGATTAATTAGCCAGTGCCAGAGCTCTACACATGTCAGACTATTCTGATTGCTGTTTTGCCTCTGCTGTCCATTATGGTAATTATACCCATGTAGCCTTTGACAGCTGAGTGCTACCACTTTGCTTCTGCCTCCCCGGGATACAATTATTCCCATTGCACTTAAATTTTGTAATTGAGTGACTGCAGTTCCCACTGTAAGATCTGACATACAGAGAAGAGCAATCACAGAGCTTTTGAAGGATGCAGGTGCTGCCCTCACAAATCTATTTTGCAAAGTGTTGGTCAAGGCTTTGTCTTTTGGACTCTCCCCCCACCCCCGCCCAGGATGAGTAGGTCTAAAGTGATGAATCCACTCTAGCATTCCAATCTCCCTAAGCCTTTGGATCTGTCCCTCTACATTAAACCAAGGGAGAGCAGACATTTCCAGCATGCTCACAATGGGCTATCTTTTGATCTATATTTCAATAAATTCAGCCTGATCCCTCTTTATTTTCCTTCCACTATTTTTCCACACCCTTAATATCCATTCCTGTGCCTGTTCTCCAGATTTCTGCTTATATAAATTAGAAAACATAGTCACTTCCAAGATGGCCAAATAGAAACAGCTCCGATCTACAGCTCCCAGCGAGATCAATGCAGAAGACAGGAAATTTCTGAATTTCCAATGTAGGTATCTGGTTCATCTCATTGGGACTGGTTGGACTGTGGGTTCAGCCCACAGAGGGCAAGCCAAAGCAGGGCAGGGCATCACCTCACCCAGGAAGTTCAAAGAATCAGGGGATTTCCCTTTCCTAGCCAAGGGAAGCTATGAGTGACTGTACCTGGAGTAGCAGTACACTCCTGCCCAAGTACTGCACTTTTCCTATGGTCTTCACAACTGGCAGACCAGGAGATGCCCTCCTCTACCTGGCTCAGTGGGTCCCACGCCCATGGAACCTTGCTCACTGGGACACAGAAGCTTGGCAGGGAGAGGGGCATCCACGATTGCTGAGGCTTGAGTAGGCGGTTCTATGCTCACAGTGTACACAAAGTGGCAGGGAAGCTCAAACTGGGTGGAGCCCACCACAGCTGAGCAAGGCCTATTACCTCTCTGGATTCCATCTCTGGGGGCAGGGCACATCTGAACAAAAGACAACAGACAGCTTCTCCAGACTTAAACGTTCCTACCTGACAGCTCTGAAGAGAGCATTGGTTCTCCCAGCATGGCATTTGAGCTCTGATAATGGACAGGCTGCCTCTTTAAGTGGGTCCCTGACCCCCATGTAGCCTGACTGGGAGACACCTCCCAGTAGGGGCTGACAGACACCTCATACAGGTGAGTGCCTCTCTGGGATGAAGCTTCCAGAGGAAGGATCAGGCAGCAATATTTGCTGTTCTGCAGCCTCCGTTGGTGATACCCAGGCAAACAGGGTCTGGAGTGGACCTTCAGCAAACTCCAACAGGCCTGTAGCTGAGGGGCCTGACTGTTAGAAGGAAAACTAACAAACAGAAAGGAATAGCACCAACATCAACAAAAAGGACATCCACACCAAAACCCCATCCATAGGTCAAAAGCATCAAAGACCAAAGCTAAATAAAACCACAAAGATAGGGAGAAGCCAGAGCAGAAAGGCTGAAAATAACAAAAAACAGAATGTCTCTTCTCCTCCAGAGCAACACAACTCCTTGCCAGCAAGGGAACAAAACTGGAAGAAGAATGAGTTTGATGAATTGACAGAAGTAGGCTTCAGAAGGTCGGTAATAACAAACCTCTATGAGCTAAAGGAGCATGTTCTAACCCATTGCAAGGAAGCTAAAACCCTTGAAAAAAGGTTAGACGAACAGCTAACTAGAATAACCAGTGTAGAGAAGAGCTTAAATGACCTGATGGAGCTGAAAACCACAGTACGAGAACTTCCTGAAGCATACACAAGCTTCAATAGCTGATTCAATCAAGTGGAAGAAAGGATATCAGTGATTGAAGATCAAATTAATGAAATAAACTGAGAAGACAAGATTAAAGAAAAATGAGGCAAAAGAAACAAACAAAGCCTCCAAGAAATATGGGACTATGTGAAAAAACCAAATCTACGTCTGATTGGCGTGCCTGAAAGTGACAGAGAGAATAGAACCAAGTTAGAAAACACTCTTCAGGATATTATCCAGGAGAATTTTTCCAACGTAGCAACGCAGGCCAACATTCAAATTCAGAAAATACAGAGAATACCACAAAGATATTCCTCGAGAACAGCAACCCCAAGACACATAATTGTCAGATCCACCAATGTGGAAATGAAGGAAAAAATGTTAAGGGCAGCCAGAGAGAAAGGTCCTGTTATCCACAAAGGGAAGCCCAACAGATTAACAGCAGATCTCTCTGCAGAAATGCTACAAACCAGAAGAGAGTGGGGGCCAATAGTCAACATTCTTAAAGAAAAGAATTTTCAACACAGAATTTTGTACCAGCCAAACATTCATAAGTGAAGGACAAATAAAATCCTTTCCAGACAAGCAAATGCTGAGAGATTTTGTTGCCACCAGGCCTGCCTTACAAGAGCTCCTGAAGGAAGCATTAAACACTGATAGGAACAACCAGTACCAGCAACTGCAAAAACATGCCAAATTGTAAAGACCATCAATGCTATGAAGAAACTGCATCAATTAGCAGGCAGAATAACCAGCTAGCATCATAATGACAGGATCAAATTCACACGTAACAATATTAACCTTAAATATAAATGGGCTAAATACCACAATTAAAAGACACAGACTAGCAAATTGGATAAAGAGTCAAGACTCATTGGTGTGCTGTATTAAGAAGACCCATTTCACGTGCAAAGATACACATAGGCTCAAAATAAAGGGATGGAGGAAGATCTACAAAGCAAATGGAAAGCAAAATGAAGCAGGGGTTGCAATCCTGGTCTTTGTTATAACAGCCTTTAAACCCACAAAGATCAAAAGAGATAAAGAAGACCCTTACATAATGATAAAGGGATCAATTCAACAAGAAGAGCTAACTATCCTAAATATATATGCAACCAATACAGGAGAACCCAGATTTATAAAGCAAATTCTTTGAGACCTACAAAGAGACTTGGACTCCCACACAATAATAATGGAAGATGTTAATATCCCACTGTCAATATTAGACAGATCAATGAGACAGAAATTAACAAGGATATCCAGGAATTGAACTCAGATCTGAACCAAGCAGACCGAATAGACATTTACAGAACTCTCCACCCCAAATCAACAGAATATACATTCTTCTCAGCACCACATCACACTTATTCTAAAATTGACCACATAATTGGAAGTAAAACACTCCTCAGCAAACGTAAACGAACAGAAATTACAACAAACTGTCTCTCAGACCACAGTGCAATCAAATTAGAACTCAGGAGTAAGAATCTCACTCAAAACTGCTCAACTACATGGAAACTGAACAACCTGCTCCTGAATGACTACTGGGCAAATAACGAAACGAAGGCAGAAATAAACATGTTCTTTGAAAACAGTAAGAACAACGACACAACATACCAGAATCTCTGGGACACATTTAAAGCAGTGTGTAGAGGGGAATTTATAGCACTACATGCCCACAAGAGAAAGCAGGAGGTATCTAGAATCGACACCCTAACATCACAACTAAAAGAACTAGAGAAGCAAAAGCAAACAAATTCAAAAGCTAGCAGAAGACAAGAAATAACTAAGATCAGAGCAGAACTGAAGAAGATAGAGACACACACACACAAAAAAACTTCAAAAAATCAATGAATCCAGGAGCTGGTTTTTTTTAAAGATCAACAAAATAGATAGAATGCTAGCAAGACTAATAAAGAAGAAAAGAGAGAAGAATCAAATAGATGCAATAAAAAATGATAAAGGGGATATCATCACCGATCCCACAGAAATACAAACTACCATCAGAGAATACTATAAACACCTCTACGCAAATAAACTAGAAAATCTAGAAGAAATGGATAAATTCCTCGACACATACACCATCCCAAGACTAAATTAGATAGAAGTTAAATCTCTGAATAGATCAATAACAGGTTCTGAAATTGAGGCTATAATTAATACCCTACCAACCAAAAAAAAAAAAAGGTCCAAGACCAGATGGATTCACAGCTGAATTCTACCAGAGGTACAAAGAGGAGCTGGTACCATTCCTTCTGAAGCTATTCCAATCAATAGAAAAAGAGGGAATCCCCCCTAATTCATTTAAGAGGCCATCATTATCTGATACCAAAGCCTGGCAGAGACACAATAAAAAAAGAGAATTTTAGGACAATATCCTTGATGAACATCAATGCGAAAATCCTCAATAAAATACTGGCAAACCGAATCCAGCAGCACATCAAAAACTTATCCAACATGATCAAGTTGGCTTCATCCCTGGGATCTAAGGCTTGTTCAACATACACAAATCAATAAATGGAATCCATCACATAAACAGAACCAATGACAAAAGCCACATGATTATTTCAATAGATGCAGAAAAGGCCTTTGACAAAATTCAACAGCCTTTCATGCTACAAGCTCTCAATAAACTAGGTATCGATGGAACATATCTCAACATAATAAGAGCTATTTATGACAAACCCACAGCCAATATCACACTGAATGGCAAAAACTGGAAGCATTCTCTTTGAAAACCAGCACAAGAAAAGGATGCCATCTCTCACCACTCTTATTCAACTTCACCACTCCTATTCACTCACCACTTCCTATTGGAAGTTCTGGCCAGGGCAATCAGGCAAGAGAAAGCAATAAACGGTATTCAAATAGGAAGAGAGTGAGTCAAATTGTCTCTGTCTGCAGATGACATGATTGTGTATTTAGAAAACCCCATCATCTCAGCCCAAAATCTTCTAAAGCTGATAAGCAACTTCAGCGAATTCTCAGGATACAAAATCAGTGTGCAAAAATCACAAGCATTTCTATACACCAATAACAGACAAACAGAGAACCAAATCATGAGTGAACTCCCATTCACAATTGCTACAAAGAGAATAAAATACCTAAGAATCCAACTTACAAGGGATGTGAAGAACCTCTTCAAGGAGAACTACAAATCACTGCTCAAAGAAATAAGATAGGCCACAAATGGAAAAACATTTCATGCTCATGGATAAGAAGAATCAATATCATGAAAACTGCCTTACTACCCAAATTAATTTATAGATTCAATGCTATCCCCATCAAGCCACCACTGACTTTCTTCACAGAATTGTGAAAAACTACTTTAAACTTCATATGGAACCAAAAAAGAGCCCACATAGCCAGGGCAATTTTGGGCAAGAAGAACAAATCTGGAGTCATCATGCTACCTGACTTCAAACTTTACTAGAAGGCTACAGTAACCAAAACAGCATGGTACTTGTACCAAAACAGATACATAGACCAATGGAACAGAACAGAGGCCTCAGAAATAACACCACACATCTACCACCAACTGATCTTTGACAAACCTGACACACACAAGCAATGGGGAAAAGATTCCCTATTTAATAAATGGTGTTGGGAAAACTGGCTAGCCATATGCAGAAAAGTGAAACTGGACCCTTTCTGTACCCCTTGTACAAAAATTAACTCAAGATGGATTAAAGACTTAAGGGTAAGACCTAGGACCATAAAAATCCTAGAAGAAAACCTGAGCAATATCACTCAGGACATAGGCAAGGGCAAAGACTTCATGCCTAAAACACCAAAAGCAATGGCAACAAAAGCCAAAATTGACAGATTGGATCTAATTAAATGAAAAAGCTTCTGCACGGCAAAGGAAACTATCAACAGAATGAACAGGCATCCTGTAGAATGGGAGAAAATTTTTGCAATCTACTCATGTGACAAAGGGATAATATCCAGAATCTACAAAGAACTTAAACAAATTTACAAGAAAAAATCAACCCCATCAAAAAATGGGCAAAGGATATAAACAGACACATCTCAAAAGAAGACATTTATGCAGCCGACAGACATATGAAAAAATGCTCATCATCACTGGTCATGCAAATCAAAACCACAGTGAGATACCATCTCACACCAGTTAGAATGGCGATCATTAAAAAGTCAGGAAACAATGGATGCTGGAGAGGTTGTGGAAAAATAGGAACACTTTTACAGTGTTGGTGGGAGTGTAAATTAGTTCAACCATTGTGGAAGATAGTGTGGGAATTCCTCAAGGATCTAGAACTAGAAATACCATTTGACCCAGAAATCCTATTACTGAGCATATACCCAAAGGATTATAAATCATTCTACGATAAAGACACATGCACACATATCTTTATTGTGGCACAATACACAATGGCAAAGACTTGGAACAACCCAAATGTCCATCAGTGATAGTCTTGATTAAGAAAACCTGGCTCATATACACCATGGAATACTATGCAGCCATAAAAAAGAAGGAGTTCATGTCCTTTGCAGGGATATGGATGAAGTTGGAAACCATCATTCCCAGCAAACTATCACCAGATCAGAAAAGCAAACACCTCATGTTCTCACTCATAAGTGGGAATTGAACAATTAGAACACATGGACACAGGGAGGGGATCATCACACATCGGGGCCTGTGGGGGCTGAGGGGCTAGGGGAGGGATAACATTAGGAGAAATACCTAATGTAGATGACGGGTTGATGGGTGCAGCAAACCACAATGGCACATGTATACTTAAGTAATAAAACTGCACGTTCTGCCCATGTAACCCAGAACTTAGAGTATAATAAAAAAAATAAGAAATTAGAAAACTCAAGCAGTCATTTTGAAGTGTAGCAAACCTCCTTGTGGGTCACACTCTGAACCTCACCTCTAGGGGCATGCAAGGACTTGTGTCTAGTTATAGGTCTAGAAGCAAACAGGGGTATTGGGGTGGGTCCTGAAAAGAATCAGCATTGTCTTACTTGGCAATTGCCTCAGGGTAGGCCATCACTGTTTCATTGGACAGTGCATGATTAAATTGTTCTCAGACAAATGTGGATAGGCTAATATCAGCATGGGTAGGGGAGGGAATGTTGCCACCAGCTTTGTCAGGGTTTTTTCACAGGTCCCCATTCCAAGTTGCAGGGTCTCATTCTTTCCCAATTAATGTTCTCACTTTAAAAGTAGACACCTGGCAAGACTGAATGTGTACCTTTTGTTGCAGGTCAGCCACTCTAATGATAGGAACTTGTGTCTGATTTTCCACAATTTCAGCTTTCTGTCTATAGGAGATAAGATTTTCATTAAGGACAATCTTAGAAGACTTGAGGCTTAGTATGTGCTTCTGAAGCCAGATGTTAGAATTGCTTAGCTCATCCTTTCCTTTCCTCATTTTGTTCAGCAAATATAGGAGCAACCAACCAACTTCATTATATGTCTTGGTTTGATACATATGGTCAATAGTATTACATATTGAGTCAGTAAACTCATTGCCTTTCATGAATGGTGAATCAAAAGTATCAAGGGCATTTTTTTATAACTCTCTAAACAGTTCATGCCAAGGACTATCATCAGTGGTCTCCAGACTATTAAAAGTAGAGGCCTTAACATTTTGGGGTGTAATGATATTAAGCAGCCAACTCCAAAACCCCCAAAATCAATGAAAAAAATCCATTTTAAAAATTCTGTTCCTATAGAACCAGTCCTGTTACAAAAATCTGTATTAGTCAGGGTCTCTAGAGGGACAGAACTAATAGTATAGATGTATATATGAAAGGGAGTTTATTAAGGATAATCGACTCACACGATCACAAGGTGAAGTCCCACAATAGGCTGTCTGCAAGCTGAGGAGCAAGAAAGACGGTCTGAGTCCCAAAACCTCAAAAGTAGGGAAATGGACAGTGTAAACTTCAGCCTGTGGCTGAAGGACCAAGAGCCCCTGGAAAAATCACTGGTGCAAGTCGAAGAATCCAAAACCTGAAGAACTTGGAGTCTGATGTTCAAAGGTGGGAAGTATCCAACACGGGAGAAAGATGAAAGCTGGAAGACTGAGCAAGTCGAGTCCTTCCAACTTCTTCTACCTGCTTTATTCTATCCATGCTGATATCTGATTAGATGGTGCCCACCCAGATTCAGGATGTGTCTGTCTGTCCAGTCCACTAACTCAAATGTTAATCTCCTTTGGCAATACCCTCACAGAAACACCCAGGAACAATACTTTGCGTCTTTCAATTCAATCAAGTTGACTCCCAGTGTTAACCATCACAGGAACCTCTGCCTAGATTTCAGAGCATGTATGGAAATGCCTGGATGTCAGGCAGAAGTCTGCTGCAGGAGTGGAACCCTCATGGAGAACCTCTACTAAGGCAATGAAGAAGGGAAATGCGGGGTTGGAGTCCCCCAACAGGGTCCCCACTGGGGCACTTCCTAGTGGAGCTGTGAGAAGAGGGCCACTGTCCTCCAGACAGCGGAATGGTAAATTCATTGACAGATTGCCCCATGTACTTGGAAAAGCTACAGGCACTCAACACCAGCTTGAGAAAACAACCACAAGGGCTGTACCCTGCAGAGCCACAGGAGAGGGGCAGAGGAGCCACCTAGGGCCATGGAGCCCATCCCTTGCATCAATGTGGCCTGGATGTAAGACATGGAGTAAAAGGAGTTTATGCTGGAGATTTAAGATTTCATAACTGTTCTGCTGGATACCGGACTTGCATCGGGCCTATAGTCCCTTTGTTTTGAGCAATTTCTCCTTTTTCAAATGGAAACATTTACACAATGCCTGTTTCCCCCGTTGTATCTTGGAAGAAACAAACTTGCTTTTGATTTTACAGGATCCTAGGTAGAAGGATGCCTCAGATGAGACATTGAACTTGGACTTTTGAGTTAATGCTGAAATAAGTTAAGACTTTGAGGGACTGTTAGGAAGGCATGATTGGTTTTGAAACAGTAGACAAAAACTATTTTAAAATTCCTATGGAACCTTTAAAAAAGCCTGAATAGCCAAGTCAATACTAAGCAAAAGAAACAAAGCTGGAGACATTGCATTACCTGACTTCAAACAATACTATAAGGCTACAGTATTCAAGACAGCAAGGTACTGGTACAATAAAAGACTTACAGAACAATGGAACGGAATACAGAGCCCAGAAATACTGCCAAAAACCTACAAACATTTGATCTTCAGCAAGACCTACACATGGCCGACAAGCATATAAAAAAATGCTCAACATCCATAATTATTAGAGAAACGCAAATCAAAACCACAGTGAGGTAGGAATGGCTGTTAATTATAAGTCAAAAATAATAGATGCTAGCAAGGTTTTGGAGACAAGGGCACACTTGTTGCACTGCTGGTGAAAATGTAAATCAGTTCAGTCATTTTTGAAAGCAGTTTGTTAATTTCTTAAAAAACATAAAACAGAATTACCATGTAACCTAGCAATTATATTATTGAGTATATACTGAAAGAAATATAAGTTGTTCTACCATAAAGACATATGCATGCATATGTTCAGTGAAGCACTGTTCACAATAGGAAAGACATGGAATCGACCTAAATTCCCATCAATGGTAGACTGGATAAACAAAATGTGGTGTATATACACAATTGGATATTACACAGCAATAAAAAAGAATGAGATTATGTCCTTTGTAGCAATATGAATGAAGCTGGAGGCCACTATTCTAAGAAACTAACACAGGAACAGACAACTGAATATTGCATGTTCTCATTTGTAAGTGGAAGTTAAACATTGAGTACACATGGACACAAAGAAGGAAACGACTGACACAGGGACCTACTGGATGGTTGAAGTTGGGAGGAGGGTGAGGACAAAACAAACCTACCTATCGGGTACGATGCTGATTAGCTGGTTGATAAAATAATCTGTACACCAAACTTCCATGACACCCAGTACACCTATATAACAAACTTTCACTTGTGCTCCTTAACCTAAAATAAAAATTTAAAAAAGAGATTTTCAGTTTTTCCCCATTCAATATGATTTTAACTGTGGGTTTGTAATATATTAGCCATTATTATGTTGAGATATGTTTCTTCGTTGCCTAGTTTATTGAAAGTTTTTATCATGAAGAGATGTCAGTTTATTGAAAGTTTTTATCATGAAGAGATGTCGAATTTTACCAAATGCATTTTCTGCAACTATTGAAATGACTATATGCTTCTTGTCCTTTTTTTCTGTTGATGGAATGTATCACACTCATGGAATTGCATATATGTAACCATCCTTGCATGCCTGGAATAATTTTTTTAAATTTTATTTTATTTTAGGTTCCAGGATACATGTGTAATCATCATTCTGACTGGACTGAGATGGGATCTCATTGTGGTTTTGATTTGCATTTCTCTAATGATCAGTGATGTTGAACTTTCTTTCATGTTTGTTGGCCGCATAAATGTCTTCTTTTGAGAAGTGTCTGTTCATGTCCTTTGTCCAATTTTTGATAGGGTTGTTTGCCATTTTCTTGTAAATTGGCTTAAGTTGCTTGTAAATGCTGTTTTTTATGTGTGTGTGTGTGTGTGTTGCTTTTTTTTTTTTTTTTTTTTTTTTTTTGAGGCAAGGTCTTGGTCTGTCACCCAGGCTGGAGTGCAGTGGCACAATCTCGGCTCACTGCAACCTCCACCTCCTGGACTCAAGTGATTCTCCTGTCTCAGCCTTCGGAGTGGCTGGGATTACAGAGGTGCCACCACACCCAGCTAATTTTTTGTATTTTTAGTAGAAATGGGGTTTCACCATGTTTACCAGGCTGGTCTCAAACTCCTGACCTCAGGTCATTCACACGCCTCAGCCTCCCAAAATCCTGGGATTACAGGTGTGAGCCACCATGCTCAGCCCAAGCTTCTTAAAAATTCTGGATATTAGACCTTTGTTAGACAGGTAGATTGCAAAAAGTTTCTCTTATTCTGTAGGTTGCCTGTTTGCTCTGATGATAGTTTCTTTTGCTGTGCAGAAACTCTTAAGTTTAATTAGATCCTGCTTGTCAATTTTAGCTTTAGCTGCAATTGCTTTTGGCGATTACATTATAAAATTTTGCTCATGTCTATTTTCTAAATGGAATTGCCTAGATTTTTTGGGGATTTTTATGGTATTGGGTTTTTCATTTAAGCCTTTAATCCATCTTGAGTTAATTTTTGTATAAGGTGTACAGAAGGGGTTCAGTTTCAGTTTTCTGCATATGACTAGACAGTTTTCCCAGCACCATTTATTAAATAGAAAATCTTTCCCCATTGCTTGTTTTTGTGAGGTTTTGCAAAGATCAGATGGTTGTAGATGTGTGGCCTTATTTTCTGAGGTCCCTATTCTGGTCCATTGGTCTCTGTGTCTGTTTTGGTGCAAGTACCATGCTGTTTTGGTTACTGTATCCTTGTAGTATAGTTTGAAGTGAGGTAGGGTGATGCCTCCAGCTTTGTTCTTTTTGCTTACAATTGTCTTGGCTATTCATGCTCTTTTTATTTCCATATAAATTTTTAAGTAGTTTCTTCTAATTCTGTGAAGAATGCCAATAGTATTTTGATGGGAATAGTATTGAATATATGAATTAATTTGGGCAGTATTGTCATTTTCACAAGATTAATTATTCCTATCCATGAGGAGGGAATGTTTTTCCATTTGTTTGTGTCCTCCCTTATTTCCTTGAGCAGTGGTTTGTTGTTCTCCTTGAAGAGGTCCTTCATGTCCCTTGTAAGTTATATTCCTGTGTATTGTATTCTCTTTGTTGCAATTGTGCATGGGAGTTCACTCATGATTTGGCTTTCTGCTTGTCTATTGTTGGTGTTTAGGAATGCTTGTGATTGTTGAACATTGATATTGTATCCTGAGACTTTGCTGAAGTTGCTTATCAGCTTAAAGAGTTTTTGGACTGAAATGATGGGGTTCTTTAAATATACAATCATGTCATCTGCAAATAGAGACAATTTGACTTGCTCTTTTCCTATTTGAATACCTTTCTTTCTTTCTCTTGCCTGATTGCCCTGGCTAGGACTTCCAATCCTATGTTGAATAGGAGTGGTGAGAGAGGGCATCCTTGTCTTGTGCCGGTTTTCAAAGGGAATGCTTTCAGCTTTTGCCCAATCAGTATGATATTGGGTATGGATTTGTCATAAATATCTCTTATTATTTAAAGATATATTCCATCAATACCTGGTTTACTGAGAGTTTTTAGCACGAAGGCATGTTGAATTTTATTGAGGGTCTTTTCTCATGTATTAAGATCATCAAGTGGTTTTTGTCATTGTTTCTGTTTATATGATAGATTATGTTTGTTGATTTATGTACATAGAACCAGCCTTGCATTCCAGGGATGAAGCCAACTTGATCTTGGTGGATAGGCTTTTTGATGTGCTGCTGAATTCAGTTTGCCAGTATTTTATTTTCACATTGATGTTCATCAGGGATATTGGCCTGAAATTTTCTTTTTTTGTTGTGTCTCTGCCAGGTTTTGGTATTAGGATGATGCTGGGCTCATAAAATGAGTTAGGGAGGAGTCTCTCTTTTTCTGTTGTTTGGAATAGGTTCGGAAGGAATGGTACCAGCTCCTCTTTGTGCCTCTGGTAGAATTCAGCTGTGAATCCGTCTGGTCCTGGACTTTTTTTGGACGGTGGGTTATTAATTACTGCCTCAATTTCAGAACTTGTCACTGGTCTATTCAGGGATTTGACTTCTTCCTGGTTTAGTCTTGGGAGGGTGTATGTGTTCAGGAATTTATCCATTTCTTCTAGATTTTCTAGTTTATTTGTGTAGAGGTATTTATAGTACGCTCTGATGTTAGTTTGCATTTCCATGGGATCAGTGGTGATATACCCTTTATTATTTTTTATTGTATCTATTTGATTCTTCTCTCTTTTCTTCTTTATTAGTCTAGCTAGTGATCTATGTTGTTAATATTTTCAAAAAATCAGCTCCTGGATTCATTGATTTTTTGAAGTGTTTTTTGTGTCTCTATCTTGTTATGATTTCTGTTCTTTTGCATTTCCTGAAGAGAGTTTTACTTCCAATTATGTGGCCAATTTTAGAATAAGTCCGATGAGGTGCTGAGAAGAATGTATATTCTGTTGATTTGGGGTGGAGAGTTCTGTAGATGTCTATTAGGTCCACTTGGTCCAGAGCTGAATTCACGTCTTGAATATCCTTGTTAAGTTTCTGTTTCATTGATCTGTCTTATATTGACAATGGGGTGTTAAAGTCTCCCACTACTATTGTGTGGGAGTCTAAGTCTCTGTGTAGGTCTCTAAGAACTTGTTTTATGAATCTGAGTGCTCCTCTGTTGGGTGAATATATATTTAGAATTGTTAACTTTCTTGTTGCATTGATCACTTTACCATTATGTAATGACCTTCTTTGTCTTTTTTTTTTATCTCCGTTCCTTTAAAGTTTGTTTTATCAGAGACAAGGATTGCAACTCCTCCTTTTTTGTTGTTTTTCATTTGCTTGGTAAATATTTCTACATTTCTTTATTTTGAGCTCTTTGCACTTGAGATGGGTCTTCTAGATACAGCACAGCGATGGGTCTTGACTCTTTATCCAATTTACCAGTCTTTGTCTTTTAATTGGGATATTTAGTCCACTTACATTTAAGGTTAATATTGTTATGTGTGAATTTCATCCTGTCATCATGCTAGCTAGTTAGTTTGCACATTAGTTGAAGCAGTTTCTTCATAGTGTCATTGCTACTTATATTTCGGTGTGTTATTGCAGTGGCTGGTACTGGTTTTTTCTTTCCATATTTAGTGCTTCTTTCAGAAGCTCTTGTAAGCCAGGCCTGGTGGTGACAAAATCC
Source organism: Homo sapiens (assembly GCF_000001405.40). Lineage (NCBI taxonomy): Eukaryota > Metazoa > Chordata > Mammalia > Primates > Hominidae > Homo > Homo sapiens. The sequence goes on from NC_000023.11 coordinate 56,686,832, forward strand.
CTCAGCATTTGCTTGTCTGGAAAGGATTTTATTTATCCTATGCTTCTGAAGCTTAGTTTGGCTGGATATGAAATTCTGGATTATAAATTTTTTTCTTTAAGAATGTTGAATATTGGCTCCCACTCTCTTCTAGTTTCTGCAGAGAGATCGCTGTTAGTCTGATGGGCTTCCCTTTGTAGGTAACCTGACCTTTCTCTCTGGCTGCCCTTAACATTTTTTCCTTTTTTTCAACCTTGGAGAATCTGTCGATTATATGTCTTGGGGTTGCTCTTCTCGAGGAGTATCTTAGTGGTGTTCTCTGTATTTCCTGAATTTGAATGTTGGCCTATTTTGCTTGGTTGGGGGAAGTTCTCCTGGATAATAACTTGAAGTGTGTTTTCCAACTTTGTTCCATTCTCCCCATGACTTTCAGGTACACCAATCGGTCATAGGTTTGGTCATTTAACATAGTCCCATATTTCTTGGAGGCTTGTCTTCAACCTTCTTTTATTAAGTTGATCTTGTCTTCCACCTTCTTTTATCAATCTCTGATATTGTTTCTTCCACTTGATCAATTCGGCTATTGATACTTGTGTGGGCTTCACGAAGTTCTCGTGCTGAGTTTTTCAGCTCCATCAGGTCATTTATGCTCCTCTCTAAACTGGTTATTCTAGTTAGCAGTTCCTGTAACCTTTCATCAAGGTTCTTAAATTTTTTTTGCATTGGGTTAGAACATGCTTTTTTAGCTCAAAGGAGTTTGTTATTACCAACCTTCTGAAGCCTGCTTCTGTCAATTCATCAATCTCATTCTTCATCCAGTTTTCTGCCATTCCTGGAGAGGAATTGTGATCATTTGGAGAAGAGGCATTCTGATTTTTGGAATTTTCTGTGTTTTTGTGCTTGTTTTCCTCATCTTCATGGATTTATCTACCATTGGTCTTTGAGGCTGACGAACTTTGGATCAGATTTTTGTGTGGAGGTCTTTTTGTTGATGTTGGTGTTGTTGCTTTCTGTTTGTTAATTTTTTTTCTAACAGTCAGGGCCCTCTTCTGCAGGTCTGCTGAAGTTTGCTGGAGGTCCACTCCAGCCACTGTTCACCTGGATATTACCAGTGGAGGCTGAAGAACAGCAAAGATTGCTGCCTGCCTGTTCCTCTGGAAGCTTCATCCCAGAGGGGCACCGGTCTGATGCCAGCCAGAGCTCTTCTGTATGAGGTGTCTGTCAGCACCTGCTGGGAGGTCTCTCCCAGTCAGGAGACATGGGGTTCAGGGACCCACTTGAGGAGCAGTCTGTCCTTTAGCAGAACTGGTATGCTCTGTTGGGTGAATCTCCCTTGACAGGATCAGCTGCTCTCTTCAGAGCTGGCAGGTAGGAAAGATTTAATCCACTGAAGCTGCACCCACAGCCGCCCCTTTCCCCAGGTGCTCTGTCCCAAGGAGTTGAGAGTTTTATCTGTAAGCCCCTGACTGAGGCTGCTGTCTTTCTTTCAGAGATGCCCTGCCCAGTGATGAGGAATCTAGAGAAGCAGTCTGGCCACAGATGCTTTGCCACGCTGTGGTGAATTCTGCGCAGTCCAAACCTTCCAGCCTCCTTAGCACGGTCAGGGGAAAACTGCCTACTAATGTCTCAGTAATGGGGGATGCCCCTCCCCCCACCAAGCTCAATCATTTCAGATCAACTTCAGACTGCTGTGCTGGCAGTGAAAATTTAAAGCCTGTGGTTCTTAGCTTGCTGGGCTCTGTGGGAGTGGGACCTGCTGAATGAGACCACTTGGCTCCCTGGCTTCAGACCCCTTTCCAGGGGGGTTAATGATTCTGTCTCACTGGGGTTCCAGGCACCACTGAGGGACATAAAAACTCCTGCAGCTAGCTCAGTGTCTGCCCAAAAAGCTGCCCAGTTTTGTGCTTGAAATCCAGGGCCCTGGTGGTGTAGGCACAAGAGGGAATCTCTTGGTTTGTGGATTGCAAGAACCATGGGAAAAGCATAGAACCTGGGCTGGGTAGCACAGTCCCTCACAGCTTCCCTTGGCTCAGGAAGGGATGTTCTCTGGCTCCTTGCACTTTCCAGGTGAAGTAACGCCCCACACACCCTGCTTCTGTTTGCTCTCTGTGGGTTGCACCCACTGCCTAACCAGTCCCATTGATATGAACTGGGTACCTGAGTTGGAAATGCAGAAATCACCCACCTTCTGTGTTGGTCTCACCTGGAGCTGCATACCAGAGCTGTTCCTACTCAGCCATCTTGACCCCCAAATGGAATCTTAATTAAAAAAAAAAAAAAAACCTCATGGTAACATAGAGTAGAATAGTGGTTACCAGGGGCTAAGAAGCAGGTTAAAAGGGGAAATACTGATCAAAGGTTATAAACATTTAATTATAAAATGAATAATTTCTTTAGTCTTAAGGTACAAAATGGTGACATTAGTTAATAATAGTGTATTGCAGGTTTGAAATATTCTATGATAGTAGACCACAAGCTTTCTCACCAGAAAAACAAAAAGTGGTAACTATGTGAGATAACAGATATGCTAAATGCCTTGACTGTGGTAATACTTTACAATGTAAACATATATCAAACATCATGTCATCCATCTTTAATATGTACAATATTTATTTTTCAGTAATACCTCAATGAAGATTAAAGTTGTTTTTGGAAAACAAAATTATCAATATTTGGGACCCTAATGAGAAATCTTGAGGATTATGTCGTAGTATTAGTATGTTAATAAAACCCTGCAGGTGGTTCTAATGAAAAATAGGGTTAAGATTTGGTTATCACCTGGGACTCTTTCTTCTGAGATCTTTAATTCCTATATTTAACCCATATGTTATACAACTTATTTTTTTTTTACCCTTTTTCTTTACCCTCTTAATACCCCCAGGCTAGCAGCTCTTCTGTATTTTTCAATCTCTCAGCCCATTTCTGACATCACTTTTTCCCAAACTAATTTGAACCTACTGTCCATTATGTAATCAACAATTTTCTCAATATTATCTCTGTTTTTGCACATTGGTTGTTTTATTATAATTTCCCTGCAGGAACCTCATCCTGAGTTGATTTAACCATTCATCCTTTCCACTCTTTCGACTGGAATAAAGAGTGCTGCTGGAGAGAATTACAGAGCTGGGCCCTCAAGGCTTCCAGAAACTCTTAGGTATTTCTATTTAAGTACCTCTCATCAAAAGCTATTCTAACCCTTCTCTTCTTAATCTTCTAACACGTGTCTCATAGTCTTAATTCTCAGCAGATTAAACTGTTTTGCTTCACTGGAAAACCAATGTTGAAACTTCAGTTTCCTAACATTCACTCACCCACTGTTTGGGCAGTGATAGATGACATGATGAATACATACAGAAACAGAGAGACAGACAGAGAGAGAGAGAGAGAGAGAGATAGGACTAAAGCGTCTGTGCATATGTGTGGTGTTGAAAGCTGCCAGGTCAGGGTTTCTGAGATTCCACCTCTTATCAGAAAACTTCTTTGACTTTGGTTTGTAACCTGTAAAATGGGCCCAATTCAACAGGCTTCTGTGCCTATTATTCTTTCCTTCCTTTCATAGTGGAATAGTCTCTTTCTTCAATAAGAATCACTACAATTTTGTTTTTTTATCGAATCTCATCCTATCTCCTCAGGCAACTTGTTCTGTATTCCTTTTATTATCTTTATTTTTAGCTTACAAAAAATCTCAAGTCTCTCTCATTCTAAAACACTTAAGAAAGGAAAGGTATTTCTATGCTTTTTTAATATGCTAATCTCCTTGCTAGAGAAGTCAATATTTTCTGAGACCATTTAATTCATTCAATAAACCAACACTGATTTAGAGGTACAGAATAGTATAGTGGTTAATAGGGTAGAATCTGGAGTCAGACTTTCTGGGTTTGAATTCTGACTCTGCCACTTACTAGTTGTGGTGTCTTGGGCAAGTTACATTAACTACCTATCTCAGTTTCCTCAACTGTAAATTGGGGTTATTAATATTCAGCTCATTGGACTATGCATAAAGAACAAATCCAGAGGCCTCACTTTACCCAACTTCAGATTATATTACAAGGCTATAGTTACCAAAATAGCATGGTACCGGTATAAAGATAGGCACAAAGGCCATTGGAAGATAATATAGAACCCAGAAATAAAGCTAAATACTTACAGTCAACTGATCTTCAACAAAGCATACAAAAATATAAATTGGGGAAAGGACCCCCTATGCTGGTGCTGGGGAAACGGGCAAGCCACATGTAGAAGATAAAACTGGATCCCCATCTCTCACTTTATACAAAAATCAACTCAAGATTGATCAAAGACTAAATGTAAGACCTGAAATCATAAAAATTCTAGAAGATAACATTGGTAACATTTCTGGACATTGGCTTAGGCCAAGAATTCATGACTAAGACCCAAAAGCAAATGCAACAAAAATGAAAATAAATAAATGGGACCTAACTAACCTATAGAGCTTATGCATAGCAAAAGGAACAGTCAGCAGCATACACAGACAACCCACAGAGTGGGAGAAAATATTTAAAATCTATGCATCTGACAAAAGACTAGTATCCAGAATCTATAAAAAACTCAAGCAAATCAGCAAGAAATAAACAAATAATCCCATCAAACACTGAGCTAAGGATATCAATAGATATTTCTCAAAAGAAGATACACAAAAAGCCAACAAACACATTTTTTTTAAAAAAAGCTCAACATTGTTAATCATCAGGGAAATGCAAATTAAAAACACAATGAGATACCATCTCACTCCTGCAAGAATGTTCATAATTAGGCCAGACACAGTGGCTCACATCTGTAATCCCAGCACTTTGGGAGGGCGAGGTAGGTGGATCATCTGAAATCAGGAGTTTGAGACCAGCCTGGCCAACATGATGAAATTCGTCTCTACTGAAAATGTAAAAATTTGCCAGACATGGTGGCATGCCTCAGTAATCCCAGCTACTCGGGAGGCTGAAGTGGGAGAATTGCTTGAACCCAGGAGGCAGAGGCTGAAGTGAGCCGAGATTGCACCACTGCACTCCAGCCTCAGCGACAGAGCAAGATCCCCATCTCAAAAAAAAAAAAAAAAAAGAAAAGGAAAAAAAGAATTGTCATTATTTAAAAAGTCAAAAAACAGTATATGTTGGCTTTGATGTGATGAAAAAGGAACACTTTTACACTGCTGGTGGGAAAGTAAATTAGTACAACCACTATGGAAAACAGTATGGAGATTCATTAAGGAACTGGAAGTAGAACTACCATTTGATCCAGTAATCCCACTACTGAGTATCTGCTCACAGGAAAAGAAGTCATTATGAGAAAAAGGCACATGTACACACATGTTTATAGCAGCATTATTCACAATAGCAAATATATGAAACCAACCTAAGTGCCCATCAGCCAAAGATATGAAACCAACCTAAGTGCCCATCAGCCAATGAGTGGATAAAGAAAATGTGGCATATATACACCATGGAATACTACTTAGCCATAAAAAGGAAAGAAATAATGCCTTTTGCAAAACAGTGGATAGAGCTGGAGGCCATTATTCTAAGTAAAGTAACTCAGAAATGAAAAACCAAGTACCATATATTCTCATGGTATATATACACCATGGAATACTACCCAGTCATAAAAAGGAAGAAAATAATGCCTTTTGCAAAACCGTGGATGGAGCTGGAGGCCGTTATTCTAAGTAAAATAACTCAGAAATGAGAAAACAAATACCATATGTTCTCACTTATAAATGGGAGTTAAGCCATGAGGATGCAAATTCATGAGAATAAAATAATGGACTTTGGAGACTCAACCGAGAAAGTTTGGAGGGAGTGAGGAATAAAAGACTACATATTGGGTAGAGTGTACACTGCCCAGGTGATGGGTGTACTGAAATCTCAGAAATCACCACTAAAGAATTTATCCATGTAACCAAAAACCACCTGCACCCCCAAAAACTCTTGAAATAAAAACATAAACTGAGGGTAAAAATTCAAAACCCTGAAAAAAAACACTTTCCACACAAATAATTGGAAAAAAAACTAAAATCAAACTGTTTATCAACACAATAGAGGTTAGAAAACAATTATGAGATCTCTTCCAATTTCTGAGGAAACATAATCTTTTTAAAAATTATTCAGCTCATTGGATTGTTGTGACAATCAAATGAGTACACACAGACACACACACACACTCCACACAAACACACATACACATACATATATACATATATTTCTTATACATTTACATAGTAAGCTTACATAGTAAGCTTACATAGTAAGTACTTATTCAATATTTGCTATTATTATTATAGGTGCTGTTCTGAAGACTACAGCAGGGAACAAGATAGACATAATTCCTGCCCTCATGGAGTTTACATTCTGGTGGATAACTCCCATGACATTTTTTCATTGAAAAGAACCTTCCCATTTTCATTCTCTCTGTATCAGTCTCTCTCTTTCTGTTCATATGTTTCTCATCTAGAATCTATCATCAGGCTCAAGTCTCTCAGATCTTAAAAAAATATATCAAACCTACCCTCACAAATTACCACTCTCTTTCCTCATCTTCACAGCCAAATTATTTAAGCTAGTTTTTTATATATGCTGTTTGAATTTGTGTATTATTTACATCTGAACCAACTGAAATATGACTTTTATCACCACCACTCCACTGAAACAACTTTTACAAAATCTTAAATGATCTACATGTAAATCTAAGTGACACATTTTAGTCATTCCCTACTTGAACTTTTTTTGTTGAAATACTCTCTTCTCTTGATCCCTTGTTGAAATACTCTCTTATATACTTCCTCCATCTCTAGTAATTTTTCTTTCTCTCCTTTGCAGGTTCTTCACCCTCTATATGCCCCTTATATTCCTTAGTCCCTGTTCTCCTCTTCCTTTGTTTCCATAGATGCTTTCTTGTCTATTCCTAATCTTGTCTCCAGATTTTCCATTATTCATCCTTCATTCTGGGGCCAAAGTGACCTATACCATATGCATAAATTATTACTATGTGGACCAGGCACAGTGGTTCACGCCTGAAATCCCAGCACTTTGGGAGGCTAAGGTGAGCGGATCACTTGAGGTCAGGAATTCAAGACGAGCCTAATCGACATGGTGAAACGCTGTCTCTACTAAAGTTACAAAAATTAGCCAGACGTGATGCTTGATGCTTGTAATCCCAGCTACTCGGGGGGCTGAAGCAGGAGAATCGCTTGAACCTAGGAGGAAGAGTTTGCAGTGAGCCGAGATCGTGCCACGGCACTCCAGCCTGGGTGATGGAAAGAGACCCTGTCTCAAAACTTAAAACTAAATACATAAATAAATACTCTCCTGCTTAAGATATTTTAATTCCTCTCTATAACAAATGAGATAAATAATATGATACAGAAGGTTCTGCATGTCATGGTGACTGCTTTTATTTCTACCCTGACTTATATTTGATATTCTAGAAATACTTCATTTGTTGTAATTACCTGTACTCAACATGCTGTTTCATACTAGAATGTCTTACACCTAGAATGCCTGTTCTCTTGTTTTTACATAGCTAACTTCTACCTATTTTTTTTAATTAATCTCTCATATTACCTTCTCCAGTAAGCCTTCCCTGGTTACCTCTGGTTGAACTAAATGTCCTTCTTCTACATTCTGAAAGCTTGCTGGACATATCTCTATTACTGCTTCTGCCATATTATGGTGAAATTTATTGTATACATATTTGTCTTACATACCAAGGTTAAAGCTTCTTTATTTACACTTGATCTTAGCCAAAAAGCCAAAAGGTAATAAAGCTTCTTTATTTAAAGACAGTGGCTATCCATATTTCAATTTTCTGTTCCCAGATTGTAGCATAGTTCTCAATAAATATTTGTTAAACTAAACAGCATGTACAAAAACATGCATGTGTAGAATATGAGACACATTTGGATAACTGCAAAGAGTTCAGTGTAGCTACATTAGTGTCTTAATCCATTTGGGTTGCTATAAAGGGATATCTGAGACTGGGTAATTTATTTTAAAAGGGAATTATTTGGCTCACTGTTCTACAGGCTGTATAAGAAGCGTGGTGCCAGCATCTGCATCTGGTGAGGGCCTCAGTCTGCTTCCACTCATGATGGAAGGTGAAGGGGAGCTGGCATGTGCAGAGATCACGTGGTGAAAGAGGAAGAAAATAGAGAGGAAATAAAGAGGCCTGGATCTTTTTAACAACCAGCTCTCATGGGGTCCAGCAGAGCAAGAACTTGCTTATTACCATGAGGACAGCACCAAGCCATTCATGAGGGATTTTACCTTATGACCCAAACACCTCCTGTTAGCCCCTACCCTCAACATTGGGGATCAAATTTCAACATGAGATTTGGAGGGTCAAACTTCCAAACTATAAATAGAGAATATGCTTAGAAAAGAACAGAAAATTTAAGTTACAGAGATAAACAGGAATTATTTCATAAATAGCTTTGTATACCATGCTAAAAAGTTTGGATTTTATTCTGAATAAAATCCATTGTAAATTGTTGGAAGAATTTTAATCAGGGTATGAGGGTAGCATTACTTGTTAAAAAATTACAAGATTTGTGTTGTAGTGGTAGAGGTTGAATTTGGTAGCACAATATTGATTGCAGGTAATAAAATGCAGGAGACTATCAAATATATCTGTATAAAAAAATGCCTTAACAAAGACAGTGATAATGGAGAGAGAGGTAAAGAAATAACCATAAAAGAATCAGTACAACTTTGTGACAGATTTAATGTTTGGAGGGGTTGTTGAGAAATATGGATGAGAAAAGAGTGATTTTTCAGTTTCTAAACATGGGATATTGGTGTCACCAACTGAAATAGAAAACATAAGATGAGATTCCAGTGAAGTTTTTCTAAGGGGTTAGAATGAATTTACATATTTATTCTCTCAACAAATACTTATTGAACATCTTCCATGAGACAGGCATTGTTCCAGGCATTAATGATACATTAGTGAATAAATTAATTTCAATGTTAGAGGGTAAGTTCTACATTTAAAAAGCAATAAAATGGTAAAGTGGTGGGAGGGAAAAACATTGGGAGAAGTTTGCAGTATTAAACAGGGTAATCAGGGGAGGAGGAGCCAAGATGGCCGAATAGGAACAGCTCCGGTCTACAGCTCCCAGCGTGAGCGACGCAGAAGACGGGTGATTTCTGCATTTCCATCTGAGGTACCGGGTTCATCTCACTAGGGAGTGCCAGACAGTGGGCGCAGGCCAGTGTGTGTGCGCACCGTGCGTGAGCCGAAGCAGGGCGAGGCATTGCCTCACCTGGGAAGCGCAAGGGGTCAGGGAGTTCCCTTTCCGAGTCAAAGAAAGGGGTGACGGACGCACCTGGAAAATCGGGTCACTCCCACCCGAATATTGCGCTTTTCAGACCGGCTTAAGAAACGGCGCACCACGAGACTATATCCCACACCTGGCTCAGAGGGTCCTACGCCCACGGAATCTCGCTGATTGCTAGCACAGCAGTCTGAGATCAAACTGCAAGGCGGCAACGAGGCTGGGGGAGGGGCGCCCGCCATTGCCCAGGCTTGCTTAGGTAAACAAAGCAGCCAGGAAGCTCGAACTGGGTGGAGCCCACCACAGCTCAAGGAGGCCTGCCTGCCTCTGTAGGCTCCACCTCTGGGGGCAGGGCACAGACAAACAAAAAGACAGCAGTAACCTCTGCAGACTTAAGTGTCCCTGTCTGACAGCTTTGAAGAGAGCAGTGGTTCTCCCAGCACGCAGCTGGAGATCTGAGAACGGGCAGACTGCCTCCTCAAGTGGGTCCCTGACCCCTGACCCCCGAGCAGCCTAACTGGGAGGCAACCCCCAGCAGGGGCACACTGACACCTCACACGGCAGGGTATTCCAACAGACCTGCAGCTGAGGGTCCTGTCTGTTAGAAGGAAAACTAACAACCAGAAAGGACATCTACACCGAAAACCCATCTGTACATCACCATCATCAAAGACCAAAAGTAGATAAAACCACAAAGATGGGGAAAAAACAGAACAGAAAAACTGGAAACTCTAAAACGCAGAGCGCCTCTCCTCCTCCAAAGGAACGCAGTTCCTCACCAGCAACAGAACAAAGCTGGATGGAGAATGATTTTGACGAGCTGAGAGAAGAAGGCTTCAGACGATCAAATTACTCTGAGCTATGGGAGGACATTCAAACCAAAGGCAAAGAAGTTGAAAACTTTGAAAAAAATTTAGAAGAATGTATAACTAGAATAACCAATACAGAGAAGTGCTTAAAGGAGCTGATGGAGCTGAAAACCAAGGCTCGAGAACTACGTGAAGAATGCAGAAGCCTCAGGAGCCGATGCGATCAACTGGAAGAAAGGGTATCAGTGATGGAAGATGAAATGAATGAAATGAAGCGAGAAGGGAAGTTTAGAGAAAAAAGAATAAAAAGAAATGAGCAAAGCCTCCAAGAAATATGGGACTATGTGAAAAGACCAAATCTACGTCTGATTGGTGTACCTGAAAGTGATGTGGAGAATGGAACCAAGTTGGAAAACACTCTGCAGGATATTATCCAGGAGAACTTCCCCAATCTAGCAAGGCAGGCCAACATTCAGATTCAGGAAATACAGAGAACGCCACAAAGATACTCCTCGAGAAGAGCAACTCTAAGACACATAATTGTCAGATTCACCAAAGTTGAAATGAAGGAAAAAATGTTAAGGGCAGCCAGAGAGAAAGGTCGGGTTACCCTCAAAGGAAAGCCCATCAGACTAACAGCGGATCTCTCGGCAGAAACCCTACAAGCCAGAAGAGAGTGGGGGCCAATATTCAACATTCTTAAAGAAAAGAATTTTCAACCCAGAATTTCATATCCAGCCAAACTAAGCTTCATAAGTGAAGGAGAAATAAAATACTTTATAGACAAGCAAATGCTGAGAGATTTTGTCATCACCAGGCCTGCCCTAAAAGAGCTCCTGAAGGAAGCGCTAAACATGGAAAGGAACAACCGGTACCAGCCGCTGCAAAATCATGCCAAAATGTAAAGACCATCGAGACTAGGAAGAAACTGCATCAACTAATGAGCAAAATCACCAGCTAACATCATAATGACAGGATCAAATTCACACATAACAATATTAACTTTAAATATAAATGGACTAAATTCTGCAATTAAAAGACACAGACTGGCAAGTTGGATAAAGAGTCAAGATCCATCAGTGTGCTGTATTCAGGAAACCCATCTCACGTGCAGAGACACACATAGGCTCAAAATAAAAGGATGGAGGAAGATCTACCAAGCCAATGGAAAACAAAAAAAGGCAGGGGTTGCAATCCTAGTCTCTGATAAAACAGACTTTAAACCAACAAAGATCAAAAGAGACAAAGAAGGCCATTACATAATGGTAAAGGGATCAATTCAACAAGAGGAGCTAACTATCCTAAATATTTATGCACCCAATACAGGAGCACCCAGATTCATAAAGCAAGTCCTCAGTGACCTACAAAGAGACTTAGACTCCCACACATTAATAATGGGAGACTTTAACACCCCACTGTCAACATTAGACAGATCAACGAGACAGAAAGTCAACAAGGATACCCAGAAATTGAACTCAGCTCTGCACCAAGCAGACCTAATAGACATCTACAGAACTCTCCACCCCAAATCAACAGAATATACATTTTTTTCAGCACCACACCACACCTATTCCAAAATTGACCACATAGTTGGAAGTAAAGCTCTCCTCAGCAAATGTAAAAGAACAGAAATTATAACAAACTATCTCTCAGACCACAGTGCAATCAAACTAGAACTCAGGATTAAGAATCTCACTCAAAGCCGCTCAACTACATGGAAACTGAACAACCTGCTCCTGAATGACTACTGGGTACATAACGAAATGAAGGCAGAAATAAAGATGTTCTTTGAAACCAACGAGAACAAAGACACCACATACCAGAATCTCTGGGACGCATTCAAAGCAGTGTGTAGAGGGAAATTTATAGCACTAAATGCCTACAAGAGAAAGCAGGAAAGATCCAAAATTGACACCCTAACATCACAATTAAAAGAACTAGAAAAGCAAGAGCAAACACATTCAAAAGCTAGCAGAAGGCAAGAAATAACTAAAATCAGAGAAGAACTGAAGGAAATAGAGACGCAAAAAACCCTTCAAAAAATCAATGAATCCAGGAGCTGGTTTTTTGAAAGGATCAACAAAATTGATAGACTGCTAGCAAGACTAATAAAGAAAAAAAGAGAGAAGAATCAAATAGACACAATAAAAAATGATAAAGGGGATATCACCACCGATCCCACAGAAATACAAACTACCATCAGAGAATACTACAAACACCTCTACGCAAATAAACTAGAAAATCTAGAAGAAATGGATACATTCCTCGACACATACACTCTCCCAAGACTAAACCAGGAAGAAGTTGAATCTCTGAATAGACCAATAACAGGCTCTGAAATTGTGGCAATAATCAATAGTTTACCAACCAAAAAAAGTCCAGGACCAGATGGATTCACAGCCGAATTCTACCAGAGGTACAAGGAGGAACTGGTACCATTCCTTCTGAAACTATTCCAATCAATAGAAAAAGAGGGAATCCTCCCTAACTCATTTTATGAGGCCAGCATCATTCTGATACCAAAGCCGGGCAGAGACACAACCAAAAAAGAGAATTTTAGACCAATATCCTTGATGAACATTGATGCAAAAATCCTCAATAAAATACTGGCAAACCGAATCCAGCAGCACATCAAAAAGCTTATCCACCATGATCAAGTGGGCTTCATCCCTGGGATACAAGGCTGGTTCAATATACGCAAATCAATAAATGTAATCCAGCATATAAACAGAGCCAAAGACAAAAACCACATGATTATCTCAATAGATGCAGAAAAAGCCTTTGACAAAATTCAACAACCCTTCATGCTAAAAACTCTCATTAAATTAGGTATTGATGGGACGTATTTCAAAATAATAAGAGCTATCTATGACAAAACCACAGCCAATATCATACTGAATGGGCAAAAACTGGAAGCATTCCCTTTGAAAACTGGCACAAGACAGGGATGCCCTCTCTCACCGCTCCTATTCAACATAGTGTTGGAAGTTCTGGCCAGGGCAATCAGGCAGGAGAAGGAAATAAAGGGTATTCAATTAGGAAAAGAGGAAGTCAAATTGTCCCTGTTTGCAGACGACATGATTGTTTATCTAGAAAACCCCATCGTCTCAGCCCAAAATCTCCTTAAGCTGATAAGCAACTTCAGCAAAGTCTCAGGATACAAAATCAATGTACAAAAATCACAAGCATTCTTATACACCAACAACAGACAAACAGAGAGCCAAATCATGGGTGAACTCCCATTCACAATTGCTTCAAAGAGAATAAAATACCTAGGAATCCAACTTACAAGGGATGTGAAGGACCTCTTCAAGGAGAACTACAAACCACTGCTCAAGGAAATAAAAGAGGACACAAACAAATGGAAGAACATTCCATGCTCATGGGTAGGAAGAATCAATATCGTGAAAATGGCCATACTGCCCAAGGTAATTGACAGATTCAATGCCATCCCCATCAAGCTACCAATGACTTTCTTCACAGAATTGGAAAAAACTACTTTAAAGTTCATATGGAACCAAAAAAGAGCCCGCATCGCCAAGTCAATCCTAAGCCAAAAGAACAAAGCTGGAGGCATCACACTACCTGACTTCAAACTATACTACAAGGCTACAGTAACCAAAACAGCATGGTACTGGTACCAAAACAGAGATATAGATCAATGGAACAGAACAGAGCCCTCAGAAATAATGCCGCATATCTACAACTATCTGATCTTTGACAAACCTGAGAAAAACAAGCAATGGGGAAAGGATTCCCTATTTAATAAATGGTGCTGGGAAAACTGGCTAGCCATATGTAGAAAGCTGAAACTGGATCCCTTCCTTACACCTTATACAAAAATCAATTCAAGATGGATTAAAGATTTAAACGTTAAACCTAAAACCATAAAAACCCTAGAAGAAAACCTAGGCATTACCATTCAGGACATAGGCGTGGGCAAGGACTTCATGTCCAAAACACCAAAAGCAATGGCAACAAAAGCCAAAATTGACAAATGGGATCTAATTAAACTCAAGAGCTTCTACACAGCAAAAGAAACTACCATCAGAGTGAACAGGCAACCTACAACATGGGAGAAAATTTTCGCAACCTACTCATCTGACAAAGGGCTAATATCCAGAATCTACAATGAACTCAAACAAATTTACAAGAAAAAAACAAACAACCCCATCAAAAAGTGGGCGAAGGACATGAACAGACACTTCTCAAAAGAAGACATTTATGCAGCCAAAAAACACATGAAGAAATGCTCATCATCACTGGCCATCAGAGAAATGCAAATCAAAACCACTATGAGATATCATCTCACACCAGTTAGAATGGCAATCATTAAAAAGTCAGGAAACAACAGGTGCTGGAGAGGATGTGGAGAAATAGGAACACTTTTACACTGTTGGTGGGACTGTAAACTAGTTCAACCATTGTGGAAGTCAGTGTGGCGATTCCTCAGGGATCTAGAACTAGAAATACCATTTGACCCAGCCATCCCATTACTGGGTATATACCCAAATGAGTATAAATCATGCTGCTATAAAGACACATGCACACGTATGTTTATTGTGGCACTATTCACAATAGCAAAGACTTGGAACCAACCCAAATGTCCAACAATGATAGACTGGATTAAGAAAATGTGACACATATACACCATGGAATACTATGCAGCCATAAAAAATGATGAGTTCATATCCTTTGTAGGGACATGGATGAAATTGGAAACCATCATTCTCAGTAAACTATAGCAAGAACAAAAAACCAAACACCGCATATTCTCACTCATAGGTGGGAATTGAACAATGAGATCACATGGACACAGGAAGCGGAATATCACACTCTGGGGACTGTGGAGGGGTCGGGGGAGGGGGGAGGGATAGCATTGGGAGATATACCTAATGCTAGATGACACATTAGTGGGTGCAGCACACCAGCATGGCACATGTATACATATGTAACTAACCTGCACAATGTGCACATGTACCCTAAAACTTAGAGTATAATAAAAAAAAAAAAAAATTATATTAAGTGAAAAAAAAAATAGGGTAATCAGGTTAAGGTTCATAAAACTGATAAGATTTGAATAAAGATATATTGGAAAAATAGTAGATATTTGGGGGAAGAATTTTTAAAGCTAAGGAAACAAATAGAAGACTCTGACATTGGATTGTAGTTTATGGGATCAAGGGACAAACTTATTCATCATAGCTGGAGTAGAGTGGATAGATATTGAGAAAGTCAGAGAAGAATGTGGGAGAGGTGTTAGGTCATGTAAAGACTCATAGACCATTGTAAGAATTTTGGATTTGTTGAATTTGAGATGTCTCTGGAACATCCAGGGGAAAATTTCTGCCGATATTTGTCCACAAAGGCCTGGACTTCAGAACAGGTCTACATAGGAGACTTCATTATATATATGGTACTTGTATCCATGGAAGTTGACAAGATATCTCGTAAATAATGTATGAGAAAATAGAAACAAGGATCAAACATGGAGAATATCAAAATTGAAGTTGTGAGTACAGAAGGGAAAGCTATAAAAAGGAGGTTGTGAGGGTAACTATGGAGTGCTTAACAACTTGGCTTTGGAGAAGAAAGATAAAATAGTAGCTAAATGATTACCCCCATTCCGGAGAATAAGTGTTTGTTTGTTTTTATTAATGAGAAAATTTTGAATTTGTTTATAAATTGGCAGGGAAGAGCAGAGAGAGAAATTAAAATGCAAGACGGAGAGGAAAGAAAAGATAGGATTGAGATCTGAGACAAATTCTCTTCTGATAGATAAGATTTGCACTGGAGAAAGAATGCCTCTTCTGCTGAGAGAGAAATTGGCATTTGTGTGATGTGTCCCAAGATTTCTTCTATGTGCTTTATTTTTGTAGAGTAATAATAAAAATAACATTTTGAGTGCTTATTTTAGGCCAATTTTTATTATCTCATTTCATCCTCACAGTAAACTTATGAGGTCAGTATATTTATTATCCTTGTTTTACAGCTGATAAAAAGGAAATTTAGAACAACTTGCCAAGGTAGAGATGCAACAAAAAAAGAAACTCACAGGTCAATATCCCCGATGAACATCAAGGCGAAAATCCTCAATAAAATACTGGCAAACCAAATCCAGCAGCACATCAAAAAACTTATCCTCCATGATCAAGTTGGCTTCATCCCTGGTATGCAAGGCTGCTTCAACATACACAAATCTTTATTGATTTATCGTAATTCGTCACATAAACAGAACCAATGACAGAAACCATGATTGTCTCAATAGATGCAGAATAGGCCTTCGATAAAATTTAACAAACTTCATGCTAAAAACTCTCAATAAACTAGGTATTGATGGAACGTATCTCAAAATAATAAGAGCTATTTATGACAAACCCACTGCCAATGTCATACTGAGTGGGGAAAAGCTGGAAGCATTCCCTTTGAAAACCGGCACACGACAAGGATGCCCAGTCTCACCACTCCTATTCAACATAGTATTGGAAGTTCTGGCCAGGGCAATTAGGCAAGAGAAAGAAATAAAGCATATTCAAATAGGAAGAAAAAAAGTCAAATTGTCTCTATTTGCAGATGACATGATTGTATATTTAGAAAACCCCATCGTCTCAGCCCAAAATCTCCTTAAGCTGAGAAGCAACTTCAGCAAATTCTCAGGATATAAAATCAATGTGCAAAAATCACAAACATTCCTATACACAAATAACAGGCAGAGAGCCAAATCATGAGTGAACTCCCATTCACAATTGCTACTAAGAGAATAAAATACCTAGGAATCCAACTTATAAGGGATGTGAAGGACCTCTTTAAGAGCTACAAACCACTGCTCAAGGAAATAAGAGAGGACACAAACAAATGGAAAAAACTTCTATATTCATGAATAAGAAGAATCAATATTGTGAAAATGGCCATACTGCCCAAAGTAATTTATAGATTCAATGCTATCCCTATCAAGCTACCATTGACTTTCTTCACAGAATTAGAAAAAACTACTTTAAATTTCATATGGAACCAAAAAAGAGCCCATATGGCCAAGACAATCCTAAGCAAAAAGAACAAAGCTGGAGGCATCACGCTACCTTACATCAAGTTATAATTTAAGGCGCAGTAACCAAAACAGCATGGTACTGGTACCATTACAGATATATAGATCAATGGAACAGAACAGAGGCCTCAGAAATAATGCCACACATCTACAACCATCTGATCTTTGACAAATCTGACAAAAACAAGAAATGGGGAAAGGATTCCCTACGTAATAAATCGTGTTTGGGAAACTGGCTAACCATATGAAGAAAACTGAAATTAGACTCCTTCCTTACACTTTATACAAAAATTAACTCAAGATGGATTAAAGACTCAAACATAAGACCTAAAACCATAAAAACCCTAGAAGAAAACCTAGGCAATACCATTCAGGACATATACATGGACAAAGACTTCATGACTAAAACACCAAAAGCAATGGCAACAAAAGCCAAAATTGACAAATGGGATCTAATTAAACTAAAGAGCTTCTGCACAGCAAAAGAAACTATGATCAGAATGAACAGGCAACCTACAGAATGGGAGAATATTTTTGCAATCTATCCGTCTGACAAAGGGATAATATCCAGAATAAGGCAGGAAAATTTAAGTCTGTTAAGGTGCTCTCTCCCAGGGAGATGGGAGTTTTATCTATAAGCTCCTGACTGGGGCTTCTGCCTTTCTTTCAGATATGCCCTGCCCAGAGAGGAGGAATCTAGAGAGGCAGTCTGGCTACAGCAGCTTTGCCAAGCTGTGGTGGACTCTGCCCAGTTCCAACTTCCCAGCAGCTTTGTTTACACTGTGAGGAGAAAACCACCTACTCAGGCCTCAGTAATGTTGGACGCCCCTCCCCTCCTCCAGGCTGGAGGTCCCAGGTCGACTTCAGACTGCTGTGCTGGCAGCGAGAATTTCAAGCCAATGGATCTTAGCTTGCTGGGATCTGTGGGGATGGGATCCACTGCGCTAGACCACTTGGCTCCCTGGCTTCAGCTTCCTTTCCAGGGGAGTGTACGGTTCTGTCTCGCTGGCATTCCAGGCGCCACTGGGGTATGAAAAAAAAACAAAAAAAACAAAAAACAGAAAACTCCTGCACCTAGCTCAGTGTCTGCCTAAATGGCTGCCCAGTATTGTGCTTGAAACCCAGGGCCCTGGTGGCATAGGAACTCAAGGGAATCTCCTGGTCTGCAGGTTGTGAAGACCATGGGAAAAGCATAGTATCTGGGTCAGAGTGCACCATTCCTCACAGCAAGGTCTCTTATGGCTTCCCTGGGCTGGGGGAGGGAGATCCCCAACCCCTTGCACTTCCCAGGTGAGGCAATGCCCCACCCTGCTCTGGCTCACCCTCTGTGGGCTCCACCCAGTGTCTAACCAGTCCTGATGAGATGAGCTAGGTACCTCAGTTGGAAATGCAGAAATCACCCACCTTCTGCTGGGAACTGCAGACTGGAGCTGTTCCTATTCAGCCATCTTGCCAGCCACTCCAAGATTAATTTATTTTTATTCCTCAACTTGTATTTTAAGTTCAAGGGTACATGTGCAGGATGTGCAGGTTTGTTACATATGTAAACGTGTGCCATGGTGGTTTACTGCATCATTTCATCACCTAGTTATTAAGCTCAATATCCATTAGCTATTCTTTCTGATGCTCTCCATCCCCTCAAATCCCCCAAGCAGGCCCCAGTGTGTCTTGTTCCCCCGCCATGTGTCCATGTGTTCTCATCATCCAGCTTCCACTTATAAGTGAGAACATGCAGTGTTTGGTTTTCTGTTCCTGTGTTAGTTTGCTGAGGATAACAGCTTCAAGGCCTATCTATTTCCCTGTAAAGAACATGATCTTCATCCTTTTTACGGCTGCATTATATTCCATGCTGTATATGCACAACATTTTCTTTATCCAGTCTATCGTTGATGGACATTTGAGTTGACTCCATGTCTTTGCTATTGTGAATAGTGCTGCAATAAATATACATATGCATGCATCTTTATAATAGAATGATTTCTATTCCTTTGGACATACACCCAGTAATGGGATTGCTGGGTCAAATGGTATTTCTGGTTCTAAAATTTCAAGAATTGCCACACTGTTTACCACAATGGTTGAACTAATTTACACTCACACCAACAGTGTAAAAGTTTTCCTTTTTCTCTGCAACCTTGCCAGCATCTGTTGTTTTCTGACTTTTAATAATGGTCATTCTGACTGGTGTGACATAGTATCTCATTGTGGTTTGATTTGCATTTCTCTATGGATCAGTGGTGTTGATCTTCAGATGTTTGTTGGCCACATGTATGTCTTCATTTGAGAAGTGACTGTTCATGTCCTTTGCCCACTTTTTAATATGGTTATTTCTTTATCTCATAAATTGTTTAAGTTCCTTGTAGACTAGGTATTAGACCTTGGTCAAATGGATAGATTGCAAAAATGTTCTTTCATTTTGAAGGTTGACTGTTCACTGCTGATGATAGTTTATTTTGCTGTGCAGAAGCTCTTTGGTTTAATTAAGATTCTATTTGTCAACATTTGCTTTTGTTGCAATTGCTTTTGGCATTTTCATCATGAAATTTTCACCTGTACCTATGTCCTAAATGGCATTTCCTAGATTTTCTTCTAGGGTCTTTACAGTTTTGGGTTTTACATTTAAGTCTTTAATCCATCTCCAGTTAATTGTTGTATATGGTGTAAGGAAGGGGTCCAGTTTCAGTTTTCTGCATGTGGATAGCCAGTTCTCCCAGCACCATTTATTAAATAGGGAATCCTTTCCCTATTGCTTGTTTTGTCAGGTTTGTTGAAGATCAGATATTTGTAGGTGTGTGGTCTTATTTCTGAGTTATCTACTCTGTTCCATTGATTTATGGGTCTGTTCTTGTAACAATCCCATGCTCTTTTGGTTACTGTAGCCTTGCAGTATAGTTTGAAGTCAGGTAGAATGATGCCCCCAGCTTTGTTCTTTTTGCTTAGGATTGTCTGGTCTATTCAGGCTCTTTTATAGTACCATTTGAATTTTAAAAGTTTTTTTTTCTAATTCTGTGAAGAATGCCAATGGTAGTTTAATGGGAATAGCATTAAATCTATAAATTACTTTGGCCAGTATGACCATTTTTGCAATATTGATTCTTCCTAATCATGAGAATGGAATGTTTATCCATTTGTGTCCTCTCTGATTTCTTTGAGTAGTTGTTTGTAGTTCGCCTTAAAGAGGTTCTTCACTTCCTTGTTAGCTGTATTTCTAGGTATTTTATTCTCTTCTTATTCTTTTTCCCCCCTCAAGATGGGGTCTCACTGACGCCCAGGTTGGAGTGCAGTGGTGCAATCACGGTTCACTGCAACCTTTGCCTCCCGGGTTCAAGTGGTTCTCCTCCCTCAGCCTCCCGAATAGATGGGATTACAAGTGCATGCCACCATGCCTGGCTAATTTTTGTATTTTTTAGTAGAGACGAGGTTTCATCATGTTGGCCAGGCTGGTCTCAAACTACTGACCTTGTGATCCACCCGCTACAGCCTCCCAAAGTGCTGAGATTACAGGCGTGAGCCACCACACTTGGCCTATTTTATTATTTCACAGCAATTGTAAATGGGAGTTCATTCATGACTTGGCTCTCTGATTCCCCTTGGTGGTGTATAGTAATACTAGCATTTTTTGGACATTGATATTGTACATATCTTGGGACTTTGCTGAAGTTCTTTATCAGCTAGAGGAGCTTTTGGGCCAAGACTATGAGGTTTCTAGATATAAAATTATGTCATCTGCCAACAGGCATAATTTTATTTCCTCTCTTCCTATTTGGAAGCCCTTTATTTCTTTCTCTTGCCTAATTGCTCTGGTCAGGACTTTCAATATTACGTTGAATAGGAGTGGTGAGAGAGGGCATTCTTGTCTTGTGCCAGTTTTCAAGGCTTCCACTTTTGCTCATTCCATATGATATTAACTGTGGGTTTGTCTATAAGGCTCTTATTATTTTGAGGTGTGTTTTTCAATACCTAGTTTATTGAGAGTTCTTAACATGAAAGAATGTTGAATTTTGTTGAAAGACTTTCTTGCATCTATTGAGATAATCATGTGGTTTTGTATTTAGCTCTGTTTATGTGATGAATCACATTTATTGATTTGTGTATGTTGAACCAACTTTGCATCTCAAGTATGAGGGCAATTTGATCATGGTGGATATCTTTTTTATGTGCTGCTGGATTCTGTTTGTGAGTACTTTATTGAGGATTTTTGCATTGAGGTTCATGAAGAATATTGTCCTGAAGTTTTCTTTATTTGTTATATATCCGCCAGATTTTAATATCAGAATGATGCTGGCCTCATAGAATGAGTTAGGGAGAAGTACTTTCTTTTTTTTTCTTTTCTTTTTCTTTCTTTTTTTTTTTTTTTATTTGATAGTCTCAGTAGAAATGGTACCAGCTCTTCTTTGTTCCTCTCATAGAATTGAGCTGTGAATCCATATGGTCCTGGGCTTCTTTTGGTTGGTAGGTATTGTTTATTAGTGTCTCAATTTCAGGACTCATTATTGGCCTATTCAGGCATTCAATTTCTTCCTGGTTCAGTCTTGGGAGGGTGGATGTGCTTAGGAATTCATCCATATTTTCTAGATTTTCTAGTTTATGTGCATAGAGGTGTTTATAGTATTCTCTGATGGTTGTTTGTATTTCTGTGAGGTCAGTGGTAATATCCCCCTTCTCCTCTTTAATTATGTCTATGTACTTCTTCTCTCTTTTCTTCTTTATTAGTCTGCCTAGAAGTCTATTTTATTACTTTCTTCAAAAAACAGCTTCTAGATTCACGAATTTTTTGAAGAGTTTTTTGTATCTCTAGCTCCTTCAATTCAGCTCTATTCTTTGTTAATTGTTCTCTTCTGCTAGCTTTGAGGTTTATTTGCTCTTGATTCTCTAGTTCTTTTAGTTGAGATGTTAGGTTGTTAACTTGAGAGCTTCCTAGCTTATTGATGTGAGCATTTAGTGCTATAAATTTCCCTCCTAACACTACTTCAGCTATGTCCCAGAGATTCTGGTATTTTGTCTCTTTGTTCTCATTGGTTTTAAAGAACTTCTTAATTTCTGCCTTAATTTTATTATTGACTCAAGAGTCATTCAGGAGCAGGTTGTTCAATATCCATGTAGTTGTTTGGTTTTGACTGAATTTTTTAATTTTGAGTTATGTTTGTGCTATAGTCTGAGAGAATGTTATGATTTCAGTTCTTTTGCATCTGCTGAGGTGTATTTGACTTCTGATTATGTAATTAATTTCAGAGTGAGTGGCATGTGGTGATTAAAAGAATCTATATTCTGTTGTTTTTAGGTGGAGAGTTCTGTAGATATCTATCAGGCCCACTTGATCCAGAGCTGAGTTCAGGTCCTGAATATCTTTGTTAATTTTCTGTCTCGATGGTCTGTCTAATATTGTCAGTGGAGGTGTTAATGTCTTCCACTATTATTGTGTGGGAATCTAAGTCTCTTTATAGATCTTTAAAAACTTGCTTTATGAATCTGGCTGCTCCTGTATTGGGTGCATATGTATTTAGGATAGTTAGCTCTTCTTGTTAAATTCAACTTTTTACCATTATGTAATGTTACTCTTTGCCTTTTTTTATTTTTGTTGGTTTAAAATATGTTTTGTGAGAAACTAGGATTGAATTCCCTGATTTTTTGTTTTCCATTTACGTGGAAAAATTTTCTCCATCCCTTTATTTTGAACCTTTGCACGTGAGATGGTTCTCTTAAAGACAGCATACCAATCGGTCTTGGCTCTATCAAGCTTGCCATTCTGTGTCTTTTAATTGGGGGTATTTATTTCATTTATATTTTAATTGGGGTATTTAGCTCAATAAATTTAGCTCATTACATTCTTACATATAAAATTCTGGATTAAAAATTCTTTTCTTTAAGTATGTTGAATATTGGCCCCCAATCTCTTCTGGCTTGTAGGGTTTCGACTAAAGGTCCCACTGTTAGTCTGATGGGTTTTCCTATGTAGATGAGCTGGCCTTTCTCTCTGGTGCCCCTAACATTTTTATTTTATTTTGACCTTGGATAATCTGATGATTATGTGTCTTGGTGTTGATCTACTCATGGAGTATATTACTGGGGTTCTCTGCAATTCCTGAAGTTGAATGTTGGCCTGTCTTACTGTGTTGGGAAAGTTCTCCTGGATGAAATTCTGAAGTATGTTTTTCAACTTGGTTGCAGCATTCTCCTTGTCTCTTTTCGGTACCCTATTCAGTCATAGTTTCAATCTCTTTACACATACCCATATTTCTCAGAGGTTTTGTTCATTTCTTCTTATTTCTATTGTTGTTTGCCTTTCTGATTTCAGAAAGATAGTCTTCAAGATCTAAGATTCTTGTCTCCACTTGTTCTATTCTGCTATTGATACTTGTGGTAGCATTGTGAAGTTCTCATGCTGTGTTTTTCAGCTCCATCAGGTCAGTTATATTCCTTTCTAAACTGGCTCTTCTGGCTACAAGCTCCTGTATTGTTTTATCATGACTCTTAGCCTCT
Source organism: Homo sapiens (assembly GCF_000001405.40). NCBI lineage: Eukaryota > Metazoa > Chordata > Mammalia > Primates > Hominidae > Homo > Homo sapiens. Next base: position 56,710,428 of record NC_000023.11, read on the forward strand.
TTGCATTGAGTTACAACATGCTCTTTCAGCTCAGTGAAGGTCATTATTATCCACCGTCTGGAGCCTTCTTCTGTCAACTCTGCCATCTCGGCCTCAGCCCAGTTCTGTGCCCTTGCTGGAGAAGTGTCACAATCATTTGCAGAAGAGACACTCTGGTTTTTTAGTTTGTAGCATTTTTACATTGATTCTTTCTCATCCTTATGGGCTTATCTACCTTCAATCTTTGAGGTTGCTGACCTTCAAATAGGGTTTGTATGGGCTCTACTTTGTTGATGTTGTCATTCTCCCTTTCTGTTGGTTTGCTTTTCTTTTAATAGTCAGGCCACTCTACCATAGGGCTGCTGTGGTTTGCTGGGTTTCCCTCCAGACTGTAGTTGCCTTGGTTTATTCCCATACCTGGAGGAATCAACAGTAAAGGCTGTAAAACAGCAAAGATGGCAGCCAGCTCCTTCCTCTGAAAGCTCCATCCCTGGGGTATACTGACCTGTTGCTGGCCCAACAACCAGGAAAATGGCTGGAGGCCCCTGTTTGGAGGTCTCACCCAGTAAGGAGTAACAGGATCAGGGACCCACTTAAAGAAGCAGTCTTTTGGTGGGAATGTAAACTAGCATAACCACTATGGAAAACAGTGTGGAGAGTCCTTAAAGAACTAATAATAAAACTCCCATTTGATCCAGCAATCCCACTACTATGTATCTACCCAGAGGAAAAGAAGTCATTATATGAGAAAGATACTTGCACATGCATATTTATGGCAGCACAATTTGCAATTGCAAAAATGTGGAACCAGTCCAAATGCCCATCAATCAATGAGTGCATAACAAAATTGTGGTATATTTATACATATGATGAAATACTACTCAACCATAAACATGCATGGCATTCACAGCAACCTGGATGGAACTGGAGGCTATTATTCTAAGTGAAGTAACTCAGAAATAAAAAAACAAACATTATATGTTCTCACTCATAAGTGGGAGCTAAGCTATGAGGACACAAAGTCATAAGAACTATACAATGGACTTTGGGGACTCAGGTGAAAGAGTGGGAGCAGGGTGAGAGATAAAAGACTACAAATTGAGTTCAGTGTATACTTCTCAGGTGATGGGTACACAAAATCTCAGAAATTACCACTAAAGAACTCACCCATGTAACCGAATACCACCTGTTCTCCCAAAACCTATGGAAATAAAAATAAGTAAAAAAATAAATAAGCAATTGGGCTGCTTTTTGGTAGAGCAAGTGTGCTTCATTAGGGGGAATTCTTCCTTGTCCTGACTGTTTGGATTCTCCAAAACTAGCAAACTGGAATGGCTGTGTTGACTGAACTGCAGAGATGGTGGCTGACCCTCTTCCTGGGAGCTCCATTTCAGGGAGAGATCAGAGCTCTATCTATAGAACCCTGGCTGGAGTAGCTGAAGCCTCTGCAGGGAAGTCCTGCCCAGAAAGAAATAATGAATTGGGGTCTCACTTAAAGAAGCAGTCTGGCCATGATCTGGCAAGACAGCTTTGCTGGATTGTGGGGGAACCTTCCTTTTCTAGACCATCTGTATTCTCCAAAGCCATCAGGTTGTAATGTCTGAGTCTACCAAACCACAGAAATGGCAGCCACCTCTCCCCCTGGGAACTTGGACCCATCTCAAGCAGAGTCCTGTCTGTTGCTATTGGCTGGCTGGAATTCCAAGCCAGTGGATCTTAAGTTGTGAGGTGCCATGGAAGTGGGGTCAACAGAATAATGTCATTTGGCTCCCTGGATTTGGCCCCCTTCCTAGGAATATGTACAAACAGATTTCCCACCTTGCCAGGGATTCTGGGGCCAGAGTAAGTAAAATAACTGGGTTTCTGTGTGTGCCTGAGTGACTGCTCTGCTGAGACTCAACGCAGCTCTGCTGAGACTACACACACACTTATTGCACCCCAAGGCCCTGGTGGCATGGGCTTATAAGTGTATCACCTTATCTGTGGGGTGCAAAGATTTGTGGGAGAAGTGTGGTTTCCCAGGTTGAGTCGCACAATTACTTACTGCATCTTTTGGCTGGGGGTGGGGATTGCTTTGGCTTTGTGCCACTTCTGGGTGGGCCATCACCCCACCCTGCTTTTCTTCTCCGTGGGTAGAGTTGTTTGCCTTGTCAGTCCCAATGTGAGAGCCTGGATATTTCAGTTGAAGGTGCTGAATTCACTTGCCCCTTTTTTTTCCTTTCTGTAAGTGCCATGAACTGCAGCTGCTTCTAAGTAGCCATCTTGGCCCCTCCCTTATTTAACATTTTTTTCCAATTTTTTACCATTAAAAGTAATACTGTGGTAAATATTTTTGTGTTAAAATTTTTGGAAATCTTAAATTTCTTTCCTAAAGACAGATTCTGAAATTTGGAATTACTTGGTAAAGAAATAAATACTTTACACCTACTTTTAATATGCTTTCTAAAAGTGTTGTACATATATAAACTAAAAATTACAATATATTATAGTACCACTTTTCTGCATTGTCAGTAGCATTGTGTGTCTTTTTCCTAAATTAGTTGGTGAAAATAGTGTCTACATTTTTTAAATTCACATTTATTTTTAATTTTTAATTGTAAGAAATGTTCATTGAACTCATAAAAGTAGAGAGTAGAATGACGGTGGGTGGGGTGGAGAAAAGAATTGGGGAGTTGTTGGTCAAAGGGTAAAAAGTTTCAGATAGAAGAGAGGAATAAGTTTTTAGATCAATTGCACAGTTGGGTGACTATAGTCAATGATAATAAATACATTTTAAAATAACTAAAAGAGTACATTTTAAATGTCTCCCCATAAAAATGATAGGTAAATAAAATGACTAATATGTTAATTAGCTTCATTTAATCATTCCACATTGTACACATGTATCAAAACATCACAGGTATTCCATAAATATATACAATTATGATTTGCAAATTAAAAATTTTGCATTTATTTGACAACTTATTGGTTGCATACTTTCCAGTATTGGACAGTCTGTTGTTTTTTCCTTTTCAAAAAATGTGTGTTTCTGTTTGTGGTAGACACAAACAGATGTTTGTGATCTGGCCTTCAATGAACTCCACTTTCAGCTATTCATGACCATGTGCAAACTCCTCTCTCTGGGTGTAGGTTTGACCTAGTGATTAACTTCTGATTAATAGAATATGCTGTAAGTAATGGGATATCACTTCTAAAAATTAAGTTGTAAAAAGACTGTAGCTTTAATCATTAGAACTCTGACATTCTCTCTCTAATCACCAACCTTGGGAAAAGCTAGAGCTTCCAGCAACCTTGTAGAAGGGTCCAAGTGGCAAGAGATCAAGCCTTGAAATAATCATATGAGTGAGCTTGGAGGAGGATCTGCCACCAATCTAGCCTTCAGATATGACAGCAGCCATAGCTGACAGTTTGACTGCTACCTCATAAGAAACCTAGAGACAAAGAAACCCAGCTGAGCTGCACCTGAATTTCTAAGCCACAGAAACTATGAGATAATAATGTTGGTTTCTTTAAGCTGCAAAACCTGGTTTATTTGCATCTTCCTCTTATTTTTGCCTAATCACACCATCCATTAATACAATCAACTAATTCCCTTGCTGTTAGTCCACACATACTGATGTCCTACTGATTATAAATGAATGAATGCACTATTCAGATATTGGAAATCTGTTCAGCAAATGTATTTCTCAATGGAATCACTAACTTTGTAGTCTTATTTATAGGTTGCTCACTTCATTTGCTTGGAGTTAGTCCTAGAATTCAATCAGGTGTCCTAAAAATGAAGTTTTTTTGATATAGAAAGATGAGGGCTAAATTCTGATCCATGAAACCATCATCAATGTTAGCCTCTGAGATGCTGCATTTTAATATCATTCAGAGATTGCAGCTCTAGAATTGATAGAGCAAACAAAATGATATCATCAAGCAAAAAGCCTGCCTTGTGGTGATACATGTGTTAGTAAAAAAAAAAATACAAAACTTAAAAATAAAGAGAAGATACGTTCTTTAAATAAAGCATTGTTAAATAGGCCCACCAAATTATTTAATTCTCTCAGTGAATGTACATAACTTTGACTCTGCTATTTGATGTCAGTTAGAGCCTAGACTCTGTGAGGTTACATGTTAACTTGCAGACTTTAGTCTGATTATAAACATTACCCCAAAGGTTATAGTTTATTGCCCTGTAGGATATTAAACAGTGTTGTATTTAATAACAGGCTTATTTTAACGTTATTTTTTCAGTGACTATAAATACCCAGTTCTGCAAATGTCCTCTGAGGCAGCTTTATCCTGCACAGAGGCAAACACCCTGGCACCCACTAGCACCCTGCTACAGCCAATGAGTGTGCATTATGCTGTGCTTCCAAGGCTGTACTGATGACATGTGTGAACAAGGATGGATCCTGCTGTCACTGCACTATAAAATGCTTTGGGTAATACCATACAAGAGCTCCTGAAGGAAGCACTAAATATGGAAAAGAAAGCACATTACCAGCAACTACAAAAACACACTCAAGTACATAGACAAGTGACATTATAAAGCAACCACATAAACAAGTGTGCATAATAACCAGCAAACATCATGATGACAGGAAAAAATCCACACACATCAATACTAACCTTGAATGTAAATGGTCTAAATACATCAATTAAAAGGCACAGAGTGGCAAGCTGGATAAAGAACCAAGTCCCATTGGTATGTTGTCTTTAAGAGACCTATCTCACATGCAATAGCACCCACAGGCTCAAAATGAAGGAATGGAGAAAAATCTACCAAACAAATGGAAAACAGCAAAGCAGGGGTTGCCATTCTAAAACAGACATTAAACCCACAAAGATCAAAAAAGGCAAAGAAGGGCATTACATAATGGAAAACAGTTCAATTAAAAACGACCTAACTATCCTAGATACATATGCACCAAATACAGGATCACCCAGATTCATAAAGCAAGCTTTTAGAGACTTTTAAAGAGACTTAAACTCCTACACAGTAATAGTAAGAGACTTCAACACTTTACAGACAGTATTAGGCAGATTATCAAAGCAGAAAATTAACCAAGGTATTTAGGACCTGAATTCAGCACTGAATCAAATGGACCTGATAGACATCTACAGAACTCTCCACCCAAAAAGAACAGAATACACATTCTTCTCATTGCCACATGGCACATACTCCAAAATCAATTACATAATCAGACATAAAAAATTCCTCAGTAAATGCAAATGAACTGAAATTATAACAACTAATCTCTCAGACACAATCAAATTAGGAATCAACATTAAGAAAGACACTCAAAAAAAAAATACACTCAAAACCATACAGTTATATAGAAATTGAATAACCTGTTCCTCAATGACTTTTGAGTAAATAATGAAATTAAGGTAGAAATTAAGTTCTTTGAAACAATGAGACAAAGAAAATAGCATACCAGAATCTCTGGGACAAAGATAAAGCAGTGTTAAGAGTGAAATTTATAGCACAAAATGTCCTCATCGGAAAGTTAGAAAGATCTCAAATTACTAAGCTAACATCACAACTAAAAGAACCAGTGAACCAAGAGGAAACCAACCTCAGGGCTAGCAGAAGACAAGAAATAACCAAACTCAGAGCTGAAGAAGATTGAGACACGATAAATTAATCAAAAAATTGATCAATCCAGGAAGGTTTGTTTGGAAAAAAATAATAAGTAGACCACTAGCTAGACTATTAAAGAAGAAAAGAAAGAAAATCCAAATAAGCAAAATTAGAAATAAATAAGAAAATATAAACATTGACTGCACCGCAATAAAAACAACCATCAGAGAATACTATGAACACCTCTATGCACATAAACTGAAACATAGAAAAAAATAAGTTCCTGAACACATACACCCTCCCAAGACTGAACCAAGAAGAAATAGAATCCCTGAACAGAACAATAACAAGCTCTAAAATTAAATTAGTGATAAATAGTTTACCAACCAAAAACAGCTCAGAAACACATGAATTCACAGCTGAATTTTACCAGATGCACAAAGAAGAGCTGGTATCATTTCTGCTGAAACGGTTTTGAAAAATTGAGGAGGGACTCCTCCCTAACTCATTCTATGAGGCCACCATTATTCTGATACCAAAACATGGCAGACACACACAGACACCAAAACAAAAAAACAAACAAACAAACAAACAAACGCTTTAGGCCAATATCCTTGATGAACCTCAATGCAAAAATCCTCAATAAAGTATTCACAAACCAAATCCAGCAGCACATCAAAAAGATTATCCACCATGATATAGTAAACTTTATCCCTGGGATGGAAGGTTAGGTCAACATATCAACATACGCAAATCAATAAATATATTTCATCACATAAACAGAACTAAATTCAAAAACCACATGATTATCTCAATAGATGCAGAAAAGTATTTTAATGAAATTCAACACCCCTTCTTGTTAAAAAAAAAACCCTCAATAAGCTAGGTATTAAAGAAACGTACCTCAAAAATAAGAACCTTATATTACAAACCCACAGCCAAAATTATACCAAATGAGCAAAAGCTGGAAGCATTCTCCTTGAAAAGTGGCACAAGACAAGAATATCCTCTCTCAATCCTATTGAACACAAGTTTGAAAACCCTGGCCGGGGCAATCAGGCAAGATTATAAAATAAAGGGCATCCAAATAGAAATAGAGAAAGTCAAATTATGCCTGTTTCCAAATGACATGATTCTATATGTAGAAAATCTCATAGCCTTGACCCAAAAGTTTCTTCAGCTGATAAAGAACTTCAGCAAAGTCTCAGGATACAAAATGCATGTACACAAGTTACTACCATTTCTATACCTCAACAACAATCAGTCTGAGAACCAAATCAGGAATGCAGTCCCATTCACAATTGCCACAAAAAGAATATAATATCTAAAAACACAGCAATCCAGGGAAGTGAAAGATCTCTACAAGAGGAACTACAAAAGACTGCTGAAAGAAATAAAGGATGACACAAACAGATGGAGAAACATTCCATGCTCATGAATAGGAATAATTAATATCATTAAAATGGCCATACTGTCCAAAGCAATTTATAGATTCAATGCTATTCCTATTAAACTACCATTGACTTTTCTTCACAAAACTAGGGGAAAAAAGCTGTAGGCATCTCATTACCTGACTTCAAACTATTCTACAGGGCTACAGTAACCAAAAAAGCATGGTACTAGTACAAAAACAGACATATACACCAATGGAACAGAATAAAAAACCTAGAAATAAGACTGTACACCTACAACTATCTGATCTTTGACAAACCTGACAAAAACAAGCAATTGGGAAATGATTCCCTATTCAATAAATGGTGCTGGGATAACTGGCTAGCCATATGCAGAAGATGAAAACTGGAGCCCTTCCTAGTACCATATACAAAAATTAACTCCAGATGGATTAATGACTTAAATGTAAAACCTAAAACTATAAAAAACCTGGAAAACAACTGATATAGTTTGGCTGTGTCCCAGCCCAAATCTCATCTTAAATTGTAGCTCCCATAATTCTCACGTGTTGTGGGAAGAACCCAGTGGGAGATAATTGAGTCATGGGGGCAGTTTCCCCTATACTGTTCTGGTGGTAGTGAATAGGCCTCACAAGATCTGATGGTTTTATAAGGGGAAACCCCTTTCACTTGTTTTCATTTATCTCTTGCCTGCCACCATGTAAGACTTGCTTTTCACCTTCCACCATGATTGTGAGGCCTCCTGAGCCACGTTAAACTGTGAGTCTATTAAGCCTCTTTTTATTTATAAATTACTCAGTCTGGGGTATGTCTTTATCAGCAGCATGAGGACAGACTAATGCAACAACCTAAGCAATGCCATTCTGGAAATAGAAATGGGCAAAGATTTCATAACGAACATGACAAAAGCAATTGCAATAAAACAAAAATTGACAAATGGGATGTAATTAAACTAGAGAGATTCTGCACAGCAAAAGAAGCTATCAGCAAACAGATGACCTACAGAATGAGTGAACATTTTTGCAATCCGTGCTTCTGGCAAATGTCTTCTATCAAGTATCTCTAAAGAACTTAAACAAATTTACAAGGAAAAAAACAATCCCATTAAAAAGTGGGCAAAGGACAGGAACAAACACCATTCAAAAGAAGACATGCATGTGGCCAGCAAACATATTTTAAAAAGCTCAACAAAAGATTTATAAAAATGGCAGACAGAAGGGCGGACTAAATTGCAGCTCCCAGTTAGATGGACAGAGCAGCATGTGGAGACTCACATTGTAAACTTTTGCTCCAAGAACTACTGTGGGAATACCAGGAAAGCTGTGAGAATTAACAGACCCTTTGAAAGAAGCAGACTGCTTCTGCAATACTCAGAAGACAGCCCAAGTACTCTGAGTGCCCAAACTGTGAGAGTGGGAAACGGGAATTGTTTGCCCTTGAATACACACCCTCACTGGGGAACCTGAAGGTTCAGATAACAGAAGAAGGATTTGACCTTACCTGGAGCTGAGACAATCTGAAGAGCTGAGCAAAATACAAGGTTAGAGGAGGCAGCAGGAAAAGCCCTGTGGGCTCTCTGGGTACCCAGAGAAGCCATTTCTAACTTGTCTCACAGGGGTCCTTGGGGAGCACTGCCAGAGAAACTGGGAAAAAAAAACACAGAAAGAAGAAAATCTCCAGCTAGACTTTATGACAATTCCAACCAAATTCAGTTTCCTGGCCAGAACTTAGAAGAGGGCATGAATCGGTTGTGCAGACTTGACAGATGAGGAAGCACAAAAGCCCGGCTGAATGAAACAAGTTTTCAGCCTTCCTTGCCCACTGCCTAGAAACAAACTCAGTGCTGTGGAGGGTGGGGGGAACGGTGGGAGTGACACCAGCCTTTTGGGTTGTGTGGATCCTAGGTGACGCCTGTAACTGCCAGCTTTCCTCCACTTCCTGGACAACCTGCATGACACAACAGAGGCAGCCATAATTCTGGGAACATAGCTCCATTGACCTGGGAACCACAACCTTACTCCCCACAGCAGTCAAATCAAGCTCTGCCCAAGGAGAATCTGAGCTCAGACAGGCCTAACCGTGGCTCCACCTGATGGTCCTTCCCTACCAATGCTGGTAGCTGAAGACAAAGGTCATAATCTCGTGGGAGTTCTAAGGCCTTGCCCACCACCTGATCCTCCCTTATACTACCACAGCTGATCCTCTCTTGAAAGCACCACCTCCTGGCAGGAGGCCAACCAGTACAAAACTAGTGCATTAAACAACTACAACTAAGGAGCCTCACAGAGTCCAGTTTACTCTCTTGCCACCTCCACTGGAGAAGGTGCAGGTATCCACAGCTAAGAGAACTGAAGATGGTTCATATCACAGGACTCTGCAGACACCCCCCAGTACCAGCCCAGAGCATGGTAGCCCTGCTGGGTGGCTAGATCCAGAAAATAAATAAAAATTAATACAGTTCAGCTCTCAAAAAGATATATCCCTAGGAAAAAGGGGAGAGTATTACATCAAGGGAGCACCCCAGAGGACAAAAGAATCTGAAAACCAGCCTCAAATCTCAGATCTTCCTTCAGACATAGCCTACCCAAATGACAAGGAACCAGAAGAATAATTCTGGTAAGATAAAACAAGTTCTTTAGCAACCCCCCAAGAATCACACTAGCTCACCAGCAATGGATGCAAGAAGAAATGGAACCAAGAAGAAATCCCTGAATTGTCAGAAAAAGAATTCAGAAGGTCGATCATTAAGCTAATCGAGCAGACACCAGAGAATGGTGAAGTCCAACTTAAGAAAATCTTCAGTGAAATGGATAGCATAAACATAAAACAACCACAACTTCAGCAAGAGAGGAAAAACTTAGAGAAATGCAAAATGTACTGGAAAGTCTTAGTAATAGAATCAAACAATCAGAAGAAAGAACCTCAGAGCTCGTACACAAGGTTTTCAAATTAACCCAATCCAACAAAGACAAAGAAAAAGAATTTTTAAAAATGAACAAAGCCTCCAAGAAGTTTGGGATTATGTTAAATGACCAAACCTAAGAATAATTGGTGTTCCTGAGAAAGAAGAGAAATTCAAAGTTTGAAAAACATATTTGAGGGATTAATCAAGGAAAAGTTCCCTGGCCTTGCTAGAGATCTAGACGTCTAAATACAAGAAGCTCAAAGAACACCTGGAAAATTCACGAAAAAAAGATCATTGTCTAAGCACATAGTCATGAGTTTATCTAAAGTAAAGATGAAGAAAAGAATCCCAAGAGCTGTAAGGCAAAAGAACCAGGTAATCTACAAAGGAAAACCTGTAAGATTCACTGCAGGTTTCTCAGCATAAACCCTACAAGCTAGAAGGGATTGGGGCCCTCTATTCAGCTTTCTTAAACAAAACAATTATCAGCCAAAAATTTTGTATTCAGTGAAACTAAGCTTCATAGATGAAAGATAGATACAGTCTTTTTCAGACAGACAAATGCTGACAGAATTCACCACTACCAAGCCAACACTACAAGAACTAGTAAAAGGAGCTCTAAATCTTGAAACAAATCTTGGCAACATATCAAAACAGAACCTCTTTGAAACATAAATTCAACAGAACCTAAAAAACAAAAATACAATAAATGAATAAATAAATAAATAACCAAGATATTCAGGCAACAAATAGCACAATGAAGAAAATAGTACTTCACATCTTAATGTTAACGTTGAATGTAAATGGCCTAAGTGATCCACTTAAAAGATACGGAATTGCAGAATGGGTAAGAATTCACCAACCAACTATCTGCTGCCTTCAAGAGACTCACCTAACACATAAGGAAACAAATAAACTTAAGGTAAAGGGATGGAAAGAGATATTCCATGGAAATGGACACCAAAAGTGAACAAACTTTAAAGCAACAGTAGTTTAAAAAGACAAAGAGGGACATTTTATAATGGTCTTGTCCAACAGGAAAATATCACAATCTACATATGTGTGAATCTAACACTGGAGCTCCCAAATTTATGAAACAATTACTACTAGACCTAAGAAATGAGGTAGAGAGCAACACTATAACAGTGGGGAACTTCAATATTTCACTGATGGCACTAGACAGGTCCTCAAGACAGAAAGTCAACAAAGAAACAATAAATTTACAGTATATCCTAGAATAAATAAACTTAAAATATATTTACAGAACATTCTACCCAACAACCACAGAATATACATTCTATACATCAGCACATGGAACTTTCTCCAAGATAGACCACATGATAGGCCACAAAACAAATTTCAATACATTTAAGAAAATTGAAATTAAGTCAAGTATTCTCTCAGACGACATTGAAATAAAATTGAAAATCAACTCCAGAAGGAACCCTCAAAACCATGCAAATACATGGAAATTAAATAACCTGCTCCTGAATGATCATTGGGTCAACTATGAAATCAAGATGGAAATTAAAATATTCTTTGAACTAAATGATAATAGTGACACAATCTATTGAAACATCTGGGATACAGCAAAGATGGTGCTAAAAGTTTATAGCCTTAAATGCCTATATCAAAAAAGTCTGAAAAAGCACAAATAGACAATCTAAGGTCACACCTCAAGAGAATAAAAAAACAAGAACAAACCAAACCCAAACCTAGTAGGAGAAAAGAAATAATGAAGATCAGAGCAGAACTAAAAGAAATTGAAACAAAAAAATTCAAAAGATAAATGAAACAAAAAGCTGGTATTTTTAAAAGATAAATAAAATTGATTGACCATTAGCAAGATTAACCAAGAAAAGAGAGAAGATCTAAATAAGCTCAATTAAAAACAAAAATGAGAGATATTACAACTGACAACACAGAAATACAAAAGATCATTCAAGACTACTATGCAAACATTTACGTGCACAAAGTAGAATACCTACAGGAGATGGACAAATTTCCGGAAATATACAACCCTCCAAGCTTAAATCAAGAAGAATCAGAAACCCTGAAGAGACCAATAATAAGCAGCGAGATTGAAATGGTAATTTTAAAAATTACCAACAAAAAAAGTCCAGGAACAGACAGATTCACAGCTGAATTCTATCAGACATTCAAAAAAGAATTGGTACCAATCCTATTGACACTGTTCCACAAGATAAAGAGAAACTCCTCCCTACATCACTCCATGAAGCCAGTATCACCCTAATACCAAAACCCGGAAAGGACATAACAAAAAAAAAGAAAACTACAGACCAATATCTCTGATGAGCATAGATGCAAAATTTCTTAAGAAAATACTAGTTAACTGGCCGCGTGTGGTGGCTCATGCCTGTAATTTCAGCACTTTGGGAGGCCGAGGCAGGCTAATCACGAGGTCAGGAGATCAAGACCAGAATGGCCAACATGGAGAAACCCCGTCTCTACTAAAAATATAAAAATTAGCCAGGCGTGGTGGCAGGTGGCCGTAATCCCAGCTGCTACTCAGGAGGCTGAGGCAGTAGAATCACTTGAACCCAGGAGGAGGAGGTTGCAGTGAGCCAAGATTGTGCCATTGCACTCCAACCTGGATGACATAAGCGAAACTCTATCTCAGAAAAAAGAAAGAAAGAAAGAGAAAGAAAGAGAAAGAAAGAAAGAAAGAAAGAAAAAGAAAGAAAGAAAGAAAGAAAGAAAGAAAGAAAGAAAGAAAGAAAGAAAGAAAGAAAGAAAATAGTAGCTAACCAAATCCAGCAACATGTCAAAAAGATAATCCACCATGATCAAGTGTGTTTCATTCCAAAGATGCAGGGGGATGCTTTAACATAGGCAAATAAATAAATGTGATACACTATATAAACAGAATTAAAAACAAAAATCATATAATCATCTCAATAGATTCAGAAAAAGCATCTGACAAAATCCAGCACATCTTTGTGATTAAAACCCTCAGCAAAATCGGCATACAAGAGGCATACCTCAATGTAATAAAAGCCATCTATGACAAATCCACAGCCAACATAATACTGAACAGGGAAAAGTTGAAAGCATTCCATGAGAGAACTGGAACAAGACAAGGAAGCCCACTCTGACCACTTCTATTCAACATAGTACTGAAAGTCCTAGCCAGAGCAATCAGACAAGAGAAAGAAATAAAGGGGATCCAGAGTAATAAAGAGAGAGTTGAACTGTCACTGTTTGCTGATGATATGACTGTATACCGAGAAAACACTAAAGACTCCTCCAGAAAGCTCCTAGAACTGATAAATGAATTCAGTAAAGTTTCAGGATACAAGATTAAGTACACAAATCAGTAGCTCTGCTATACACCAACAGATACCAAGCTGAGGACCAAATCAAGAACTCAACCCTCTTTACAATGGCTGCAAAATAAATAAATAAACAAACAAAATACTTAGAAGTATACCTAACCAAGGAGGTGAAAGTCCTTTACAAGGAAAACTACAAAATACTGCTGAAAGAAATCATAGATGATACTAATAAATGGAAACACATCCCAGGATCATGGATGGGTAAAATCAATATTGTGAAAATGACCATACTGCCAAAGCAAGTACAAATTCAACGCAATTCCCATCCAAATAACACCAACATTCTTCACAGAAAGAAAAACCAATTCTAAAGTTCATATGTAACTAAAAAAGAGCCCACATAGCCAAAACAAGACTAAGCAAAAAATACAAATCCCGAGACATCACATTACCTGACTTCAAACTATACTATAATGCCACAGTCACCAAAACAGCATGGTACTAGTATAAGAATAGGCACAGAGACCAATGGAACAGAATAGAGAATCCAGAAATAAACCCGAATACTTACCCCCAACTGATCTTCGACAAAGCAAACAAAAACATGAAGTGGGAAAAGGGCACCCTAATCAACAAATGGTGCTGGGATAATTGGCAAGCCACATGTAGGAAAGTGGAACTGTATCCTCATCTCTCAGGTTATACAAAAATCCAATTAAGATGGATCAAGGACTTAAATCTAAGACCTGAAACTATAAAAATTCTAGAAGATGGCTGGGTGCGGTGGCTTACGCCTGTAATGACAGCACCATGGAGGCCAAGGTGGGTGGATTACCTGAGGTCGGGAGTTTGAGACCAGCCTGACCAACATGGAGAAATCCTTTCTCTACTAAAAATACAAAAAATTAGCCGAGGGTGGTGGCGCATGCCTGTAATCCCAGCTACTCGGGAGTCTCAGGCAGGAAAATCGCTTGAAACCGGGTGGCAGAGGTTGCAGTGAGCCGAGATCACGCTATTGCACGCCAGCCTGGGCAACAAGAGCAAAACTCCGTCTCAAAAAAAAAAATGTATATATATAGAAGGTAACATTGATAAAATCCGTCTATACTTTGGCTTAGGCAAAGAATTCATGACCAAGAATCCAAAAGCAAATGCGACAAAAGCAAAGATAAATAGGTTGGACTAAATACAAAGATAATAGGTGGGACTATTAAAACAAAAGCCAAGATAATAGGTGGGACTATTAAACTAAAGAGCCTCTGCACAGCAAAAGGAAGAGCGAACAGAGTAGACAGACAACCCAGAGAGTGGGAGGCAGTCTTCACAATCTATGCATCTGACAATGGACTAATACCCAGAATCTACAATGAAATCAAACAAATCAGTAAGAAGAAATAACAAAAAATCCCATCAAAAAGTGGGCTGAGGACACGAATAGACAATTCTCAAAAGAAGATATACAAATGGCCAACAAACATATAAAAAACTGCTCAACATCACTAATGATCAGGGAAATGCAAGTCAAAACCACAATGTGATACCACCTTACTCCTGCAGGAATGGCCATAATCAAAAAATCAAAAAAATAATAGACGTTGGTGTGGATGCCATTGAAAAGGAACACTTCTACAATGCTGGAGGGAATGTAAACTAGTATAAACACTATGAAAAACAGTGTGAAGATTCCTGAAAGAACTAATAGAAGAACTACAATTCGATCCAGCAATCCTCCCACTACTGCATATCTACCCAGAGGAAAAGTCATTATACGAAAAAGATACTTGCATATGCAAGTGTATAGCAGCACAATTCACAATTGCAAAACTATGGAACCAGCCCAAATGCCCATCACACGAGAGGATAACAAAATTGTTATACATATATATATATATGTGTGTGTGTGTGTGTAACAATATTGTTATATTGTTATATATACATATAACAATATTGTTATATTGTTATATATACATATAACAATATTGTTATATTGTTATATATACATATAACAATATTGTTATATTGTTATATATACATATAACAATATTGTTATATTGTTATATATACATATAACAATATTGTTATATTGTTATATATACATATAACAATATATGTATATATACATATATAACATATATACACATATATACACATATACACATATATACACATATATATAACATATATACATATATACACATATACACATATATGTATATACACATATACACATATATGTATATATACACATATATGTACATATATGTGTGTACATATATGTGTATATATACATATACACATATATGGGTATATAGACACATATGCATATATATATTTATACATATATACATATATATGTATAAATATATACATATATATGTATAAACATATACACATATATGTATAAATATATACACTATAACAATATTGTTATATATATGTATAACAAAATTGTTATATATATGTATAACAATATATGTATAACAATATATGTTATATATATAACAATATATGTATTGTTATATATATATAACAATATATGTATTGTTATATATATATAACAATATTGTTATATATATATGTATGTGTGTGTGTGTGTGTGTGTGTATATATATATATATGATTGAATACTACTCAGCCTTAAAAACAAACGAATTAATGGCATTTGCAGCAACCTGGACGGAACTGGACAGTATTATTCTAAGTGAAATAACTCAGGAATGGAAAACAAAGCATCGTATGTTTTCACTCATAAGTGGGATCTAAGATATGAGGACGCAAAGGCATCAGAATGATAAAATAGACTTTGAGGACTCAGGGAACGGGTGGGAGGGGCATGAGGGATAAAAGACTACAAACTGGGTTCAGTGTATACTGCTCGAGTGATGGGTGCACCAAAATCTCACGAATCACCACTAAAGCACTTACTCATGTAGCTAAATACCACCTGTTCCCCAAAAAACCTATAGAAATAAAAAAATTTAAAAATTAAGAAAATTTTAAAAAGAAAAGCTAATTTTCAAAAGAAATCAAATTAATCACCCAACTTCTCAATTTAAAAAACTAAATGAAAACCATTTACTATCACTCAGAGGTGGGTTTAGTTTTATTTTCTATTGTCATCTTTTGATCATTGTAAATTATGAGAGTTGGATCTGTAGCACTTCTCAAATTGGCCTCTATGTTCCTCCAACCTAACAGTGCCCTCTTCTGGCTTCATGATTCACATTCAGCTGGTTCACTGATGTTGAAAAAAAAAAGATGATGGAAAAAAAACCTGTTTTGAAACCTGGAATAATAAAGGCTTTAGATCTCCGTTTTAATATAATGAAAACAAACAAAATTCCAGTTGCAAGTATAATGGTGGTTTCCAGCAGCTGGAAGGAGGGTAAAATGGAGAGTTGTTTGATAGGTATGGAAAAGTTCTCGAGATTGGTTGTACAACAATGAGAATATACTTTACCTTATTGAACTGTACACTTAAAAAATGTTAAGATGGTAAAGTTTATGTTATGTATGCTTTACCACAAAGCATATAAACAAATAAATAAATAAATCTAATTGTGGTATAAATAGTCAATGTTGATAGAAGCAACTCTAAGTTGGGACTGTTTTCACCTCAAGTCAAATGTTTACCGTAAATTAAACCTAGCTGGAGTTGATAAAATTTTTAATTCCTGTTACTTTACTAACGAGGCACATATTTCTCTTAATTTGCTAAAACTATAGCTATAGAACGACTTAACTGCAACTCTTAATGTCTTTAGTCGTGAAGATTTAGAGACCTATGTAAAAAGACTGTGAAATTGTTACTTCATTTACTTGAATAAATAATAAAATATTCTTCAGTTTCTAAAAATAAAGACTCCAAAGTTTGACTTGTATATCTGAGTGGAAGGCATAACATTTCACTGAGATGAAAGAAAAAAAAAACTAGGAAAGGAGCAAATTTGGTGGATTAAGGATAGACCAATGGTTCTCAACTGGGGACAATTGTGTACCCGAGGGGACATCTGGCAATGTTTGGAAATCTTTTTGGTTATCACAACTTGAGGAGTAGGGAGTAGTACTGGCATATAGTTGGTAGAGGCTTAGCTTAGGACATTGCTAAACGGTAAACTCTGGCAACCACTACAAAGATTGATTTGGCCTCAAATGTCAATAGCACCAAGATTGAGAAACTCTGGGTTAGAATCTTCTTCGCTGACTTTGACCACTCTTTCTCAGCCTTTGCAGCAGACTTCTTTTCTTCTATCTGTCTCTAATTACTCAATATTCTGTTTTTAGCTCAATTATTTTTCCTTTAGATTTTCTCTTGGGGATATAATCCATTCCCTTGTCTTTAACTATCACCTCTATGTTGCTGTCTCCCACATCAGTATGTCTAGTTCCAACTACTCTTCTAGCTCTAAAATATTGCCTCTCTCAATGCCTCCCTCACATCTTTTCATTAAGCTACAGCTACATCTGACTTTTCTGTCTTTATTAGTAGCATTTGGCACAAAACCACGGGGTCATTTATTTCCCAAATATTTACTGAGTACCTAATTTGTGTAAAGGGCTGTGCTGGTTACTTGGAGGAAGGTAGAAGGGTGGAGATAAGAGATAGTTATAGTAGTAAATGCTTTACATGTATTATCCCTGGTTATGGAAACACCTTTGCAAGGAAAAAATTATGGCCTAGAAACCAAAGTTCCAAGAATTTAAATAATTACTCAAAGAGCTCAGAGCTTGTAAACAGCAGAGTTTAACAGGCACTTCTACTCTGGCATTAAGGACTAAGCTCTCTCCATTTAAAAAAACAAAAAACAAACAAAAAGCACTGAGAACAAAGCTGAAGAAGTGTGATCTAGTTTGTCCATAGCTAAAGGGAGATGGATGTGTAGGCTATTTTAATAATGAAGGTCTAAGAAGTTCCAGAAGCCTTTTCTTCTGAGACACGTGGTACTTTCTTCTGGTTACCATAAATCATAGAATATAACATATCATCACTAGTAAGATGGGTCATTATTTTCCATACCTACAAGAAAGAAAAAAAAAAGCTGCCAACTAAAGTATAGTGTACCATCAATTGTTAGGTCGCAGAGATTTCCTAGATATTCAAATTTGGGGAAAAACATAATAAGCCTTCAAAAATTACAAATTTGCTTAAAAAATAAAGAAAAAATGATCTTAGATTCTATGACATACGGTGAATTCATTTTCCACATTCAATTTCCATGGTTTGTGCTAGTGTGCTATTCTGCACTCTAGTCAACTTACATGTTTGCATATTGCTTTTTAAATGTTTGTAGCTAGTTTCACAGCTCTGTGATGTGCATCTGCAGCTGGCTTGTAAAGCTCTTCAATAATTTATTTGGTTACCGCCCACCCCCGCGTCCCTCCCACACATATAAGCCATTCAGAGTTTACCACTTA
This sequence comes from Homo sapiens, assembly GCF_000001405.40. NCBI lineage: Eukaryota > Metazoa > Chordata > Mammalia > Primates > Hominidae > Homo > Homo sapiens. The sequence goes on from NC_000023.11 coordinate 56,729,010, forward strand.
AAGGTAAACTTGAATTTCTTCTCATCTTAAAATTGCATAAATTATATTAAATTCTCAATAAATTTATTTACATTTAGTGGGGGTGGGGCGCGATGGAAAAACACTATATTAAATAACGACATCGGTTTTTAACACCCATCCTAATAGAAACATTAAAATAGAATGGGGTAGGGAGGAGGGGTGGAGGCGGAGAAGGGATGTACGTCTCAGGATACAGGAAATACGGTAAGAGCGAAACAGGAGGAAGCCAGCTCTGTGCCTGGAGGGGACTCGCCGCCATCTCAGGTCTCTTGGCTTTGCCAGGGCCCACCGGAGAAAACTGACGACCCGTTTCTGTAATCCTTATGGGAGACCAACCTTGTGCCTCCGGGAGATCCACTCTCCCACCTGGAAACGCACGGGAAGCCAAGCCTCCAAAAAAGCGCTGCCTCCTCGCTCCGCGTTGGGATTATCCGGAAGGAACTCCCAACGGAGGTAGTACCACTCTACCCTCCGCACCTCCTCCTGCATCAGCCGGCCTGAAGTCGCACCCTCCTCCTCCGGAGAAGTAGAGAAATAAATTTCTCCCACCCTAAACCAGGTCAGATTCTTTCTCATCTAGGACATCTAGGCTCTTTGAAACTTATTTATGCATTCTCACAAATTTCCTTCCCCTTTTCCCTGTTCTTTCCATGATTTCAAAATAGAAAAAATAACATGCAGGGATTAAGCAGCTCTTTCACAAAATATGCTTGAATGAAATGATGGATATTTAACGACATTAAATAATTATTTGTAATATTTTAGATGAAATAATTGTAGTTATATTTTCTAAGAAATAGACTTGAATCTTTTGATTTGCTTGAAAGTAAGTCATTGGTGCCAAGGTGGAGGGAAAGTGTAATAAAAATGCTCATGAGTTGATAATTTAAAGCTGGGTGATGTATATGTAGGGATTTATTATATTATTCTCTCTACTTTTGCGTGCATTGGAAAATTTTTTTGTTAAAAAAAAAAAGGCTGGTTCAAGGCCAATAAAAAGCATCTGTTGAAGGCCAGCCTTCAGAAGTGTATGTCTTTCTCTGTGTAAGGCAGGAGAGTTGAATTTTTTTTTTTAAAGCTACAATGTGATAGTCAAATCCAAGTGCCATAATGTTTGCTTGTTCAAGGTATTCAGGAAGGGTGGAGGATGGACCAAGTCACTGCCTGGTAGTAATCATGAGCCATCAAAAAGGAGGAGTAGGGGGGCGGACGCGGTGGCTCACGCCTATTATCCTAGCACTTTGGGATGCCGAGGTGAGCAGATCAGGTCAGGAGTTCGAGACCAGCGTGGCCAACACGGTGAAACCCCGTCTCTACTAAAGTTACAAAAATTAGCCAGGCGTGATGGTGGACGCCTGTAATCTCAGCAACTCGGGAGGCTAAGGCAGGACAATCATTTGAACCTGGAAGGCAGAGGTTGCAGTGAGCCGAGATCGCGCCATTGCTCTCCAGCCTGGGCGACAATAGCAAAAAACTACGTCTCAAAAAAAAAAAAAAAAAAAAAAAAAAAAAAAAAGGAAGGAGGAACTTTGGGTGGGCCTTAAAGGTTGAGTGACATCTGCCATGTGGAGGGGCAGGGAATGCTTTTCAGGCCGAGGGTTTCCAGAGAAAAGGCAGAATTCTTCTGGAAACAGCTTGGCTATAATTTTGAATCTACAAGAAGGACTAGGAGGTGAAGATAAAGTGCTTCAGGGCCTTAAATGTTATGCTGAGCATATACTTCATTCCAATATCCATCAAGTGCTACTATTTGTATTTTAAGATTCCTATTCTTACTATCAGAAAAGGAATCTCTGATATTTAGATGAACTTTATAGAATGCAAATTATAAAACTGAATCTGACCCAAGTTTTATAGATCCTTTTAATTCAAAGGAGAGAAGCATCTTTTCTTCATTCGTGCAGTAAACCTTTATGAAGCCCTTGCAATGGGTAGGAATTATTCTGAGAGCTGTAGGGGATGGATGGCCAAGGCATAGTGCCTAGTACATAATAGGAGTGAAACAGATATTTCAATAAATAAATCAATGAATGATGGGACAACTTTGGCGACCAAAAAAGTTTTAGACATTGGGTTTGGTGGTAATGCATAGAAAAAAAAAAATAGAAATCTATTTTACTTGAAAGCATCTCCCTGTCATTCCATACAGTTTTACTTCTCACATGTTTACCTCTATTCAAAGGGGTAGTGGAGTGGAAGGTTGCAGGGAGTAGGGAGAAAATTGCTCAGATAGAAAACAAAAGAGCAGCCGGGCGCAGTGGCTCACGCCTGTAATCCCAGCACTTTGTGCCGCTGAGGTGGGCAGATCACCTAAGGTCAGGAGTTCGAGACCAGCCTGGCCAATATGGCGAAACCCCATCTCTACTAAAAGTAAAAAAAAAAAAAAAAAAAATAGCCGGTCATGGTGTTGTGTGCCTATAATCCCAGCTACTCGGGACGCTGAATTAGGAGAATCGCTTGAATCCAGGAGGCAGAGATTGCAGTGAGCCGAGATCATGCCACTGCACTCCAGCCTGGGCGACAGACCGGGACTCGGTGTAAAAAATAAATAAATAAATAATTTTAAAAAATAAAAAGGAAAAAGAAAAGAAAACAAAAGAACAAAACAATAAGTGCAGTAGCTACATAATTTCCCCTCCAAGTGATTCAAATCACTGATAATTGTAATAATAGCCAATATTTACTGAAGATTTATGTGCCAATTTTCTAAAGGGCTTTGCATGTTATAATTTATTTAATCACAACTCTACTAGAGAAGTTTGTATAGACCAAGGGAAGTTGTATGACTTGCCACAAGTTACACAGCAAGAAGTAGCTGAGCTGAGCTTTGAACCCAGAACACCTGATTCCAGAGTTTATGCTCTAAACTTCTATATAATACATCCCTTCTAATACTATGTATACAACTGTTTTATAGGAATAAATCATTGAAATAGAGGTATGGGAAGGATAATGATTTGAGGAGACCAAGGGACAAAGAGATGGACAAAAACAGAAAAAATGATGCCACAATATTTTTTACTATTTTTCAGTCTTTGAGTGATTGCAGTATGACTCCATTTCCCTGGTGCATTCATATAATAGTTCACCTGGTGAAAACAATGAAGATTATTTACAATGCTACCCTGCTTTTTCTGGTGTCCTGAACCTGGAAGTTGTGCTTTTTAAGGTAATCTCTTTACCAAAAATTATTAAGAGGAGGAAGAGAAAAAAAAGAGTTGGTTTTGACACATTAAAAAGTAGCCAAACAAAACTCAAAAAGATAGCAGCAAATGATAAAATTGAAACTATATTCTACATTATATGAAAACATATTCATAATAATAGTGTAATCTGAAGAAATGTTTTGTTAGATTCACTTGTACTTATAGTTTCTATTATTACTGTGAAATATATCATCTTTTTAACTACATTTTCTAATTGTTTCTAGTAAATGGGAACATGATTGATATTTTTGTATATTTATTTTATATGCTGGAGCCTTCTTAAATTCTGTTTATTCTAATAATGTATAGATTTTCTTGGATTATCTGTTAATTAATTATATTTTGAATAATGACAGTTTCTTTACAATATTTCTTTACCTTATATTACTGTGCTAGCTAGGATCTTCAGTACAAAGAGGAACAACAGCATTGGTAGAGGATTTCCTTATTTTGTTCCTAAATTCTACAAAAGTTTCACCTTTTTTAGTAGATTGTCTTTCTCAAGTTAAGGAACTTTCTTAATGTTCCTAGTTTGCTGAGAGGTTTTATTACAAATATTATGAAGTTTTTTCCCGTCTATATGTACTGCCACTTTCATATCCTTTCTTCACCATTAATATCACAGTGTGACCATGTGATAAATTACAATAATCAATTTTCTAATGTATTTCTTGCTTTTGCTTTCATCGAGCCTCGTCATTGGATATTTGGTTCCTATTTTAATCATTTTGACTTTTATTTTTATATTGAACTTTCTTCTACTTTCCTTTTATTGTTCTTTTTCTAATTTATTGAGTTGAATCTTTAGCATCTTAATTTTCAATGTTCTTCTGTAAAATAAGAATTTAGAACTATAAATTTTCTTCTACCACTTTAGAAATATTTCACAGACTTTTATATATAGTATTTTTATCATTCAATATTTATTATTTTTAAATTTCTCTTATGATTTTTTTGACCCATGGTTTGTTTTTTTTCAATTTCTAATCATATGGGATTCCTTTTTTAAAAAATATATTATGAAATCATTACATTATTCCCATTCTAGTTTAACTTTATCTTATTTTTCTTTTTTAATTTTTTTTACATCTATAGACTTTATTAGATGTTCTTTATACAGTCATCTGGTATGTATAAAGAGTGAACAATCATATAAAAGGAAATATGGTCATAACTGATTGAATTAATAAAATCCTGAAACTAAATAACTCATAATTCATTGCACAACATATATTAGGTTTCATTAGATCAGTATATAGCTTAGTAGTAAACTCTCCTGATGGCCATAAACCTCTAAGGTGTTGTCATCCTGAAAAATGAAGGAGGGGAGGGAGCTGGTGGGGTGCAGAATGGAGAAACCTTCCATAGTGCTGGTGTGATGTACCCTAAGTTGTAAAGTTATAGGGCATCGCCACCTAGTGGCAGAATTTCATGCCTTGTTCTAATTAAGGGACTTTCCTTGTTTTCCAAAGAGCAATGTGTCTTGTTCACTTTCTAACCATCCCTCTCTGATGCTGTCCTTCCTAAAATCCATGCCTCCTCCCATACAGTGTAAACCCATCTGCTTTTCATCCATCAAGCTGTCAAGGATTTGGTTATGACAATTTTTATGTTCACCTAACTTTTTAGTTCCAAGTACTTCGGTTATTTTCAAAGCTACACACAGGATGCCCATATTTTTATAACTCCATCTTATTTGTGAAGGATTATTACTTTGTGCTTTGGCCTAGTTTTTATTCTTACTGCTGAATCTTTTCATAAGTTAAAGTTATTGCAGAGTTAATGCTTTAAAAGGCAGTCCTTAGAGTAAATAGCTAAATGAAATCATTACCAAAATGTACACTTTGGATTTATTAAGATTCTAGAATTTAAAAACAGGAAAAGGTGCCATTAGTGAAAATTCCATCACTAACATTTTGGTACCACTCGTAGAGCATCACATAAATATTCAGACCGTGATAACTCAGTGCAGGAATGTTATCAAATATGTCCATGCAATCTGGAACTAGGACCAGAGTTGGCAATTGGGGGTCTGAAGGCCCAACATCCCTTACACTGCTTCCTACACCTTGACAACAGGAAGGCTGAGTGATACTAGGTAGTGCACTACAACAGTGAACATAAGCCAGCCATCTGTTTTTTGCAAAGTATAATAAAATAGAAAAACAGAACATAGACCACTTCAGAGCAAACAAACATATCCTTCTTCAAGATGTAGGAAAACCATATATTCAAAACCAATCTCAAACTTTAAACAATAAAAGATATCAAACATTTTAAACTGTACAAAGCAAATTAGCAAGATTTTAATGTTGGCAGTTTTAAAATGTCACCCATCCAAAACACAAAACAGGGAGATAACCAAGTCTTAGCTCCATCCTAATCAAAGCTGTCATGCAGATCCAGTTCCACTCTTCTCATCTCCAGCAGGTACTTCACTCAAGGAGGTAACACCCAAGGGGAGTAGATGGACCAAAAACAAGAGTGCCACATAGAAGGAAGAGAGGGGACCTTGGACTTTAGCTACTGGTTAGCTATTCAACTTTGATGATATTCAGTGTTTTCCCAAGTTATTTTTTCTCGCTTCTCATCACATAATTTACATTATGCATACTATGTGCCAGAGACTGTTTGACATGTAGTCAGTTAATTTTCACAACTGTGTAAAGTTGGTTTCTATCATTAGCTCTATCTTAGGGCCAAAGAAACTGAAGCACGGAGAGGTTAAATTGTATTCCTAAAGCACTACACAGTGAGCAAATAGATTCAGACCTGTGCAGTCTAACCCAGAATTAGCTCTGAATCACTCTACCATTCTGTCTACAGGACAACAAGCCTGTGTGTTTCAGGTACTTTCATGGTGATTTTTCACACAGGACAGCTTTTGATAATAGAAAGGCCCTCTCTTTCAAATGAAAGGACTTCACTGATGGATTAACAAATTCTCACCTTTTCACCTATGTGAGCCAAATACTAGATCTACTTTCTTAGTCTTCATAACAAGCAGGACGATAACCATAATTTATAATGAACACAAAACATTGATATAGTGTTCAAAGAACTTTTGCACACTTGGTCTCGTTTGGAAGAATGAAGTAATCTGGAAACATAGAATAGGCATACACTGTGACTTTAGGAAGAACTCTCACAAAATCAGAGGTTGCCCTATGTAATATCACACTTTTTACCTTGAGCAGGTGGATAGCCTGGGAGTTCTTGTTATACCTCAATCTTGGTCCATTCTATTTGTTCCCCTGTCCTTCAGCAGTGCCCTTAGGCTTGCTTTAAACATTAACAGCATTCATAAGCATGGTTTCTAGGGTCAGAGCCCAGCCTCCCTCCACCCACCCGGCTCCCTACACACCTTGACAGTGCTCTTTGAGATGCCTCAGTTCTAGTCTCCTTGTAATTGTGCACAGTAGATGTCTGAACAAATAGACCAGAGTCCTGCAAAAGTGATCTTGAAATCACAATTAAAAGAGACTTTGGAGAGATCTACTCAGGAAAATTTTCTGAATAGACAAATGCTTTTAAAGGGGGTTCTAGACAGTCCGTCTTTTCTGCCTCCTTCTGCGAAGTAGGGCTACACTAAAACCTTGTCACAATGTGACCTGAGCAAAACCATTATCAAGTGATTTAGTTGTCTTGAACCAGACAAAAGAAAATTGACATGATTTCAAGATAGGTTTAGAAAAATAATCTGACTAGCAAAAAAAAAAAAAAAAATGGGGGGTGGTTCCTAGGGAATATGAGACTTGATATTTTAGCAAAAATTTAAATATGCTCTTTATGATACACACATTTCTCGTTGCTTTACAAATTTTAAATGTAACACAAATTTGTTTTTCACACTGTTTTGTTAGTTGAGGTAAGGCATTCCTGCCGCACGCAGCAATGACTCGTCCTGGAAAACCAGGGAGGCTGCATATCCTACTGTTCCTTCTCTACTAGCTGTGGCTCCACACTCTCACCTCCACCAAAGAAAGCATTTCAGAATTTAGGGGTGGAAATGATGACAACATTGAATAATTCTATTTTTTTCTTTTTTTTGAGACAGAGCCACTGTCGCTCAGGCTGAAGTGCAGTGGCGCAATCTAGGCCCACTGCAGCCTCCGCCCCCCGGGGTCAAGCAATTCTCCTGCCGCAGCCTCCCAAACAGCTGGGACCACCGGTGCCCGCCACCATGCCCGGCCAATTTTCCGCATCCCTAGTAGAGACGGGGTTTCACCATGTTGGTCAGGCTGATCTCAAATTCCTGACCTCAGGAGATCTGCCTGCCTCGGCCTCCCAAAGTGCTGGGACCACAGGCGTGAGCCACCACGCCCGGCCAATGATTCTAATTTATATTTTTAAAAATTACCTTATAATCTTAAAACTTTTAACTGATGAGTATCCAACCCTTAAACTTTATAACAATCATTTCCAAAGTGGAAAAGTCACTGGGATATGGGGAAAAGTATGATTTGTTTTTGTACTTCTATTTTTCTAATGTCTACTTTTTGTTTTCTAGTCTACATGTTAGCACAGGAGTATATATATTACTTAAGTATACCTATGTTGGAGTGCATACAGAATTTCTTTTTAAATGATAGGATGCAAAATCAAATCTATTTGGATAGCAGTGAAGAGGCTGTTTTTCAATCCTGGCAAACTAGGGGGTGCATACCCCCTTTTTTATTTAGTAGCTTCCATAAGGCTATAACTCATGGAAGTTACATCCTTACATAAACTGATGGGCTATCCAACCAGTGAGGAAAACTGATAAAGTGGCCTCTGAGCTCCAGGAAGTAGTTAAACACTACTAAAAACATCTTGAAAATTTGGAAAAAAATTTAACAGTAAATGGATTCAGTAGTTATTCAGTATAAGGTTTGGAATAACTCCAGCCATTACAATAGACATTTATTTAAAGTAAAACATCTGCAGACCAAATAATTCTTAAAATTGTTTGTTTCAAGTTTAACCATCTTCATAACAGCTGCATCCACAGACTTCAACTACATGATTACTTCTTTGCCCATTCTTCTCTTTCTTTTCTTTCCCGAATAACCTCTTGCACATACAGTTCAAGGTAGAAATTTTCCTCTTCATATTTGGTCCACTGCTCTTTAGGCAAGATCTGATGCTTCATGGTCAGGTCCAATGCACTCTTAATGTGACACATCCTGTCATTATAAAGGTTCTCAGGAAGCCTTCTTATGGCTTCTTTTATGTCTTCATCCTCATATATTGTATCATCTCTCATTAACCCCAGTTTATTGAATCCTGCAGTATTGTAATACCATTTTCGAATACCATCCAGCCACTTGCCTGATGCTGAAATGGCCTGCTTGCCAGCCATTTTGACCTGCTTTAATTTTTTTTAATCCTTCTTATAACAAGATACAAAAATTATACACTGGCTGCTCATCCCAACAGAATTTGGCAATATAAAACATTTTCTTTCATTAAATACATAGAAAAAGTGTGGTTATTGATATTTATTGATGTAGTTATTATTGAATTTTATATTTGTGTTTTTAAAATTTTTATTTTTATTTAATTTCACACTTGAAAAACCAGGAATATTACAAAGAACTCCCAGAATGTCCTTTACCCAGATTCACCAATTAACATTTTATCACGTTTGCCTTATCATTCTGTTTTTCTCTTCCTCTCCTCCTTCTCCTATTTGACAGTAGTTTGCAAATATCATTCTCCTTTACCTCTTAATATGTCAGTGTGTATTTCCTCAGAATGATGATTTCCTCTTATACATCCTCAGTAAATGTGTCACAATCAAGAAATTTGACATTGTTTCAATATCATAATCTACGCCATATTCCAATGTTATCAGTTGTCCCAATAATGTCTTTTGTGGTTATTTTCTTTCCTTGGTCAAAGTGCTAATCCAAGATGATGCATTACATTTACTTGTCATGTCTCTTCAGTTTTTAATATGGAACAATTCCTTGACCTTTCTTTGTCTTTTATGTTTATAGAAAAACAAACTTAGTTTCTCTCATTATATTCTCACAACCCCACTTCTGACACTGATTGTGTGGAAAAAAAGTTTTTCTTTGGCTCTTGTACCACAGCAACCAACACAGAAAGCTTGTGAACAAATGTATTGGGATTTTTTCTCACCGACAGGCAAGTAAACAATTCTGCAGTGGACACCAGCTGGGTGTTCTCCAATCCAATTCAATTCTGAAGCTATCTCCCTACAGAAAGTATCAGATCCCACAGATTGAGGGCTTAGTCCCACGAGACTGCCTCAACTTTAGACATCAGTTTCAAATCTGGGCCTCTGGAACTTTTAACTGACCAGCTTCAAGTTAGGGTTCCCGCAACCTCTCTCTTTAGGCTCAAATAATTTGCTAGAACAACACACAGAACTCAGGGAAACACTTACTTACATTTACCCATTAACAGCCAGATGAAGAGATACATAGAGTGAGGTCTGGAAGGCTACTGAGCACAGGAGCTTCCATTCCTGTGGAGTTAGGGTGTGCCACCCTCCTGGCATGTGGATGAGTTATTTGTCACCTTTCTGAAATCCTCCACAAATTCAGCTGTACTTTGTCCTCTTGTGCTTTTTATGAAGACTTTATCTGATAGGCACTAATGAAGCATGAACAACCATGTAGAAATGTGACTGGACTAAAGGGTATGATCTAATACCAATAGACTTGGTGGAGAAACCCAGCAAGGCTTGTCTGTTCAGATTCTTCTTGGTTTCTCTGTGCAGCATTCCTTCCTCCTGGGTATGGGGCAGGACTCTTTCTGAAATGGGAGTCTTATGACCCACAGTCAAACTAGGTAGGTCAGAGAATTTCTTTACGACCAGCTCCAAGCCAGAAAGCTGGGTGAAGATTAGAGTATATTTTTAGTTTCTATGGCTTGCCTTTGGGAGAAAAAAAAAGCAGGTAAAAGGAGGGCAGGAGAAAGTCAGAGAGAGATTCTGTTTTGTGAAGCCTAAAGTGCCCCAACATTATACATATATATGTGTGTTTGTGTGTGTATATATATATATATATATATATATGTATGTATATATATATATTTTTATATATATATATATAGAGAGAGAGAGAGAGAGAGAAACTGTCTCTCACTTTTATTTCTCTGAAGCTGTTTCAAAGCTGCTTCAGGAACCAAAGACAAAAGACCAAATACTTTAACAAGAGATATGCTTATTTCTTTAGTCACTTAGGAAATAACAAGAGATTTGGGAGTTATAAGCCAGGAACCATGGACAAAAACCAATATATATATATCACAATATCACACATCGACAATTGACACTTGGGTAAATACAGGACACTTATTTCATAGATTGTCCTTTAATTTAAATTTGTGTGCCATTTCCCCATTATTCAGAGTACGCATATTAGCAAAAGCACCACAGAAGTAATGTATTGTTCTCAGGGCATCATAATGGTGGTACATGATGCTGGTTTGACCCTTTAGTAGTAAAGTTAACTTTGATTACTTGGTTAATGTGGTGAATAGTTGCTAGATTAATCCACTTTACAGTTATCATTTTCCTCTTTATAATTAATGATTTTGCTGGGGATACTTTGAGACTATGTAAATATCCTGTTCCTCATTAAATTATCATCCACTGGTTTTCAAATCCATTGATAATTCTTGACTGAATCAGATATTGCTATGATGAATGCAAAATGGTAATTTTCAAACTCCATCATTTTTAGTACATTTATTAGTTTATATTCTACATCAAGGTAGAGCTTTTTCTCCATTTATTTGTTTATTAATTACTTTGGACACATAGATTTTTACTTTATTTTAAAAATACCCTATTGTTATTATTTATTTTAATACCCAAATTGTCTCAGATTTAGTGACTGGCTGCCCATTCAAGTTGGCTCCCCTGTCTTTTGACATGTGTCATCATTCTTAAACACACTTTTTACTTACTTTAAAATTTTTTTACTTCCTTACTTTCAAGCTTGTCTTGTACTTCCTACCCCATTAATCATTTCTCTATAGACCTCTGTTATCTTTTATGGAGACAGTATTTAGAAACTAAGTCATTGTATATAGCTGTTTTTTAGCTTAACATTTTGTCATTGTTTTCCATTTAAAAGACAATATTGCTTATGTGATAATGATTATTTAGTGTTTGTTGAAACTTGCTTTATGTCCTAGAGAACATGATCAACTAGTGTTTTATGTGTGCCTGGAAAGATTGTGTATCTAATTTTTGCGTGTAGTGTTCTGTTCATTAAATTTAACTGTGTTGTTTAAATCTTCTCTATTCCTAAGTTTTTTGTTTGCTGGACCTATCAGTTACCAAGAGAGTTAAAATCTCCCACTGTATTTGTGTATTTGTCAAATTCTTACACTTTTGACAATTTTTGCTTTGTATACTTGAGGCATTGTTAGTATGTACATACAAGTCTAGAATAGATACATATTTTACAATTTTAGGAACTCTTTTTATCTTTTTGAATGTAAATTTTTTTTGTTTGCTGGGTCTTTTTAATTTTGTAAAATCTTTCTGGGTACCTAGTAGTTGTATACATTTATGGGGTATATGAGATGTTTTGATACATGCAAAGTGTAATAATCACATCATGTACAATGGGGTATCCATCATTTCAAGCATTTATCCTTTGTGTTACAGACAATTTAATTATACAGTTATATTATTATTGACTATAGTCACCCTGCTGTCCTATCAAATAATAGGTCTTATTCATTCTTTTTGTATACCCGTTAACCATCCCCACTCTCCCCCACCACCCATTACCCTTCCCAGCCTCTGGTAACCATCTTTCTACTCTCCATCTCCATGAGTTCAATTGTTTTGATTTTTAGATTCCACAAATAAGTGAGAACATGTGATGTTTGTCTTTCTGTGCCTGGCCCATTTCACTTAACATAATGATATCCAGTTCCATCCATGCTGTTGTAAATAACTAGATCTCATTCTTTTTTATGACTGATTAGTACTCCACTATGTATATATACCACATTTTCTTCGTTCATGTATCTGTTGATGAACCCTTAGGTTGCTTCTAAATCTTAGCTGTTGTAAGCAGTGCTGCAACAAACATGGGAGTGCAGATATCTCTTTGATAATACTGATTTCCTTTGTTTGGGGTATATACCCAGCAGTGGGATTGCTGGGTCATATGGTAGCTCAATTTTTAGTTTTTTGAGGAATCTTCAAATCGTTCTCCATTGTGGTTGTACTAATTTACATTCCCATCAACAGTGTACAAGCATTCCCTCTTCTCCGCATTCTTGCCAGCATTTGTTATTGCCTGTCACTTGGATATAAGCCATTTTAATTGAAGTGAGATAATATCCCATTGTAGTTTTGATTTGCATTTCCCTGATGATCAACTACAATGAGTACTTTTTCACATGCCTGTTTGCCATTTGTATATCTTCTTTTGAGAAAGGTCTATTCAAATCTTTGTCACAATTTTGATCAAATTATTAGATTTTTTCCTATTGAGTTGTTTGAGCTCCTTATATATTTTGGTTATTAATTTCTTGTCAAAAGTGTAGTTTGCAAATATTTTCTCCCATTGCACCTATACTTTATAGACTGTTTGCTTTGCTGTGCAGAAGCTTTTTACTTGATGTGATCCCATTTGTTCATATTTGCTTTGATTGCCTTTGCTTGTGGGGTATTAATTAAGAAATTTTTGCCCAGATCAATGTCCTGGAGATTTTTCCCATATTTTCTTGTTGTAGTTTCATAGTTTGAGGTCTTTGACTTAAGTCTTTAATACATTTTGATTTGATTTTTGTGTATGGCAAAAGATAGCTATCTAGTTTCATTCTTCTGCATATGGATATCCAGTTTTCCCAGCACCAATTATTGAAGAGACTGTCTTTTCCATAGTGTATGTTCTTGGCACCTTTGTGGAAAATGAGTTTGTTAGGTGTGTGGATTTGTTTCTGGGTTCTCAGTTATCTTTCATTGGTCTATGTGTCTGTTTTTGTGACAATACCATGCTGTTTTGATTACTGTAGTTCTGTAGTATAATTTGAAGTCAGGTAATATGATTCCTCCAGTTTTGTTCTTTTTGCTTAGGATAGCTTTGGTTATTCTGGGTCTTTTGTGGCTCCATATAAATTTTAGGATTGTTTTTTCTATTTCTGTGAAGAATGTTTTTTGTATTTTTATAAGTATTGCATTGAACCTGTAGATTGCTTTTTGTGGCATGGACGTTTTAACAATATTGATTCTTTCAATTCATGAACATGGACTATCTTTCCATTTTTTGGTGTCCTCTTCAATTTCTTTCATCAGTGTTCTACAGTTTTTATTAAAGAGATCTCCCACTTCTTTGGTTGAGTTAATTGCTAGGTATTTAATTTTATGTTTGGCCATTGTAAGTGGAATTACTTTTAAATTTCTTTTTCAGATTGCCCAATGTTGGCATGTGGAAATGCTACTGATTTTCGTATGTTGATTTTGTATCCTGCAACTTTACTGAATTTATCAGTTCTTATAGTTTTTGTGGAATCTTTATGCTTTTCCAAACACAAGATCAAATCCTCTGCAAACAACGGTAATTTGACTTCTTCCTTTCCAATTTGGATGCCCTTAATTTCTTTCTCTTGTCTGATTGCTCTAACTAGGACTTGCAGTACTATGTTGAATAACAGTGGTGACAATGGGCGTCCTTGTCATGTTTCAGATCTTAGAGGAAAAGCTTTCAGTTTTTCCCTATTTGGTATGATACTAGCTGTGGGTCTGTTATATATGGGTTTTATTATGTTGAGGTATGTTCCTTCTATACCCATTTTTGAAGGTTTTTATCATGACGGCATGTTGAACTTTATCCAATGCTTTTTCAGCATCAAGTGAAATGACCATATGGTTTTTGTCCTCCATTGTGTTGATACTATGTATCACCACTGTTGAACCATCCTTCCATCCCAGGGATAAATCCCACTTGGTCATGATGAATAATCTTTTTAATGTATTGTTGAATTTGATTTGCTAGTAGTGTGTTGAAGATGTTTGCATCAATATTTATCAGAGATATTGGCCTGTTTTTTTTTAATTTGTTTCTGTCTGATTTTGGTATCAGGCCTCATGGAATTAGTTTGGAAGTATCCCTTCCTCCTGTATTTTTCAGAATAGTTCAGGTAGGATTGATATTAGTTCTTCTTTAAATATTTGGTAGAATTCAGCAGTGATGCCATCAGGTCCCAGGCTTTTCTTTACTGGGAGACTTTTTATTATGGCTTTTTATTGGTCTTTTCAGGTTTTGGATTATCTTCATGGTTCAGTCTTGATATGTCATATGTGTAGAGGAGTTTCTCTATTTAGTCTAGATTTTCCACTTTATTGGCATATAGTTGCTCATAGTTGCCATTAATGATCCTTTGAATTTCTGCAGTATCAGTTGTAATGTGTCCTTTTTCATCTCTGGTTTTATTTATTTGGATCTTCCCTCTTTTTTTCTTAGTCTGGGTAAAGGTTTGCCAAATTTGTTTCACATTTCAAAACACCAACTTTTTATTTCATTTACTTATTTATTTTGTATTGTTTTCTTCATTCCAATTTCATTTATTTCGGCTCTGGTGTTTATTATTTCTTTTCTTCCTCTAATTTTGAGTTTAGTTTTCTCTTGCTTTTCTAGTTCTTTAAGATTCATTATTGGTTTCTTTATTTTAAGTTTTACTTTTTTTTTATTTAGGCACTAAATAACTAAACTTATATATAACTAAACTTTATAGCTATAAACTTCCCTCTTAGTACTGCTTTTGCTTTATCCCGTAGGTTTTTGTATGTTGTGTTTCCATTATCATTTGTTTCAAGAAATTTTTCAATTTTCTTCTTGGTTTCTTCATTGACCCACTGCTTATTCAGGAACATACTGTTTAATTTCCAGGTATTTGTATAGTTTCCAAAATTCTTCTTGTTATTGATTTCTATTTTTATTCCATTGTGGTCAAAGATGCTTCATATTATTTCAATTTTTTTGAATGTTTTAAGACTTGTATTGTGACCTAACATATGGTCATGTGACCTAACATGGTGGCTTTAGAGAATGATCCATGTGCTGAGGAAAAGAATGTATATTCTGCAGCCGTTGGATGAAATGTTCTGTAAATATCTGTTAGGTCCATTTGGTCTACAGTACAGATTAAGTGTGATGTTTCTTTGTTGATTTTCTGTTCGGAAGACCTGTCCAATGTTTCCTTGCTGTTAACATAGCTACTCCACCTTTCCTTTTTTGGTGGTATTTCTTTTTCCATTGTTTTACTCATTCACTTTTTTCTTTCTTTTATCTTTTACAAAATGTTCTGCCAAAAAATCAATGCATTGATTTGTTTGTTTCTGAATTTACCAATAGAATTTATAATTAGTATTAAGGATAAGCTTTATATATCCAAACATTATCTTTCTTTACTAATTTTTTATTTTATAGAATTTAAACTCTACAGAAAAGTCAAAAGATATCTTTCATGTATTGTAGTGCCATTCTTTTCCAAGGGAGATACATTCCAAAATCCCCAGTGGATGCCTGGTAACATGAAGAGTAATTAATCCTATATAAACTATGTTTTTTTCCTATACATACATATGTATGATAAAGTTAAATTTATAAGTTAGGCACAATACAAGATTAACAACAACAGTAATAAAATAGAACAATTATTACAATATTCATAGTTTCATGGATAGAAGACTCATTCTTACCATAGGTCTTAGCAACTTCAACACATGATTTTTTTCTTCCCTTATTAAGTTGAAAACTTCCTCCTTTTCACTTAAAGGAAGCATTTTACAGCTTCTCTTTAGCATATGTGAACTGCCAGCATTATCATTCTTGCACTTTGGGGTTACTATTAAGTAAAATAAGGATTACGTGAACATAAGCACTGTGATACTGCAACAGTTTATTGGATAACCAAGATGGCTAGCAAGTGACTGATGGGCGGGTAAGGAATACAGCGTTGATGTGCTGGACAAAGGGATGATTCACATCTGGAGCAAACATGAGATTTCATCACACTACTCACAGTGGTGTGAAATTTAAAACTTATGAGTCGTTTATGGAATTTTCCATTTACTGTTTTCAGACTGCAGTTAATCATGGGTAACTGAAACTGTGGATGAGGGGGGACCACTTTAGATTCATCAGGGCATCAATTTGGCTACATATGGCTTATCTCTTTTTCTAAATACTATATACATATATGTATATATACATACACAGATTTTTTTGCTGAGCCATTGGGAAGTAACTTGCAGATATCATGACACTTCAACCCTAAACACTAAATCATATATCTCTTAAGAACAATTAAATTACTATTACACCCAGAGAAATTTAACATTGATACAATACTATTATCTAATATACTATCCATATCAAGTTCTCACAATTTTCCTAACAATATCCTTTATAGCTTTTTATTTGTTTTGGTCCAGGATCCAGTCAGGGGTCATGCATTGTATTTAGTTGTCATGCTCCTTTTTAGTCTTTTTAAATCTAGAATAGCACCCTCCCTTTTTTTTTCTTGTCCTTTTTTTGTGACGTTGCCATTTTTGATGAGTCCAGGTAGTTTTCCTCTATATGTCTCACAGTATGAAATGTGTCTGATTGTTTTCCCATGATTAGTTTAAGCGTTTTTAGCAAGAAGACTACATGGGCGATGTTCTGTCCTTCTTAGGCACAAAATTCTAGTTTATCCCAAGAGCATAGATACCTTTGGGGATTTTACAGATAGCTAGGTGGGTATTTTTTACTTCCCCCTTAAGAAAGTTACTTTTCTGGACACGGGTCAAATTATGGTTTATAATTTGCACCATATTCCATGTCTAGGTTACCTGTTTACAGAAATGCTCAGCATGAAGAGGAGTTTCTATATCTGTTCTGCCATCACATTTTCCTACTTCAGAGCATTTACTTAGTCCGGTTGGTTGTCTGTCTGTGTATTCACAAACTTTCACAATCAACTCAATAGGGAATAAAGTTTTTTTTTTCAGCAGCTTCATGTGCAGTCTCCTTAAGTACTTTTTCCTATGACTTGGTCACTTTTCTCCCTCTCATTGTATAAAGACTTTCTCATACTACTCTATATTGATCATTTTTAAGAGGCAAATATGATATGATCGAGTTCCTCTCCTGTTATTCTTACCTCCTGACATGTTATCATAGCATCTGGGTCTTCTGTCTCTGGGAAGATAAGCCAGATTTTATTGCATGGATTCTGTATTAGTTTTATATTTCTACCATAACAAAATGATCACAAATTTAGAAATTTAAAAGAACATATTTATTATAGTTCTGGAGGCCAGAAGCCTGCTATGGGTCTCATCAGACCTGATGAGAAGTCAAGCTGTTGGCTGGCTGCATTCCTTTCTAGAGGCTCTGGGGGGATATGTCCTGCTCATTTGGTTATTGGCAGAATTCCGTTCCTTGCCACTGTAGATCTGAGATCTGTAGATCTCAGTTCCTTGCCACTGTAGATCTGTAGATCTGAGATCCCTTTCTTGCTGGCTATGAGCTAAGAGCTGTTCCTAGCTTCTAGAGGCCACCCAAATTCCTTAGATTGTCATCTCTTTTCTCCATCTTCAAAGCCAACCATGGCAAATTGAGTCCCTCTCATACTTAGAATTTCTCCATTTTCTTTTGTCATTACATCTTTCACTGACTCAGATGATATGCTTTTAAAGATATATGCAATTAGAGTATGCCCACCCAAATAATTCAGAATATTCTCCCCCATCTCAAGATCCTTAACTTAATCACATCAGTAAAGTTCCTTTTGCCTTGTAAAATAACATAGTCATGGATTCTTGTAATTGTGGTGTGGACATCTTTGGGTGGCCATCATTTTGCCTACCACAGATTTTATTATAGCAGCAAGCCATAACCTGACACCGAGTGTGTGATTCATCCATTCTTTTATTCAACCAACACAAATATTAAAGAATGCCTATTAAATTGAGCATGTATTAAATTCCAGGCATTGTTTTATGTGCCAGGGTTACAAAAATATAACATCTAACTCACCAAGGAGTTCATAAACTGGTTTGGTAAGTTCTGTAGATAGAGATTGGCACAGAGTTCTATAAGAGAATACAAGAAGGCACATGAGCAAGACTAGAAGAGCCAGGAATGGCCTCCTGTATTGATCAATATCTAAGCTCAGTCTTTGAAATGAAATGAGGTACTAAGTAAGGATGGATGATTGTAGATGGGTAAAGAACTTCAAGCAGTGAGAAAATAATGACCAAAGTTACAGAACTCGAGGTAGGCTGGTTTTTGGAGGAGGTGAGATGTATGGTAGGTAGTTTTCCTGGAGTGGAGAGATGGAGCTAGATCAGCAAGCTGAAGCATAAACATGAAGACTTTGTGCACTACAAAGGCTCAAGATAGATCTGTAGGAAATGGGATGTGACTGACAATCTTGAAAGAGAGTGCTGTGTTCACATTTATATTTTATATAGGTCATACTAGTGGCCATGTGGAGGATAGTATAGTAGAGCAAGATTGGGGTAAGAAGATCATTTAAGATGCTTGTATGAAAATCCCGACAAAAAGTGATGAAGGCTTGAACTCAGCCAATGGTAGTTGGGATGGAGCACAGATCAGTGAATTTGAGAAAGTTTTATGAAGTATTATTGATTAGATGGTGTATCAATCAGGGTTCAACCAGAGAAATAGAACCAGTAGGAGATATATATTAAGAAATGTATTATAAAGAATTGGCTTGTGGGGGCTGTGTAGGCAAGCCTGAAATCTGTGGAGTGGGCTTTCAGGAAGGACAGACTGGAACTCCTGGACATGGGCTGAAGCTGATGTCCTCAGGTTAAATTTATTCAGGGAGACCTTAGCTCTGGTCTTAAGGTCCATCAGCTGATTGAATCAGGTCTACCCAAATTATTTAGGATAATCTCCTTTACTTAAAGTTAACTGATTATAGACAGTAATCACATCTACAAAATAGCTTCACAGCAAAACCTAGTTAAATTGAATAACTGAGGACTCTAGCCTAGCCAAATTAACACATCAAAAGACAATCACAGATGGGATGTCAAGGGAAACAGAATAATAGAGGGTAGTTCTCAAGTATGTGGCTTGAGTATTACATGAAATCACTAACTGAGTTATAGAATACAAGAAAAAGAGCAGGTTTTCAACATTTTCAGTAAGATACCTAGATGGAGGTTCCTGGCAAGCAGGTAAAGATCTGAGATTGCAAGAGAAGTGTTGTCCATATAAATATATTTAGATAACCATCAGCATAAAGGTGATAGATAAAACCAGGAGAGTAAATTAAATAATCTAGAAGAAGGTATATATAGAGAAAAGTTATGGATTGAGAAGGAAATTCTGGGGACCACTAACATTTAAGGATTATCTAGAGAAAGATGAACAGATAAAGGAGTAATAGGATGAGGGGGAAACCTGAAAAAGTCTGATGCCGATTAAGAAAAATGTAGTGAACAGCAACATAATATACATTAGAGGGTTCAGTACTGAAAAATATTTATTAATTTGTAAATTAAGTTTATTGGTGAATTTAGCATTAACGGTTTCCGTGTTGTGAGAGCAGAGGCCAGATTACAGTGGGTTGAAGAGTTACTAGGAAGTGCCAAGTTGAGGGTAGCTGGCATACGAGATGGGATGAGAATGGAGGATAAAAATTGGACAATATTTTATAATTAAATGATAACTGTAAGAAGATTAAGAGCCAAGGGAGTATTAAAAAATAATGGTAGGAACTTGCAGTTTTATTGACTTAAAGTAACAAGAAAAGGGGTAGAGACTGAAGATATAGGACATAAGAGAATTCAAAGTTACTGAGAAATAAAAGAAATAGGCCTGGTTGTTAGAGAGGGTGCAGTGACAAGAGAAGGACTTGTTTTATTCTTTGGATAAGACTAGGGTATTGGTACTCAATGGAGGTAGTATAATCCTGAGAGGGTGATTGGAAAGTTTGTGAAAGGCATTTAAGATAATCATTATTGAAGTGCTTCCTGACATATTGTGGGCAGGGTCAGTATTGCTAAATAACCTGCAATATGCAAGACAGCCTGCACAATGAAATTTTCTATATCCCATACAACTTTTAAATATATCATCAGATTAAACACTTATTTTTGTTAATCTAGACCTTGAATTGAACTCCATTCTATATATATATAAGCAAGTTTTTAATACACACTAACTTTTCCAGGAATGTAACTACCATGTAATCCAAGGTAAAAACCTTTGTTTTGTTCAGAATCTTATCAAGAATGTTTATCATTTTGGAAAATCGTGATACCTACAAAAACGCTGCTCTTGGATATTTGAAATCCAGATAACAACACACATGCATCAGTCAGTAATTATAGCTGCCACCTTTACAGGCATTCTCTGTATATTTTTTGCATACTTCATTGTCTTCTAGTGTTGTCATGTCCCCACATTTGCATCCTTTTTTTTTTTTTTTGAGACAGGGTCTCACTCTGACACCCAGGCTCGAGTAGAGTGTCACAGTCCCATCTCACTGCAGCCTCGACCTCCCGGGTTCAAGCGATCCTCCTGCCTCAACCCCCCAAGTAGCTGGGACCACAGGCACATGCCGTCATGCCCAGCTAATTTTTGCGTTTGTTGTAGAAACGGGGTTTTGCCATGTTACCCAGGCTGGTCTCAAACTCCTGAGCTTAAGTGATTGTCCGATTCAGCCTCCCAAAGTGCTAGGATTACAGGCATGAACCTCCATGCCTGGCTGCACATTTACGTCTTAAAATACATTATATTTTATTATAAATTACTTTCTTGTTATTTCTATTTCATATTATAGATGTTTTGAAATTTTTATCTTAATATAATAAAGCATTAAAATATTTAAGAAAGGGAGCCAGATAGAATTGGAAACCATTGGCACAGGAGAAATAAGATAAGAATGAGTGAAAATGCCGATTTTTAAACAACAATGAAGAGATTTGTGAGAATGGCTAATGCATTATGCTTTGTGGAAGAGGTTACCATAGTTCTAATTCCCAAATCCAATGACTGGATTTTGGGTTTTATCTTGATCCTTCTGCAACGTTTAAAATTCTCTGCTTTCTTCCATTCTACAACATTCTTCTCTTCTAGTTCTCCTTTTACATATCTGGCCATTGTTTCTAACTATTTTTTTCTGAGTACCTCCTCAGCCTAGATCCTTAAATTGAGTGGTTCCTGAATCTTCCTATTTCAATCCTCACTTCTTCTTGGCAATCTCACCCACTGTCCTGGGTTAAATAAAAAAAATATATGCAGACGACTTCCAAATCTGTATTTCTAGCACAAGCTTTATGCCAGGCTCAAACTCATATAGTCACCTGCCTGCTCTTTCTGTGTGATTGCCTTATCACCTTAGACTGAATGTTACCAAAACTGAACTCTTCATCACCCCACCAGCAGCACCACAAACCTCTTTATTCTTTATTGTTTGTACTAGTACTTCTAAGGCAAAAACTAGGGTATATGTCATGTTTCTTCTCTCTTACCTCCACTTTTTAATCTGTCACCAAGTCATAATGGTTATTTCTTCAAAATATTCCATGATTTTTTCTTCTATCTTTCATTTCCAAAACTCTAGTCCCATTCCCCGGTTTGGACCCTCAACATTTTTCTCCTGAATGACAATAATAGTTTTCTAACTGATCTCCTGCCTCCAGTACTGTGTACTGACTCTTGGCACAGCCTTTAGAATAGCCTCTAAAATAAATATCTGATCACATTGCTCCCCTACTTAAAATCCTTTAATGATTTTTTGCTTCCTATGAAAATCCTTTAATGATTTCTTGCTTTCTATGATAATGTCTAAAGTCTTAGCATGACCTAAAAGATTCTGTATGGCATACCTCTTAATCAAGCCTTATCTGTTGCCACCAATTCCTACACCTCATCCCAAACTCACACAACTTTTTTTTTTTTTGGATTTTATGTGCCACTAGGGTTTTCTTGAACATACTATTATTTCATGCAGATTTCTTTGTACATTTGACTCCCTCTAACATCTTTACACCCTTGTTTACCTAGTGAACTTCATTCTTCAAATTCCTGCTCATTTGTCATAGCCTCAATATTTTTTTTCCTCATCCTCTGTCTTCAGCCTCTAAAAATAATTGCTTCCTCTTTACTATTTCTGTGCCTGGTATTTGTCTATTATTGCACATGTCAAACAATAACTTGGTGAATGTACATTGAATTCTCAGTGTAGTACCTTTCCATCTGGTTGATTAGGAATTTTAAAAAGAATTACAATGCACAACAGAAGTTACTTCATTTGTTTCTAGGTTTTTGCTTTTTATGGTGGTATAAGTCATAGTAAAGTACATAAATCTTAAGTATATAGCTCAATGAATTTGTACATATACTTATATACTAGTGTAAACAACACCTAGATCAAAATATAAAACACTTCCAATACCCTAGAAAGCACATTTGTGTCCTTTTCAAGTTAACATTCACAAAAAGTAACCACTATTCTAACATCTGTCACCATTGATTAGTTTCGCATATTCTTGAACTTTATTTAAGTGGAATCACAGAATATGTACTCTTTTTAAAATTTTAACTATTATTTTACTTGTAGGGGCTACATACGCAGGTTTATTACATGGATGTATTGCACTGACATCCATTCCCTCCTGCCTCTAGTAATCTGCAGTGTTTATTGCTCCCAAGTTTATGTCCATATGTGTTCAATGTTTAGATCCCACTTATAAGTGAGAACATGTGGTATTAGGTTTTCTGTTTCTGCATTAATTCATTTAGGATTATGGACTCCAGCTCCATCCATATTGCTGCAGAGGACATAATTTCATTGTTTTCTGTGGCTGCATAGTATTCCATGGTGTACATGAAACACATTTTCTTCATCCAGTCTACCACTAATGGGCACCTAGGTTGATTTAATGTCTTTGCTATTGTGAATAGTACAGTAGTGAACATACGAGTGCTTGTGTCTTTTTGGTATAATGATCTATTTATTATCAGTTATGTATACAGTAATGGGATTGCTGGATCAATTGGTAGCTCTGTTTTAAAAATTTCTTTGAGAAATCTAAACTGCTTTCCACAGTGGCTGAACTAATTTACATTCACACCAGCAATGTATACGTGTTCCCATTGCTCCACAGCCTCACCAGTAGCTATTGTTTTTTGACTTTTTATAGTAGCCATCCTGATTGGTGTGAGATTTTTTTTATTGTGGTTTTGATTTGCACTTCACAAGACTGTACTCTTTTGTCAGATAGGTTTTTATTTGAAGCCTTATCAGTACCTTAGAACTCTGCTGCACCCTAATGATATCTGTGAGGAAAGAGATATTGAAACAGCTCTTGAGGGGATGCTCCAAGAGGAAGGCAAGACTTCAACAACTCTTTTTATTTTTATTTTATTTATTTATTTTTTTGAGATGGAGTCTCACTCTGTTGCCCACTCTGGAGTGCAGTGGCAAGATCTCAGCTCACTGCAACCTCCACCTCCCAGGTTCAAGTGATTCTCCTGCCTCAGCCTCCGAGTAGCTGGGATTACAGGTGCACACCACTATGCCCAGATAATCTCTTGTATTTTTAGTAGAGACGGGGGTTTCACCATGATGGCCAAGCTGGTTTCGAACTCCTGACCTCAAGTGATCCACCTGCCTCGGCCTCCCAAAGTGCTAGGATTACAGGCATGAGCCACCGTACCCAGCCAGCAACTATTGAATCATAAAAATCAGAAAGCCTATGATTATTTGGATGGGTGTCCTCACAGTGAAATAGAATGTTTATCTAATGTGTTATCTACTTGAAGGCAAAATGAAATATCCAGAAATTTGAAGAGACTGTGGAAGAAGAGATCTTAAACGTTTCCAAGAAAGAAAGGGTGTTAATTTGAAATTAACTCAGTTCTATTCAGTCAACACTTACTGAACACTTGCTGTGTTAGGCACTATATGAGACAAAGGGGACACCCAGATTACTAAACCATGCACCTGTTCTTGAAGACTACTCAGTCTAATGCTGGAGACAAGATCTTTCTGTAAGGAAGAAGCTAAAGCTAGGAAGCACAAAGGATAGATAGTGATCCCAGACACAGAAGGCTTCTTGGAAGATATAGGGCTTGAATTAAACTTACATTATAAATAGGAGGCATTCAGGTGAAGAAAGTTAGCAAGGTATTTAGTTTTCAGTCATGTGAATTTGAGGTACCTGTGAGACATTCAAGTGAAGATGTCCACTAGAATGTCAGAAATATAGGCAAAGAATGCAGACTTGAATGATAATCAGCATATAGGTGAGAGTTGTCATCATATAGATGAGAGTTGAAGCCATGGGAAAGTGTATATTGTGAGAAGAAAAAGTGGTCAAGAAGAAAATTTTGAAGAACACAAACATTGAAATGACTGGGAGAGGAAGTGGGTCCTGGAAAGGAAACTGAATTGACAAAAAAAAGTAAAAAAGGTAAGCAGAAAATGAGGATTCCTGAAACCTAAGGGAAGAAACTATCTCAAGAAAGAGGGTGTGGTTAACAGTGTCAAATATTTTTATAAGAGAAGGATTTAAAAGCATCCATTGGTGATGGGGACAGAAGGGAAGGAAAAAAAAACATTGAGTCTATCAAAGGAGGTCCTGTATTAGTGACTTTGGTAAGAGAAGATTTATTGGCATAGAAGGGACAGAAAAAAGATTGTAGTGGATTGAAGAGTGCATGGAGGAGTGTGAGGAAGTGGGTGAAGATAGGGAAGACATTGCTTCCAGGAATTTGAGCTGTGATGAGTAGCAAAAGGGGAAGAAAGTTATAATAGGAGGGGAACAAGGTTAAAGGAACCATCTTTTAAGATGGAAAAGACTTAAACTTGTTTAAATGTCAGTAGGAAAGATCAAATAAAGAGGAATAGCTGAAGAGAGAGGAAAAAGTGAGTATAATGAATAGTTCGAAGGAAGTGAGATTATATGGGATCCAGAGCAGAGGTGGAAGAGTATGCCTTAGGAGAGGAGGAGAATTGAAGGGAGAAATAAACAGTTCCACAATAATAGTTGGAGACTTAAATACCTTACTTTCAATAATGGATAAGACATGTAAACAGAAGATCAATAAAGCGATAGTGAACTTGAACAGCACTGTAAACCAGTAGATCTAACAGACTGTAAAGACCTAACAGCACTGTCCCATAGACCTAACAGGCATGTATAGAACACTTCATCTAACAACAGGAATATACACATTTTTCTCAAGTGCCATGGAACATTCTCCAGGATAGGCCATATATTAGGCCACAAAACAAGCTTCAATAAATTTAAAAAGATGAAAGTCATACAATATCTTCTACAATGACAATGGAAGGAATCTAAAAATCAATAACAGAGGAAAACTGGAAAATCATATAACATTTTTAATAAATGGTTCAAAGAAGAAATCTTAAGGGAAATTAGACAAAATTGTGAAATAAATGAAAATGAAAACATGCCAGAACTTAAGGGACACAGTAAGATCAGTGCTCAGAGGGAAATTTGTAGCTGTAAATGTCAACATTAGAAAAGCAGAAAGATCTTGAAACCTGACTCTACACCTAGAGGAACAAGAAAAATAATAGCAAAACAAACCCAAAACTAGAAGAAGGAAGGAAATAATAAAGATTAGAGTGGAGATAAACAAAACAGAGAATAGAAAAACAATAAAGGGAAAAACAAACCAAAAGTTGATTTTTTTGAAAATATCAACAAAATTGACAAAACGTTACCAAATACCTGAAATAATAAGTAAATCAGAAATGAGAATGGAGCCACATATCTACAACCATCTGATCTTTGACAAACCTAACAAAAACAAGAAATGGGGAAACAATTCCCTATTTAATAAATGGTGCTGGGAAAACTGGCTAGCCATATGTAGAAAACTGAAACTGGATCCCTTCCTTACACCTTATACAAAAGTTAATTCAAGATGGATTAAAGACTTAAATGTTAGACCTAAAACCATAAAAACCCTAGAAGAAAACTTAGGCAATACCATTCACGACATAGGCATGGGCAAGGACTTCATGTCTAAAACACCAAAAGCAATGGCAACAAAAGCCAAAATTGACAAATGGGATCTAACTAAACTAAAGAGCTTCTGCACAGCAAAAGAAACTACCATCAGAGTGAACAGGCAACCTACAAAATGGGAGAAAATTTTTGCAATCTACTCATGTGACAACGGGCTAATATCCAGAATCTACAATGAACTCCAACAAATTTACAAGGAAAAAACAAACAACCCCATCAAAAAGTGGGCAAAGGATATGAACAGACACTTCTCAAAAGAAGACATTTATGCAGCCAAAAGACACATGAAAAAATGCTCATCATCACTGGCCATCAGAGAAATGCAAATCAAAACCACAATGAGATACCGTCTCACACCAGTTAGAATGGAAATCATTAAAAAGTCAGGAAACAACAGGTGCTGGAGAGGATGTGGAGAAATAGGAACACTTTTACACTGTTGGTGGGACTGTAAACTAGTTGAACCATTGTGGAAGTCAGTGTGGTGATTCCTCAGGGATCTAGAACTAGAAATACCATTTGACCCAGCCATCCCATTACTGGGTATATACCCAAAGGACTATAAATCATGCCGCTATAAAGACACATGCACACGTATGTTTATTGCGGCACTATTCACAATAGCAAAGACTTGGAACCAACCCAAATGTCCAACAATGATAGACTGGATTAAGAAAATGTGGCACATATACACCATGGAATACTATGCAGCCATAAAAAATGATGAGTTCATGTCCTTTGTAGGGACATGGATGAAATTGGAAATCATCATTCTCAGTAAACTATCATAAGGACAAAAAACCAAACACTGCATGTTCTCACTCATAGGTGGGAATTGAACAATGAGAACACATGGACACAGGAAGGGGAACATCACACTCTGGGGACTGTTGTGAGGTGGGGGGAGGGGGGAGGGATAGCATTACGAAATATACCTAATGCTAAATGACGAGTTAATGGGTGCAGCACACCAGCATGGCACATGTATACATATGTAACTAACCTGCGCATTGTGCACATATACCCTAAAACTTGAAGTATAATAATAATAAAATAAATAAATAAATAATAAAATGGTTAAATTTATAATATATTAATTTATCCACAGCTAAATAAAAAACAATTAAAAGATCCATTTGGAAAAGGATACACCCTATTAAAGTAAGCCTGATACATGAAACAACAGCTAAAAAAGAAAAAAAAAAAGTAACACAATTGACAACCTAAATAAAGAAAATACTTACACTGAAAGAAAACATAAACAAGACCAAGATCAGGTTATAAAAAAAGAGTTAGTGTATAATGTACTTAAAAACATTGCCTCTGTCAATGAATAAAAAGAATAACATATTAGCGAAGTGCATTAAGGAAGGCAACAGACGAATAGGAAAAATAATGTGCAAGATTTAGTAAATAAATATAGGAAAACTAAAATGGCCAGGCACAGTTGCTCACTCCTGTAATCTCAATGTTTTGGGAGGGCAAGCTGGGCGGATCACTTGAGGTCAGGAGTTTGAGACTAGGCTGTCCAACATGGTGAAACCCTGTCTCTACAAAAAATTAGCGGACTTGGTGGTGCATGCCTATAATCCCAGTGAATCTGGAGGCTGAGGCATGAGAATCACTTGAACCAGGAGGCGGGGGTTGTAGTGAGCCGAGATTGCGCCACTCCACTCCACCATGGGTGACAAAGTGAGACTCTCCCTGAAAAAAAGAAAAGAAAAGAAAAGAAAATGACCCTAGACACATTTTAGTATTTACATAATGTAAATTATTTAACACAACAGTACTGATTAAACTGTAATAACAACGATAAATAATATTGACTGGCTTTTGATAAGTATAATTCTCAAATATGATCAGAATTAGAATATATTGCTAAAGAACTTTAGGAAGGTGTTAATTGAAAATTCTAATTGTGAGAATTCAGTGTCCACAAGAGACATGTTCTATTTCATAATACATTAATATATTTCCTTATATTAGATTTTTCTGAAGGTTTGTAGAAGTGCATCTTGTACTCTGCAGAGGAATAGGATGACAAATGAACTCAGGGTTAATTGGAATAATTTTAAAATGCACGTTGATTAAATAAGAAGGCAGCATTGATTTCACAGCAACTATATATAACTATTCATTGTGGTTTCATAAACAACAAAAATTGTAACCACTAAACACACTAATTCTGGGCATCCCTTCCTTCGCTTCGTGCACCATCAATTCAGTGGCCCTTTGCAGTGAGCACTTGACATCCGAAAAACAAAAGAAAACCTAAAAAACAAAATGAGGAACCAACTAAGGTACACCCTTCTCACTTCAGCAGGGCTCCCCCCACTTGACCACATTGGGGAAACCTGCAAAAGTAGGAGGATTCTCTGCTTCCATCATTCCTTCTAGATTATTCTCTCGGAAAGGGAAAAAGAAGAGAAGAGAAGGGAAAGAGAAGGGAACGGGAGGGGAGGGGAGGAGAAAGGGAGCGGGGAAGGGAAGGTTTGTCTTCAAAAAATCCAACCATTGGGGCTGTAGCATGGTGGGGGGAGCTTGTAGGAAGGAAGGAAGGAATGCTTGTCTTCAAAAAATACAACCACTGGGGCTGTAGTATGGTGAGGGGAGCTTGTATTTCCGGGAAACAGGGGAGGTGTGTGTGGGTATTGGAGGAGGGTGGCTACAGAATCCTCTATGAACCTGCTCAGGTCTCATAAACAGGAAAACAAGCCACTTGCTTGTGTGCACCACACTTGTCCCTAGGCAGCACACTCCCTCCTGGGAAAGAGATCAAAGTTTGGATTAAAAGCAGCCAGGTCCGCTAGGCATGGTGGCCCACACCTGTAATCTCAGCACTTTGGGAGGCCAAGGTGGGCAGATTGCTTGAGGCCAGGAATTTGAGACCAGCCTGGCAAATATGGTGAAACCCTATCTCTACTAAAATTACAAAAATTAGCATGTAATCTCAGCTACTTTGGGAGGCTAAGGCAAGAGAATTGCTTGAACTCAGGAGACAGAGGTTTCAGGGAGCCGAGATTGTGCCACTGCACTCCAGCCTGTGTGACAGAGTGAGACTCTGTCTCGAAAAAAAAAAAAAAAAAGAAAGAAAAAAAGAAAGGCAGCCAGGTCCAACAGGCATCTGCACATTGTTGACCCATCCAGCAGAACAGGGTCGAGAAAGGCATCTGTCGGGATGGGGCAGGACAGGACGAGACAGACTATTGTCTGAGGCATTTGGCTACCTCTCTGACTGGAACCCAGGCACTCATATGTGCCCAGGAATGGGTGGGATATTCCGGATGGGTTCCACAGGTGGCTCTCCTAGAGAGACCCACTTGGCATATTTGATGATGGAGCATGCAGGCTCCCTGGAACGTGATGGCTCACTAGTTAGTACCCCCGGCATCTTGGTCATTCTGCTGAAGTGCATGGGTAGCCAGGCCCCCGGCAGTGCTCAGTTTCTCCTGGGCCCCTCTGTGTTCCTGTGGTGGGTGTGGAAGTGGAGGTTGAGGCTAGAGTGTCTTTGAGGGTGGTGGGGCAGCTGTGCCTTGATTTGATACAGAGCTCTCTGGGCTCCTCAAGCTAAACTCTGGTGCTTGCCAGATACTCAGCTCAGATAATGAATGAGACGGTGGAGGACAAATTATTTTGCCCCTTTAGGGTCTCCAGGCAGACATGCAAAAGCCTGGTGCAGGGCCTTCATACAGAGCCCATGTTGGGTGCAAAGCCATGACCCCGTTGCTCTAAAGGTTGCATGTCCTACCCATACCGCTTGGTACCTGGAGAGCAGCATGGAACACAATGCTCTCAGAATATTGAAAAGGTTTTCTGTGTCTCCACTGAGGGATACTCCTGCCTCAGGCCCTGTGGCTGCCTATTGAGCCATCAGCCCATTCTGGTGACCTGCATGTGCCAGGACAATGTGGTAATCTCAACCAGGAGCTCCAGGTTTACATAGGCCCCCAGTCCTTGGGTAAATCCTTGTGTAAGCCAGCTGGGTGGCTCCCACTTTCTCCTGGAATGGCAGCCCTATGATCCCAGTCCACCTGTGGTGTCCCAGTGGCCATGATTATGTGTCCTTTGTCATTACTTTCTGCACTAGAAGCAGCCACAAAACCTGGAGAGGGCCAAAGGAAGGGCAAAGGCTGGATGCCGAAACAGGATTCCCACAGGGTCTCCAGCCTACCAGGCCTTGGTCATTGGGACCCCTGAGTTTGGTGGTCAACCTGGGACCTAGTGGCTGTTTTCTTTTTCTCCCCACTTTTTCTCTTTCTCCTTCCTATTTTTTTTTTTCACATGGGAAAAGGCGGAGGACCTCGGGGTGGAGGAGCAGGGTTACAGTTATAGTTAGTGTTTGTGGAGCCCTACTGCCATCAAGCAGAAACAGTTTCTGGCACTGGGATACAGCTGAGCACCAGTGCTGGGGAAAGCCCAGGAGTGCTAAACAGATGGCGACAAGCCGTCCACAGGCTGAAGCAGGAGGAGAGAGGAACTCCTGACTGGCCCTTGGCCTGTGCTTATTCCCAGGATGGCGCCTTGGCTCCACAGCTCTCTCTGAAAGAAAGGGCAGGCAGGGGCACCCCACCATGGGCTCCCCTGGCAGTCTCCAGGGACTTCCAAGCATGAATCGCCCCGCCCCCAGCACCCCGAAGTTCCTTTGTTCCCAGGGAGAATAAGAACCCCTTGGCCCCAGCTTGGACCCAGCCAATGGCACCTTGGAACTCCCCACAAAGGAGACCAGAGTAAACAGCCCCAGTCTCGACCATCAGTGCCCAGTGGCTTCCCTTATGCCCATCACAAGACAGGGTGTCTCTGCCCACTGGGTAGACTGGTCTTGAGGCTGCCGGGTTGTTCTGTCCCAGGGCCTCTAGAGTTGCTGCTTCTCCATGAGGTCCCAATGGCAGGTACACTTCCTTCAAGGGCTTTGAACCCCGGTGGGGGGAAACCCTGCCTTGGGCTGAGTCTACCCAGCCTGGCACATCCTCACTGTTTGTTGTCTGTGCCTGGAAGAAGGCAAGTTTCCTTGCAGCCTGTAGTTCAGAAACACCTTCCACTGGATGTCACTGTGGCTCCACAAATGGCAGTCACCCCTTTTCTTTCCCCCACCTTGCCTTCCTCTCCCTCCTTTTGCTGGCAACCAAACAAAACAAAGACCAGAAAACAGAAACTGGGGCTGGGTGCGGTGGCTGACGCCTGTAATCCCAGCACTTTGGGAAGCCGAGGCAGGCAGATCACTTGAGGTCAGGAGCTCGAGACCAGCTTGACCAACATGGAGAAACCCTGTCTCTATTAAAAATAGAAAATTAGCTGGGCGTGGTGGCACATGCTTGTAATCCCAACTACGGGGAGGCTGAGGCAGGAGAATCGCTTGAACCCGGGAGACGGAGGTTGTGGTGAGCCGAGATTGCACCATTGCACTCCAGCCTGGGCAATAAGAGTGAAACTCTGTCTCAAAAAACAAACAAACAAACAAAACAAAATAAAAAAAACAAAGAAACAAACCGGCCAAAGAGCACCCACCTCATCTTCAGCATTGCTCCTCACCTACATGGTCACTTTGGGGAAACTTGCCTTCCTCCTTCCCTCTGGATTCTTCTTTGTGCAGGGGGTCCCAATGAACCAGCCTATCCTCAAGAAATCCCACCCTTGGGGCTGTGGCATGATGTGGGGAGGTTGCACTGGGGAAGGTGTGAGGGGCTACAGGGTGGCGGGTGTGTGGGTGTGTAGGTCTGCATTCCAGCCACTGCAGATTTCTCTATGAATCTGCATAGGCCTCCTAAGAAGGAGACTGGCGCGTGCCTAGAGAAAAAGCAGGAAGATAAGAATGCAGGAAGATCTGGACTGCATCCTTAGGGGTGGCATTGTGACTCTGATTGTCAGAGGTCTCCGTTTTTAACGTTTAACTCCCATCACATCTCAACTTTTTCCTGTCTTCACCTGTGCTTCCAAATGTCCTCAGGCACATATATGTGTCCCTACTCATACTCACTCACAAGCGTCTGCCCAGGCACCTCCACTCATACCTGGGTCCTGTTGTGCAGGCAACTCTCAGAGGGCAGGGTTCTTCAGCTTCCCGGTTCCATCTTGTTCATCTTCCTCATCCCTTGTTGTCTGGCTGCCCAATATTTGCTGGCGGAGGGTGCGGGATGTGTTGGGGGTGGAGACAGCAGGGAGCAGGGCAGCCTCCTGGCCCAACAGGCCTCTGTGCACATGCAGTGCAGACCTGGGCATAAGGGGCTGACACTTTCTCCTGGCTGGTTGGTGGCTCTTCCTCTGTGAAGCCACAGAAGGTCACTCGGGTTGCCACCTGTCCATCTGGGACATTCTGCATTCTTGTTCGCTGTCATCCTCATTGCTCACGTTGATTCTTAGTATACTTTTGGAGTTTTTCTTCCTTCACTTTTTTCTTCTTCACTGTCTTTACTTCTCGTCCACTTCTGGTTTGGGGAGGTCAGGATTCGCCTGGAAGGCAGGGTCCGGTTGGCAAGCGAACATATTTAGGGAGAACACGCCTTCTTTTCCTCAGGAAATTAGAAAGACCTCAGTTGACTCCTGCCAGATGTAATCGGGGTGCCCCTCTCCTTTCTGCCCTCTCTCCCTAGTGCCATAGGTGGCTGATTACCTCCTTTCCCTGGTGTCCTTTTCCTCTCCGTTTTTCCTCTCTCCTCCCATTTCTGGGGTCCTACCCTTCATTGGCCTTGTAGACTAGGGGCTCGTGGCCCCTTGCGGTTTGCAGATGACATCCAGAGGGTATGGTTTAGCCTGCATCTTTGTCCTCTGTAGCCCCTGCAGACCTATTTGTGGATCAAAGCTTTTGATCCGACTCACAAGGGATCCCATCAACAAGAAGCTTCTTGGTGGTGTGTCCTTTCACTGGGATGTCACTGTTGTCTCTTTGTCACTCGTTATGTATGTCACCACGCATTGAGGCACCCATGAACTCTATCCTTCAGGACAGCTGAGGTGGCATGAAGCTGCCATTTCTTGTTCTTTTTCTCCATCTGGTTCTTCTTCCTCTTCCTCCTCTTCCTCTTTCTTTCTCTTTTCTTTTCTTTTCTTTCTTTCTTTCCACCTCCTCCTCCTTTTTCTTCTTCTTTTCTTCCCTCCTCCTCCTCCTCCTCTCTCTTTTCCTTTCACTTTCAGATCTTGGCGAGACAAATGTTCTATGGAGACTGCTTCTTCTGCTCCTTGGTAATGGGGGATGTCCCTCTGCGTGCTAGGCAAGGAGAAAGCTTCACTTTTGTTCTGAAAGGAGCAGAGATGAAGGTCACATGTTCAGTTCCTCTGGTCCTCTAAAAAACCACCCATGTGTTACTTTTAAGTGAAATGTCATTCTGAATGCACTTCCTACCAGTACCTCACGATTCATCCTTCTACCTTGTTCTCCTTGAAGACGATCTAATAATGTAATCTTGGCCAGTAGGAGCCTCAGCAAGTTTTCCCCCATTTCCTCTCCTTCCAGTCAAGCCATGTGAACACAACTATCCGGATTTCAGTGTATACAGGCAGGCTGTCTCTGCCATGTGCCAGTTTACCCACTCTCACACAGGAAGGCACCCACAAACCATAGACACAGATACACATACACACACTCACTAGGGACCTCAGAAATGAAATCACAAACACACCCGCACACAGAGACACATGCAGACACACACAAACACACACATAGACACACAAACAAGAAACCTCACAGGGGCACAGGGGTGCAGGCCCAAGCATTCTCCCACACAGACACATACACACCACCACAGGCACGAGACTGCCTACAATTTCTCCCACACAGGTTCTAAATGTGCAAAGGGAACAGGAGACAGGGGAGAATTCCTGACTCCAGGCCTGGGCCATCATGCCATTGATTGATGGGCAACTCTCGCCTTCTCCTGAGAATCAATGTGGGAAGTCTGTTAACAGATAGGATCCAGCAGCTGGTGTAAAACTGGAGCATCCTGGGTCAAGCTGCTTAAAAAGGAACCTCACTTTGTGTTAGAGACAGAGAGAGTTCCCTTGGGAGCCTTGGCCCTGTGTGATGCCATAAGAATCTGTGGTGTGTGGTGGCATTCCCCAGCACCCCTGAGCCACCCTCCTCCCACCCCCATCTGTGTGAAACCCAGGACAGCCTGAGCAGAGTCAGACTTGAGCAAGTTGCTGAGTGTCCTCTCTGAGAGATACTCCTGCTTCAGGCCCTGTGGTTTCCAGTTGAGCAGTCCACCTATTTTGATGACCTCCATGTGTCAGCCCAAGGCGGTAAACTCTACCTGGAGCTCCAGGCTTTCGTAGGACCCCCAGTCCTGCAGCAGAACCTTGTGTAAGCCAGCTGGGTGACCAGCACCTTGTCCTGGGGCAGTAGCCCTATGATCCTAGTCCTCCTGTGGTGTCCCAGTAATGATCATGTTTTTTGTTGTTTACTTTCTGCACGGGCAAGAGCCATGAAACCTGCAGAGAGCCAAAGGAAGGGCAAAGGCTGGCTCCCTAAACAGGATTCCCACAGGATCTCCAGCCTACTGGTCCTGGTCCTTGGTCACACGGTCCCATGAGTTTGGTGATCAATCTGGGACCAGGTGACTGATTCCTTTCACTCCTCTGTCTTTTTTTTTGTTTCTCTTTCCTCTTTACCTTTTTTCACATGGGAAAAGGCGGAGGCCCTGGAGTTGAAGTGGCAGGGTTACAGTTGTAGT
Source organism: Homo sapiens (assembly GCF_000001405.40). Taxonomy (NCBI): domain Eukaryota; kingdom Metazoa; phylum Chordata; class Mammalia; order Primates; family Hominidae; genus Homo; species Homo sapiens. The sequence goes on from NC_000023.11 coordinate 56,763,911, forward strand.
TGGCGTTTGTGGAGCCATACTGCCATCAAGCGGAAACTGTATCTAGAAACCGGAGGCAGCTGGGCACAAGTGCTGGGGAAACCCCACGAGCGCAAAAGAGATGGCGGCATGGAGCCCCCAGGCTGAAGCAGGACAAGAGAGGAACTCCAAGCTGGCCCTTGGCCTGTGCTCATTCCCAGGATGCCTCCCTGGTTCCACAGCTCTCTCCGAAAAAAAGGGCAGGTAGGGGCGACCCACCATGGGTTCCCCTGGTCATCTCCAGGTACTGCTGGTCCTGGGTTGCCACGTCTCCAGTATCCCGAAGCTCCTTTGTTCCCCGGGAGGATCGGGGCCCCCTTGCCAACACGTGGCTCCAGCCAAGGGAACCCCGGAACTCCCCACAAAAGACACCAGAGTAAACGGCCCCCGTCTCGGCCAGTGGCTTCGTTTATGTCCATCTCAACATGGCTGCCGGGCCAGCTCCGCCCTCTGGGCTGACTGGTCTTGGGGCTGCCTGGCTGTTCTGTCCTGGGGCCTCTAGAGTAGTTGCTTCTCCAAAGCGTCCCAATGCCAGGTACACTTCCTTCAAGGGCTCAGAACCCCGGTGGGGGAAACCCAGGCTTAGACATAGTCTAAGCACATCCTCGCTGATCTCTGTTCCTGGCAGAAGGCAGGTGTCCGTGCATCCTGTTGTGTTCAGAAACAACTTCCACTAGATGGCAATGTGGCTCCACAAACAGCAGTCTTGTCTTTCCCTTCCCCCATTTTCTTTCCCTCTTTCTGTTTTTGGTGCCAAAAACCAAAACAAACACCAAAAAAAAAAAAAAAAAAAAGAAACTGGCCTAGGAGCACCCATCTCACCTACAGCAGGGCTTCCCATCTATGTGGTCACTTTGGGGGAACCGGCAACAGTAGGATGGGGTAGGGGTGGGGGCCACAGGGAGCAGGGCAGCTTCCTGGCCCAACAGGCCTCTGTGCCCACGCGGTGCAGACCCGGGCTTGAGGGGCTGATGCTTTCTCCTGGCTGGTGGCTCTTCCTCTGTGAGGCCACAAGAGGCCACTCATAGTGCTGCCAGCTGTCCATCTGAGGCACTTTGCATTGCAGTTCGCTGTCAATCTCATTGCTCACTGATTCTTTGTGTACTTTTGGAGTTTTTCTCCCTTCACTTTTTTCTTCTTCATTCTCTTTACTTTTTCTCCACTTCTGCTCCAGGAGCAGACTGGAAGGCAGGGTCAGCTGGGCGCGGGGACACCGTTAGGGAAAACAGGCTTACTTTTCCTAAGGAAATTAGTAGGACTCTAGCTGACCCCTGCGAGGAGAAATTGGCGTTTCCCTCTCCTTTCTGCCCTGTCTCCATATTGCAGTGGGTGGCTGATTATCTCTTTTCCCTGGTGTCCAATTCCTCCCCGTTTTTCATCTTATTCTTTTTTGGGCGGTCCTTCCCTGCCTTGGCCTTGTAGCCTTGGGGCTTGGTAGCCCCTTGCAGTCAGCTGATGACATCTTCAGGGCAAGGTTCAGCCAGCACCTGTGTTCTCTGTAGCTTCTGCAGGCCTACTTGTGGATCAAAGCTTTTGATCTTACTCAGGAAATACCCCATCAACAAGACGCTTCCTGGTTGTGTGTCCTTTAAGCCGGATGTCAGAAGTGGCTCCGTGCCCCTCGTTGTATGTCACCACGCGTTGAGGCCCTCCTAAACTAGATCCTTCGGGACAGCTACAGTGGCATGGACCTCTCACTTCCTGTTCTCCTTCTGATTCTTCTTCCTCTTCCTCCTCCTACCCCTCTTCTTTAATTCTTCTCCTTCTCCTCCTTCTCCTCTTGCTCCTCCTCCTCCAACTCCTTCTTATCTTCCTACTCCTCCTTTTTCTTTTTCTTCTTTTTCCTCCTTCTACTCCTCCTCCCCCTCCCCCTGCACTTCCTTCTCCTTTGCCTCTTTTTCTTTTTTTGCTTTTGCTTCTGCTTCTGATTCTGCTTCTGTTTTTCCTTTCACTTGCGGATCTGGGTGGGCACGTGTTCTAGCAGACTGCTTCTTCTTTTGCTCCTTGGTGATGTGGGATGTCCCTCTGCAGAATTAGGCCTGGAGAAAGCTTCACATTCGTTCTTTAAGGAGCACAGATGAAGGTCATGAGTTTAGTCCCTCTGGTCCACCAAAAGGCTACCCACGTGTTACTTTTAAGTGAAATGTCATGGTGAACGCACCCTTTACCCAATACCTCATGGCTCATTGTTATTTCCCATTCTCCTTCTGGATGCTGTAAGTGTAATCCTGAGCCAGTAGGAGCCTTGGCAAGTTGTTTCCTAACTCCTTTTTTTCCAGTCAAGCCATGTGAACACATCAATCTGAATTTCAGTGTGTGCAGGCAGGGTGTCTCTGCCACGTGTTCATTTGCTCACATTTCAGTGTGTGCAGGCAGGGTGTCTCTGCCACGTGTTCATTTGCCCACTCTCACTCACACAGGGAGGCACACACAGACACACATGCAGGCACTTACAAGAGACCCCCAGAAGAAGAAATAAAATCACAAACACACACACAGAGATACATGCACACCCAGACAAAAACACGCTTACACATACCCACACAAACACACACATACACACACATAAAGTAAGCTCACAAAATCAAAGGGGTAGGGGCCCAAGCATTATGGGACACAAACACACATCGCCACAGGCATGCGACTGCCCACATTCTCTTCGACAGGGGTTCGAAATATGCAAAGGGGAAAGGGAGACAGAGGAGCATTCCTGCCTCCAGGCCTGAGTCATTATGCCATTTATTGGGCAACTAGGGCCTTCTCCTGAGAATGAATTCGGGAAGTCTGTTATCAGATAGGCTCAAGCAGCAGGCATGAAACTGGAGCATCCTGGGTCAAGCTGCTTAAAAAGGGCCCCCAAGCCTTGTCCCTGTGTGATGCCATGAGAAGCTGTGGTACTTGGTGGCCTTCCCCAGCCTCTCTGAGCCACCCTCCTCCCAACCCTACCTCTGTGAAAGCCGAGACAGCCTGAGCAGAGTCAGTCTTGAGTGAGTTGCTGAATGTCCCCGCTGAGGGAGACTCCTGCCTCAGGCCCTGTGGCTGCCTGTTGAGCTGTCTATCCGTTCTTCGGACCTCCATGTGCCATCCCAAGGTGGTAAACTCTAACTGCAACTCCAGGCTTTGGGAGGACCCCCAATTCTCCAGCAAAACCTTGTGTAAGCCAGCTGGGTGGCCACTGCCTTGTACTTGGGCGGCAGCCCTGTGATCCCAGTCCTTCTGCCGTTTTCCAGTAGCCATGATTATACGTCCTTTCTCTTTTACTTTCTACACCAGCGAAAGCGATGAAACCTGGAGAGGTCCAAAGGAAAGTCAAAGGCTTGCTGCCTCCACAGCGTTCCGACAAGGTCTCCAGCCTACTGATCCTTGATCCTAGGGTCCCCTTAAGAGGTGAAAGTCTGATGGCAGCCCTGGCAGCCCTCGCTCGCTCTCGGCGCCCCCTCGGCATTGGCGTCCACTCTGGCCGCCCTTGAGGAGCCCCTCAGCCCGCCGCTACACTGTGGGAGCCCCTGTCTCCACTGGCCAAGGTCGGAGCCGGCTCCCTCAGCTTGCGGGGAGGTGTGGAGGGAGAGCCGCGGGCGGTAACACGAGCTACTCGCCGCGCTTGCGGGCCACCGGGAGTTGCCGGTCGGCATGAGCTCGGCGGGCCCCGCACTCCGAGCAGCCAGTTGGACCTGCCTGCCCAGGGCAGTGAGGGGCTTAGCAACTGGGCCAGCAGCTACTGTGCTCCACTTCTCGCCTATCTCTTCTCCTTAACTTTCTTTTATAATTATGTTTTCTCCTTCCTCTTTGCTTTTTTCACACGAGAAAGGGCGGAGGCCCTCGGATTGGAGGGGCAGGGTTGTGGTTGTACTTGGCATTTGTGGTGCCATACTGCCATCAAGCGGAAACCGTTTCTGGAAACCGGAGGCTGTAGGGCACAAGTACTGGGGAAAGGCCAGGAGCCCAAAAGGGAGGGTGGTGTGGGACCCCAGACTGAAGCGAGACGAGAGAGGAACTCCTCGCTGGCCCTTGGCCTGGGCTCATTCCCAGGATGGCGCCCTGGCTCCGCAGCTGTATGTAAGAACGGGCAGGCGGGGCGGCCCGCCATGGCTTCCCCTGGCAGTCTCCAGGAACTGCCAGGCATGGGTCGCCCCACACTCAGCACTCCGAAACTTTTTTATTTCCCGGCAAGATAGAGGCTTTCTGGCCCCACTGTGGCCCCAGCCAAGGGCATCGCGGAGCTGCCCACAAAAGCGACCAGAGTAAACGGCCCCGTTCTCTGGCTGTCAGTGGCCAGTGGCTTCCCTTATGCGTATCTCAAAATGGCTGCCGGGGCAGCTGCACCCTGTGGGCTGACTGGTCTTCGGGATGCCTGGCTGATCTGTCTCGGGGCCTCTAGAGTAGCTGCTTCTCCAAGGGGTCCCAATGGCAGGTCCGCTTTGTTCTAGGGCTCTACGCCCGGGTCGGGGAAACCCTGGCTTAGGCAGAGTCCACCCCGCCCCGCCCATCCTCACTCTTCTCGGTGCCTGGCAGAAGGCAAGTGTCCCTGTCCCTGCAGCCTGTTGTCATGTCCAGAATCACCTTCCGCTGGATGGCACTGTGGCTCCGCCAATGGCGGTCACGTCTTTTCCTTCCCCCACCTTGCCTTTATCTTTCTCCATCTGCTGCCGACAGAATAAAACAAACGCCAAAAACAAAAAAAGCCAAGAAACAACGAAAGATACCGGCCAAGGAGCACCCACCTCACCTACAGCAGGGCTCTCCACCTAGGTGGTCACTTTGGGGAAGCCTGCAACGGTAGGAGGGTTCTCTGCCTCCCTCCTTCCCTCTGGATTCTTCTCCGGGCAGGGTTCCCAGTGAACCAGAGAACGTCAAGAAATTCCACCCTTAGGGCTGTGGCTCGGTGGGGGTAGGTCGCACTGGGGGCAGTGTGAGGGGGTACAGGGGGAGGGATATGTGGGTGTGTGGGTCTGCATGCGGGCCGCTGCAGATTCCTCTAGGAATCTGCGCAGGCCGCCTGAGCAAGAGACCAGGCTGCATGCCTGTGCGCACCACACTTGTCCCTAGGTAGCACTCTTCCTCTTGGGGAAGGGATCAAAGTTGGATGGAAAGCAGCCAGGTCCAGCAGGCATCCGCACCTTGTTGAGCCATGGAGCTGCAGGGAGTCGGGCCGGATGTTTCTTGGGATGATGGGACTGGACGGGACGGACTCCTGTCTGAGGCCTTCAGCTCCCTCCCTCTCTGGAGCCCAGGCACTCGTCTGTGCACAGTGGTGGGAGGAGCATGCCGGGTGGGTTTCACAGGTGGCTCTCCTGGAGAGAGAGCCTCTTGGCATGTCTGACGGAGCACGCGTGCTCAGTGGAACGTGGTGGTTCACCACTTAGTTGCCAGGCATCTTGGTCCTTGTACCCAAGTGCATGGGTAGCCAGGGCCCAGCCTGCCCCACTTCGCCTGGACCCCGTCTGATTTCCTGTGCTGCGTGTGGAGGTGGAGGTTGAGCCTTGAGTATTTTGGGGGAGAAGGGGCTCGGGCGGGGGGCTGTGTTTTGGTTTGGTAGAGGGCTCACTGGGCTCTCGAGCTAAACCCTGGTGCTTGCCGGATATTCAGCCCAGAAAATGCATGAGACCGTCAAGGACAAATTATGCCGCCCATAATTAGGGTCTCCAGGCAGACATAAGAAAGCCTGATGCGGGACATCATACAGTGCCCATGTTGGGATGCGAAGCCGCGACCGCCTTGCTCTAAAGGTTGCATAGGCTACTCATGCCGCTGGGTGCCTGGACAGCAGCATGGAACACAACGCTCCCCGAATATTGCAAATGTTTTCTGTCTTGGCTTGTTACAAATCTTCCTGGATGTGTAGGCCACCCTGGGGACGAGCAGCCCTTCTTAGGGCAGAAAATTCACCCCACGGGTGATGATTCCCACGCTGGGGGTGTGTGAACCACTCTCACAAGGAGGAATGTCAATCTCGTGAGCGGGCCTGCACTCTCACGGCATTCCGGGCAGAAGAACCACATGACCATGGAACAGGAGTCACCCCCTTTCTGTCACTTGTCAACAAATGCGGATTTTTTTTTTTTTTTTTTTTTTTTTTTCCTCATATGTAGGTAGCATGCACCAGGGTGCGCCTCTGGCGGTGCCTAGGGAGAACGCGAGAAGAAAAGAATGCAGGAAGATCTGGACTGCGTCTTTAGGGTTGGCACTGGGACTGTGAGTGTCAGAGGTCCTCGGTTTTAACTTTTAACTCCCATCACATCTCAACTGTTTCCTGTCTTCATCTGTGCTTCCACAGGTCCTGAGGCAGGCCCGTACACGTATCCCCACCCATACTCACAAGCGTCTGCCCAGACACCTTCATTCACAGCCGGGGCCGGTCATCTAGGCAACTCTCAGGGGGGCAGGTTTTCAGCTTTCGGGTTCCCTCTTGTTCACTTCACCTTCCTTGTCGCTTTCTGCCTGGCTTCCCAATATGTGCTGACGGAGTGTGCGGGATGGGGTTGAGGTGTGGGCAGCAGGGTGCAGAGCCGCCTACTGGCCCAACAGGCCTCTGGGCGGACGCGGTGCAGACCCGGGCCTAAGGGGCTGATGCTTTCTCCTAGCTGGTGGCTCTTTTTCTGTCAGGCCACTCACAGGGCTGCCAGCTGTCCAGCTGGGGCACTCTGCATTCCACTTCGCTCTCAACCTCATTGCTCACTCTGATTCTTTGTGTACTTTCGGAGTTTTCCTCCCCTCACTTTTTTCTTCTTCACTTTCTTTACTTTTCGTCCACTTCTGTTTGGGGAGGTGAGAAGCAGCCTGGAAGGCAGGGTCGACTGGGCGCGGGGATACCGTTAGGGAAAACAGGCTTACTTTTCCTAAGGAAATTAGGAGGACTCTAGCTGACCCCTGTGAGGAGAAATTGGCATTTCCCTCCCCTTTCTGCCCTGTCTCCATATTGCCGTGGGTGGCCGATTACCTCTTTTCCCTGGTGTCTGATTCCTCCCCGTTTATTACCTTCCTCTTTTTGGGGGGGGGGCTCTTCCCTGCCTTGGCCTTGTAGACTTGGGGTTCGGTGACCCTTGCAGTCGGCTGATGGCATCCTCAGGGCAAGGTTCAGCCTGCACCTGTGTCCTCTGTAGCTTCTGTAGGCCGATTTGTGGATCAAAGTTTCGGTCCCACTCAGGAAAGATCCCATCGACAAGAAGCTTCCTGGTTGTTCGTCCTTTAAGCGGGACGTGACTGGTGGCTCCTTGTCCCTCGTTGTGCATGTCACCATGCATTGAGGTCTTCCTGAACTAGATCCTCCAGGACAGCTACAGTGGCATGGACCTCCCTCTTTCTTGTTCTTCTGATTCTTCTTCCTCTTCCTCCTTCTTCTTCTTCTTCTCTACTTTTATTCTTCCCTTTCTCCTCTATTTTACCTCTTGCTCCTCCTCCTCCAACTTCCTCTCCTCCTCCTCATGCTCCTCCTTTTTGTCCTCCTCCTCCTCCTCCTTCTTCTCGTTCTCGTTCTCCTTTTCCTTCTTCTTTTTCTTCTCATTTTTCTTCTTCTTCTTAATCTTTTTCTGCCTCCTCCTCCTCCTCCTCCTCCTCCTCCTCCTCCGCCTCCTCCTCCTCCTCCTCCTCCTCCTCCTCCTCCTTTTCCTCTTCTTCTTTTTCTGCTTTTGCTTCTGCTTTTTCTTCCCTTTTTCCCTTCACACTCAGATCTGTTCGGGCAAGTGTTCTAGGAGACTGCTGCTGCTTTTGCTTTTTGGTGATTCGACATGTCCCTCTGCAGCACTAGGCCTGGAGGAAGCGTCACTTTTGTTCTCAAAGGAGCACTGATGAAGGTCACCAGTTTATTCCCTCTGGTCCACCAAAAAGCTGCCCACGTGTTACTTTTAAGTGAAATGTCGTGGTGAACCCACCGTTTACCCAGTACCTCATGTCTCACCGTTATTCCCCATTGTCCTTGTGGATGCTCTAAGTGTGCCTTTCTGAGCCATTAGGAGCTTTGGCAAGTTGTCCCCTGTCTCCTTTTTCTCCAGTCAAGCCATGTGAACACATCGATCCAGATGTGTGCAGGCAGGGTGTCTCTGCCACGTGTTCATTTGCCCACTGTCACTCACACAGGCAGGCACCCACAGACCGCAGACTCAGGTACACAGGCACGCAATCATATGGGATCCGGCAACCCAAACTGAAATACACGCGCACACACAGACACATGCACACGCAGACACAAACGCACACGTTAAACACGCCCAAGTAGACACACGCATACATACACAAACACACGCACGTGCGCACACACGTCAGCTCACACTAGCAAAGGGGTGTGAGCTCAAGCATTATCGGACACAGACTCCTACACACCGCCACTGGCTCGAAAGCGCCCACAACCTCTTCCACGCTGGCTCTAAATGTGCAAAGCAGAACGGGAGACAGGCGAGCATTCCTGGCTCCAGTCCTGGGTCATCATGCCATTTATTGGGCAACTAGGGTCTTCTCCTGAGAATGAATGCGGGATGTGTGTCATCAGATAGGCCCAAGCAGCAGGTATGAAACTGGATCATCCTGGGTTATGCTGCTTAAAAAGGGACCCCACTTTGGAGGAGGGGCAGAGACAGTCCCCCTGGAGTCTTGGCTCTGTGTGATGCTATGAGTATCTGTGGCGCGGGGTGGCCTTCCCAGGCCTCCCTGAGCCGCCCCCCTCCCACCCTCTCCTGTGTGAAAGCCGAGACAGCCTGAGCAGAGTCAGACTTGAGTGTGTTGCTGAGTGTCTCCTGTGAGGGAGACTCCTGCCTCAGCCCTGTGGCTGCCTGTTGAGCCTTCGGCCCCGTTCTGGTGACCTCCGTGTGCCATGCCAAGGTGGTAAACACTACCTGCAGCTCCAGGCCTTGGGAGGACCCCCGGTCCTGGGGCAAATCCTTGTGTAAGCCAGCTGGGTGGCCAGCGCCTTGTCCTGGGGCGGCAGCCCTATGATCCCAGTCCTCCTGTGGTTTCCCAGAGGCGGTGATTATGTGTCCTTTGTCTTTTACTTCCTGCACCAGCGGGAGCCAAAATCCCTGAAGAGGGCCAAAGGAAAGGCAGAGGTTGGCTGCCTCCACCGCATTCCCGCAGGTTCTCCAGCCGGCTGGTCGTTGGTCCTAGGGTCCCCTGAGTTTGGCGGTCAACCTGGGACCAGGTGGCTGGTTCCTTTCCCTTCTCCGTGTCTTTCTTTTATTATTATGTTTTCTCCTTCCTCTTTGCTTTTTTCACACGAGAAAGGGCGGAGGCCCTCGGATTGGAGGGGCAGGGTTGTGGTTGTACTTGGCATTTGTGGTGCCATACTGCCATCAAGCGGAAACCGTTTCTGGAAACCGGAGGCTGTAGGGCACAAGTACTGGGGAAAGGCCAGGAGCCCAAAAGGGAGGGTGGTGTGGGACCCCAGACTGAAGCGAGACGAGAGAGGAACTCCTCGCTGGCCCTTGGCCTGGGCTCATTCCCAGGATGGCGCCCTGGCTCCGCAGCTGTATGTAAGAACGGGCAGGCGGGGCGGCCCGCCATGGCTTCCCCTGGCAGTCTCCAGGAACTGCCAGGCATGGGTCGCCCCACACTCAGCACTCCGAAACTTTTTTATTTCCCGGCAAGATAGAGGCTTTCTGGCCCCACTGTGGCCCCAGCCAAGGGCATCGCGGAGCTGCCCACAAAAGCGACCAGAGTAAACGGCCCCGTTCTCTGGCTGTCAGTGGCCAGTGGCTTCCCTTATGCGTATCTCAAAATGGCTGCCGGGGCAGCTGCACCCTGTGGGCTGACTGGTCTTCGGGATGCCTGGCTGATCTGTCTCGGGGCCTCTAGAGTAGCTGCTTCTCCAAGGGGTCCCAATGGCAGGTCCGCTTTGTTCTAGGGCTCTACGCCCGGGTCGGGGAAACCCTGGCTTAGGCAGAGTCCACCCCGCCCCGCCCATCCTCACTCTTCTCGGTGCCTGGCAGAAGGCAAGTGTCCCTGTCCCTGCAGCCTGTTGTCATGTCCAGAATCACCTTCCGCTGGATGGCACTGTGGCTCCGCCAATGGCGGTCACGTCTTTTCCTTCCCCCACCTTGCCTTTATCTTTCTCCATCTGCTGCCGACAGAATAAAACAAACGCCAAAAACAAAAAAAGCCAAGAAACAACGAAAGATACCGGCCAAGGAGCACCCACCTCACCTACAGCAGGGCTCTCCACCTAGGTGGTCACTTTGGGGAAGCCTGCAACGGTAGGAGGGTTCTCTGCCTCCCTCCTTCCCTCTGGATTCTTCTCCGGGCAGGGTTCCCAGTGAACCAGAGAACGTCAAGAAATTCCACCCTTAGGGCTGTGGCTCGGTGGGGGTAGGTCGCACTGGGGGCAGTGTGAGGGGGTACAGGGGGAGGGATATGTGGGTGTGTGGGTCTGCATGCGGGCCGCTGCAGATTCCTCTAGGAATCTGCGCAGGCCGCCTGAGCAAGAGACCAGGCTGCATGCCTGTGCGCACCACACTTGTCCCTAGGTAGCACTCTTCCTCTTGGGGAAGGGATCAAAGTTGGATGGAAAGCAGCCAGGTCCAGCAGGCATCCGCACCTTGTTGAGCCATGGAGCTGCAGGGAGTCGGGCCGGATGTTTCTTGGGATGATGGGACTGGACGGGACGGACTCCTGTCTGAGGCCTTCAGCTCCCTCCCTCTCTGGAGCCCAGGCACTCGTCTGTGCACAGTGGTGGGAGGAGCATGCCGGGTGGGTTTCACAGGTGGCTCTCCTGGAGAGAGAGCCTCTTGGCATGTCTGACGGAGCACGCGTGCTCAGTGGAACGTGGTGGTTCACCACTTAGTTGCCAGGCATCTTGGTCCTTGTACCCAAGTGCATGGGTAGCCAGGGCCCAGCCTGCCCCACTTCGCCTGGACCCCGTCTGATTTCCTGTGCTGCGTGTGGAGGTGGAGGTTGAGCCTTGAGTATTTTGGGGGAGAAGGGGCTCGGGCGGGGGGCTGTGTTTTGGTTTGGTAGAGGGCTCACTGGGCTCTCGAGCTAAACCCTGGTGCTTGCCGGATATTCAGCCCAGAAAATGCATGAGACCGTCAAGGACAAATTATGCCGCCCATAATTAGGGTCTCCAGGCAGACATAAGAAAGCCTGATGCGGGACATCATACAGTGCCCATGTTGGGATGCGAAGCCGCGACCGCCTTGCTCTAAAGGTTGCATAGGCTACTCATGCCGCTGGGTGCCTGGACAGCAGCATGGAACACAACGCTCCCCGAATATTGCAAATGTTTTCTGTCTTGGCTTGTTACAAATCTTCCTGGATGTGTAGGCCACCCTGGGGACGAGCAGCCCTTCTTAGGGCAGAAAATTCACCCCACGGGTGATGATTCCCACGCTGGGGGTGTGTGAACCACTCTCACAAGGAGGAATGTCAATCTCGTGAGCGGGCCTGCACTCTCACGGCATTCCGGGCAGAAGAACCACATGACCATGGAACAGGAGTCACCCCCTTTCTGTCACTTGTCAACAAATGCGGATTTTTTTTTTTTTTTTTTTTTTTTTTTCCTCATATGTAGGTAGCATGCACCAGGGTGCGCCTCTGGCGGTGCCTAGGGAGAACGCGAGAAGAAAAGAATGCAGGAAGATCTGGACTGCGTCTTTAGGGTTGGCACTGGGACTGTGAGTGTCAGAGGTCCTCGGTTTTAACTTTTAACTCCCATCACATCTCAACTGTTTCCTGTCTTCATCTGTGCTTCCACAGGTCCTGAGGCAGGCCCGTACACGTATCCCCACCCATACTCACAAGCGTCTGCCCAGACACCTTCATTCACAGCCGGGGCCGGTCATCTAGGCAACTCTCAGGGGGGCAGGTTTTCAGCTTTCGGGTTCCCTCTTGTTCACTTCACCTTCCTTGTCGCTTTCTGCCTGGCTTCCCAATATGTGCTGACGGAGTGTGCGGGATGGGGTTGAGGTGTGGGCAGCAGGGTGCAGAGCCGCCTACTGGCCCAACAGGCCTCTGGGCGGACGCGGTGCAGACCCGGGCCTAAGGGGCTGATGCTTTCTCCTAGCTGGTGGCTCTTTTTCTGTCAGGCCACTCACAGGGCTGCCAGCTGTCCAGCTGGGGCACTCTGCATTCCACTTCGCTCTCAACCTCATTGCTCACTCTGATTCTTTGTGTACTTTCGGAGTTTTCCTCCCCTCACTTTTTTCTTCTTCACTTTCTTTACTTTTCGTCCACTTCTGTTTGGGGAGGTGAGAAGCAGCCTGGAAGGCAGGGTCGACTGGGCGCGGGGATACCGTTAGGGAAAACAGGCTTACTTTTCCTAAGGAAATTAGGAGGACTCTAGCTGACCCCTGTGAGGAGAAATTGGCATTTCCCTCCCCTTTCTGCCCTGTCTCCATATTGCCGTGGGTGGCCGATTACCTCTTTTCCCTGGTGTCTGATTCCTCCCCGTTTATTACCTTCCTCTTTTTGGGGGGGGGGCTCTTCCCTGCCTTGGCCTTGTAGACTTGGGGTTCGGTGACCCTTGCAGTCGGCTGATGGCATCCTCAGGGCAAGGTTCAGCCTGCACCTGTGTCCTCTGTAGCTTCTGTAGGCCGATTTGTGGATCAAAGTTTCGGTCCCACTCAGGAAAGATCCCATCGACAAGAAGCTTCCTGGTTGTTCGTCCTTTAAGCGGGACGTGACTGGTGGCTCCTTGTCCCTCGTTGTGCATGTCACCATGCATTGAGGTCTTCCTGAACTAGATCCTCCAGGACAGCTACAGTGGCATGGACCTCCCTCTTTCTTGTTCTTCTGATTCTTCTTCCTCTTCCTCCTTCTTCTTCTTCTTCTCTACTTTTATTCTTCCCTTTCTCCTCTATTTTACCTCTTGCTCCTCCTCCTCCAACTTCCTCTCCTCCTCCTCATGCTCCTCCTTTTTGTCCTCCTCCTCCTCCTCCTTCTTCTCGTTCTCGTTCTCCTTTTCCTTCTTCTTTTTCTTCTCATTTTTCTTCTTCTTCTTAATCTTTTTCTGCCTCCTCCTCCTCCTCCTCCTCCTCCTCCTCCTCCGCCTCCTCCTCCTCCTCCTCCTCCTCCTCCTCCTCCTTTTCCTCTTCTTCTTTTTCTGCTTTTGCTTCTGCTTTTTCTTCCCTTTTTCCCTTCACACTCAGATCTGTTCGGGCAAGTGTTCTAGGAGACTGCTGCTGCTTTTGCTTTTTGGTGATTCGACATGTCCCTCTGCAGCACTAGGCCTGGAGGAAGCGTCACTTTTGTTCTCAAAGGAGCACTGATGAAGGTCACCAGTTTATTCCCTCTGGTCCACCAAAAAGCTGCCCACGTGTTACTTTTAAGTGAAATGTCGTGGTGAACCCACCGTTTACCCAGTACCTCATGTCTCACCGTTATTCCCCATTGTCCTTGTGGATGCTCTAAGTGTGCCTTTCTGAGCCATTAGGAGCTTTGGCAAGTTGTCCCCTGTCTCCTTTTTCTCCAGTCAAGCCATGTGAACACATCGATCCAGATGTGTGCAGGCAGGGTGTCTCTGCCACGTGTTCATTTGCCCACTGTCACTCACACAGGCAGGCACCCACAGACCGCAGACTCAGGTACACAGGCACGCAATCATATGGGATCCGGCAACCCAAACTGAAATACACGCGCACACACAGACACATGCACACGCAGACACAAACGCACACGTTAAACACGCCCAAGTAGACACACGCATACATACACAAACACACGCACGTGCGCACACACGTCAGCTCACACTAGCAAAGGGGTGTGAGCTCAAGCATTATCGGACACAGACTCCTACACACCGCCACTGGCTCGAAAGCGCCCACAACCTCTTCCACGCTGGCTCTAAATGTGCAAAGCAGAACGGGAGACAGGCGAGCATTCCTGGCTCCAGTCCTGGGTCATCATGCCATTTATTGGGCAACTAGGGTCTTCTCCTGAGAATGAATGCGGGATGTGTGTCATCAGATAGGCCCAAGCAGCAGGTATGAAACTGGATCATCCTGGGTTATGCTGCTTAAAAAGGGACCCCACTTTGGAGGAGGGGCAGAGACAGTCCCCCTGGAGTCTTGGCTCTGTGTGATGCTATGAGTATCTGTGGCGCGGGGTGGCCTTCCCAGGCCTCCCTGAGCCGCCCCCCTCCCACCCTCTCCTGTGTGAAAGCCGAGACAGCCTGAGCAGAGTCAGACTTGAGTGTGTTGCTGAGTGTCTCCTGTGAGGGAGACTCCTGCCTCAGCCCTGTGGCTGCCTGTTGAGCCTTCGGCCCCGTTCTGGTGACCTCCGTGTGCCATGCCAAGGTGGTAAACACTACCTGCAGCTCCAGGCCTTGGGAGGACCCCCGGTCCTGGGGCAAATCCTTGTGTAAGCCAGCTGGGTGGCCAGCGCCTTGTCCTGGGGCGGCAGCCCTATGATCCCAGTCCTCCTGTGGTTTCCCAGAGGCGGTGATTATGTGTCCTTTGTCTTTTACTTCCTGCACCAGCGGGAGCCAAAATCCCTGAAGAGGGCCAAAGGAAAGGCAGAGGTTGGCTGCCTCCACCGCATTCCCGCAGGTTCTCCAGCCGGCTGGTCGTTGGTCCTAGGGTCCCCTGAGTTTGGCGGTCAACCTGGGACCAGGTGGCTGGTTCCTTTCCCTTCTCCGTGTCTTTCTTTTATTATTATGTTTTCTCCTTCCTCTTTGCTTTTTTCACACGAGAAAGGGCGGAGGCCCTCGGATTGGAGGGGCAGGGTTGTGGTTGTACTTGGCATTTGTGGTGCCATACTGCCATCAAGCGGAAACCGTTTCTGGAAACCGGAGGCTGTAGGGCACAAGTACTGGGGAAAGGCCAGGAGCCCAAAAGGGAGGGTGGTGTGGGACCCCAGACTGAAGCGAGACGAGAGAGGAACTCCTCGCTGGCCCTTGGCCTGGGCTCATTCCCAGGATGGCGCCCTGGCTCCGCAGCTGTATGTAAGAACGGGCAGGCGGGGCGGCCCGCCATGGCTTCCCCTGGCAGTCTCCAGGAACTGCCAGGCATGGGTCGCCCCACACTCAGCACTCCGAAACTTTTTTATTTCCCGGCAAGATAGAGGCTTTCTGGCCCCACTGTGGCCCCAGCCAAGGGCATCGCGGAGCTGCCCACAAAAGCGACCAGAGTAAACGGCCCCGTTCTCTGGCTGTCAGTGGCCAGTGGCTTCCCTTATGCGTATCTCAAAATGGCTGCCGGGGCAGCTGCACCCTGTGGGCTGACTGGTCTTCGGGATGCCTGGCTGATCTGTCTCGGGGCCTCTAGAGTAGCTGCTTCTCCAAGGGGTCCCAATGGCAGGTCCGCTTTGTTCTAGGGCTCTACGCCCGGGTCGGGGAAACCCTGGCTTAGGCAGAGTCCACCCCGCCCCGCCCATCCTCACTCTTCTCGGTGCCTGGCAGAAGGCAAGTGTCCCTGTCCCTGCAGCCTGTTGTCATGTCCAGAATCACCTTCCGCTGGATGGCACTGTGGCTCCGCCAATGGCGGTCACGTCTTTTCCTTCCCCCACCTTGCCTTTATCTTTCTCCATCTGCTGCCGACAGAATAAAACAAACGCCAAAAACAAAAAAAGCCAAGAAACAACGAAAGATACCGGCCAAGGAGCACCCACCTCACCTACAGCAGGGCTCTCCACCTAGGTGGTCACTTTGGGGAAGCCTGCAACGGTAGGAGGGTTCTCTGCCTCCCTCCTTCCCTCTGGATTCTTCTCCGGGCAGGGTTCCCAGTGAACCAGAGAACGTCAAGAAATTCCACCCTTAGGGCTGTGGCTCGGTGGGGGTAGGTCGCACTGGGGGCAGTGTGAGGGGGTACAGGGGGAGGGATATGTGGGTGTGTGGGTCTGCATGCGGGCCGCTGCAGATTCCTCTAGGAATCTGCGCAGGCCGCCTGAGCAAGAGACCAGGCTGCATGCCTGTGCGCACCACACTTGTCCCTAGGTAGCACTCTTCCTCTTGGGGAAGGGATCAAAGTTGGATGGAAAGCAGCCAGGTCCAGCAGGCATCCGCACCTTGTTGAGCCATGGAGCTGCAGGGAGTCGGGCCGGATGTTTCTTGGGATGATGGGACTGGACGGGACGGACTCCTGTCTGAGGCCTTCAGCTCCCTCCCTCTCTGGAGCCCAGGCACTCGTCTGTGCACAGTGGTGGGAGGAGCATGCCGGGTGGGTTTCACAGGTGGCTCTCCTGGAGAGAGAGCCTCTTGGCATGTCTGACGGAGCACGCGTGCTCAGTGGAACGTGGTGGTTCACCACTTAGTTGCCAGGCATCTTGGTCCTTGTACCCAAGTGCATGGGTAGCCAGGGCCCAGCCTGCCCCACTTCGCCTGGACCCCGTCTGATTTCCTGTGCTGCGTGTGGAGGTGGAGGTTGAGCCTTGAGTATTTTGGGGGAGAAGGGGCTCGGGCGGGGGGCTGTGTTTTGGTTTGGTAGAGGGCTCACTGGGCTCTCGAGCTAAACCCTGGTGCTTGCCGGATATTCAGCCCAGAAAATGCATGAGACCGTCAAGGACAAATTATGCCGCCCATAATTAGGGTCTCCAGGCAGACATAAGAAAGCCTGATGCGGGACATCATACAGTGCCCATGTTGGGATGCGAAGCCGCGACCGCCTTGCTCTAAAGGTTGCATAGGCTACTCATGCCGCTGGGTGCCTGGACAGCAGCATGGAACACAACGCTCCCCGAATATTGCAAATGTTTTCTGTCTTGGCTTGTTACAAATCTTCCTGGATGTGTAGGCCACCCTGGGGACGAGCAGCCCTTCTTAGGGCAGAAAATTCACCCCACGGGTGATGATTCCCACGCTGGGGGTGTGTGAACCACTCTCACAAGGAGGAATGTCAATCTCGTGAGCGGGCCTGCACTCTCACGGCATTCCGGGCAGAAGAACCACATGACCATGGAACAGGAGTCACCCCCTTTCTGTCACTTGTCAACAAATGCGGATTTTTTTTTTTTTTTTTTTTTTTTTTCCTCATATGTAGGTAGCATGCACCAGGGTGCGCCTCTGGCGGTGCCTAGGGAGAACGCGAGAAGAAAAGAATGCAGGAAGATCTGGACTGCGTCTTTAGGGTTGGCACTGGGACTGTGAGTGTCAGAGGTCCTCGGTTTTAACTTTTAACTCCCATCACATCTCAACTGTTTCCTTGTCAACAAATGTGTGTCCTTTTCTCATAAGTGTATACCATCCACCTCGGGGCCCCTCCTTTTGTGCCTTGGGACATCGGGTGAAGTAAGGAACGCAGGAACTTTGGTGTTGTTAGTTTTAGTGTCAGAGGTTCTTGTTTTTACCTTTGAACATCAATCACGTCTGAACTATATCCTGTCTTCATCTGTGGTTGCATAGGTCCTCAGGCACATACAAGTATCTTCTCCAGTAATGACAAGCTTCTGCCTAGACACCTTCATTCACAACTGTTTCCCGTCATCTAAGCAACCCTCAGGAGGTAGTTGTTAAGCTTTCACGTTCCCTCCTGTTCATTTTTCTTATTGCTTTCTCTCTGCCTTCCCAATATTTGCTGATGGAGTGTGCGGGATGGGGTTGAGGTGTGGGCAGCAGGGAACAGGGCAGTCTCCTGGCCCAACAGATCTTTGTGCAGACGCGGTACAGACCCGGGATTTAGGGGCTTATGCTTTCTTCTGGCTGGCGCCTTATCCTGTGTGAGGACACAGGAGGCTACTCACAGGGCTGTCAGCTTTCCATATGATGAACTCTGCTTTCCAGTTTACTCTGTAACTCATTGCTCACTCTGATTCTTTGTGTACTTTTGGAGTTTTCCTCCCTTCACTTTTTTCTTCTTCACTGTCTTTACTTTTCGTCCGCTTCTGTTTATGGAGGTCACAATCAGCCAAGAAGGCAGGGTCAGTTATGCACGGGGACATGGTTAAGGAAAACAGGCTTACTGTTTCTAAGGAAATTAGAAGGACTCCAGCTGAACCCTGCGAGGAGAAGTTGGCATTTCCTTATTCTTTCTGCCGTGTCTCCATATTGCCATGGGTGGCTGATTACCTCTTTTCCCTGGTGTCCGATTCCTCCCCGTTTTTCATCTTTTTCTTTTGGGTGGTTCTTCACTGCCTTGGTTTTGTAGACTTTGGGCTTGGTGGCCCCTTGCAGTCAGCTGATGACATCCTCAGGGTAAGGTTCAGCCTACACTTGTGTACTCTGTAGTTCTGCAGGCCAATTTGTGGATCAAAGTTTTGATCCCACTCAGGAAAGATCCCATCGACAAGAAGCTTCTCGTTTGTATGTCCTTTAAACGGGAGGTGACCTGGGGCTCCTTGTCACTCATTGTGTATGTCACCACACACTGAGGTCTTCCTTAACTAGATCCTTCAGGACAGCTACAGTGGCATGGACCTCCCACTTTCTGTTCTTGTTCTCTTTCTGGTTATTCTTCCTCTTCCTCCTCCTACTCTTTTAATTCCTCTTCTCTTTTTTGTTTTCTTACTCTTCCTCCTCCATCTTCTCCTCCTCCTCCTCCTTCTTCTTTCCTTCTCCTCTTCTTTTGCCTCTTCTTCTTTTTTGTCTTTTGCTTTTGCCTCTGCTTCTCTTTTTCCCTTCACTTTCAGATCAGGACAGACAAGTGTTCTAGGAGACTGCTTCTTCTTTTGCTCCTTGGTGATTCAGCATGTCTCTCTGCAGTACTAGGCCTAGAGAAAGCTTCACTTTTGTTCTTAATTTAGCACTGATGAAGGTCACCAGTTTAGTCTCTCTGGTATACCAAAAACCTTCCCACATGTTGCTTTTAAGTGAAATGTCATGGTGAACAGATCCTTTACCCAGTTCCTCATGGCTTGCTGTTATTTCCTGTTCTGTTCGTGGATGCACTAGGTGTGTAATCCTGAGCCATTAGGAAGTTTGGCAAGTTGTCCCGTGTCTCCTTTTTTTTCAGTCCAGCCATGTGAACACATTGATCCGGATTTCAGTTTTTGCAGGGTGTCTCCGCCACATGCCCATTTGCCCACTCTCACTCACAGAGGCAGGCACCCACAGACCACAGACACAGACACAATACATACACTCACAAGGGACCCCCCAATCAGAAATTAAATCACAAACACACACGCACATGGAGACTCATGCACACACAGACACAAACACACACATTAAACACGCCTAAGCGGACACACACACAGATACACACAGACACACACACACACACAGAAGTAAGCTCACACTAGTACAAATGTGCGGGTTTAAGCATTATCGTACACAGACACACACAACACCTCAGGCACGAAACTGCCCACAATGTCTTCCACTCGGGCTGTAAATGGGGCTGTAAATGGTGGCGTGTGGCCCTCAAACTGAGGCGGGACAAGAGAGGAACTCCTTGCTGGCTCTTGGCCTGCCCTCATTCCTAGGATGGCGGCCTGTCTCCACAGCTGTATGTAAGAAAGGGCAGTCGGGGCGGCCAGCCATGGCTTCCCCTGGCAGTCTCCAGAAACTGCCGGGCATGAGTCGCCCAACACTCAACACGCCGAAGCTCCTTTGTTTCCTGGGTGGATAGGGGCTTTCTTGCCCCACTGTGGCCCCAGCCAAGGGCATCCCAGAACTGCCCACAAAAGAGACCAGATTAAACGGCCCCATTTTCTGGCTGTCAGTGGCCAGTGGCTTCCCTTATGCGTATCTCAAAATGGCTGCTGGTGCAGCTCCACTCTGTGGGCTGACGGGTCTTCAGGCTGCCTGGCTGATCTGTCTCGGGGCCTCTAGAGTAGCTGCTTCTCCAAGCGGTTCCAATGGCAGGTACGATTTGTTCTAGGGCTCTAAACCCCAGTCGGGGAAACCCTGGCTTAGGCAGAGTCCACCCAGTCCCGCACATTTTCGCGGATCTCTGTGCCTGGCAGAAGGCAAGTGTCCCTGCAGCCTGTTGTCATGTTCAGAAACACCTTCCGCTGGATGGCACTGTGGCTCCACAGATGACAGTCACGTCTTTTCCTTCCCTTCCCTTGCCTTTGTCTTTCTCCATTTGTTGCGAACAGAATAAAACAAAAACACACACACAAAGCGAAGAAACAAAGAAAGAAACGGGCCAAAGAGCACCCACCTCATCTACAGCAGGGCTCCCCACCTACGTGGTCACTTTGGGGGAAGGTGCAACAGTAGGAGCGTTCTCTGCCTCCCTCCTTCTTCTGGATTCTTCTCTGGGCAGGGGTCCCAGTGAACCAGAGGAGCCTATCCTCAATACATCCCACCCTTATGGCTGTGGCATGGTGGGGGTAGGTCGCACTGGGGGCAGTGTGAGTGGGTACAGGGGGAGAGGTGTGTGGATGTGTGGCCCTGCATGCAGGCTGCTGCAGATTTCTCTAGGAATGTGCTCAGCTCCCCCTAGGCAAGAGACCAGGCCGTATGCTGAGGTGCACGACACTTGTCCCTAGGTAGCACTCTTCCTCTTGGGGAAGGGACCAAATCTTGTATGGAATGCAGTCCGGTCCAACAGGCTTCCGCACATTGTTGACCCATGGAGCAGCAAGGAGTTTGGCTGGATGTTTGTTGGGATGGGACTGGACTGGAAGGACTCCTGTTGGAGGCCTTCAGCTCCCTCTCTCTCTCTGGAGCCCAGGCACTCATCTGTGCCCAGGGGTGGGAGGGGTATTCCAGGTTGTTTTACAGGTGGCTGTCCTGGAGAGAAAGCCACTTGTTATGTCTGACTGAGCATGCGTGCTCACTGGAACGTGGTGGTTCACCAGTTATTTGCCCCGGCATCTTGGTCATTCTGCATAAGTGCATGGGTAGCCAGGTTCCAGACAGTGCTCGCCTTCTCCTGGGCCTGTCTTTGTTCCTGTTCTGCGTGTGGAAGTAGAGGTGGATCCTGGAATGTGTTGGGTGGGATGGTGGTAGGGCAACTGTGCCTTGGTTTGATACAGAGCTCTCTGGGGTCCTCAAGCTGAACTCTGGTGCTTGCGGGATATTCAGCCCTAAAAATGAATGAGTCGGTCGAGGACAAATTTTGCCGGCTCTTTAGGGTTTCCAGGCAGACGTAAGAAATCCTGACGCGGGCCATCATACAGCCCGCTTCTTGGGATGCGAAGCCATGACCGCGTTGCTCTAAAGGTTACATATGCTACCCATGCCGCTCAGTGCCTGGGCAGCAGCATGGAACACACAGCTCTTCAAATATTGCAAATGTTTTCTGTCTTTGCTTGTTACAAATCTTCCTGGATGTGTAGGCCGCACTGGGAATGAGCAGAGTTTCATAGGACAGAAAATTCATGCCACGGGTAATGATTCTCACACTCATGAGAGTGTGAACCACTCTCACAAGAGGAACATCAATCTCGGGTGTGGGCCTGCACTCCCAGGGCATTCCAGGAAGAAGACTCACATGACCATGGAACAGGAGTCACCCCCTTTCTGTCACTTGTCAACAAATGCGGATTCTTTTTTCACATGTAGGTAGCATGCACCAGGGGGTGCTTCTGCCCCTTCCTAGGGACAAAGGGAGAAGAAAAGAATGCAGGAAGATTTGGACTGTGTCTTTGGGGTGGCATTGCGACTCTGAGTGTCAGAGGACCTCGTTTTTAACTTTTAACTCCCATCACGCTTCAACTTTTTCCCATCTTCATCTGTGCTTCCATAGTTCCTCAGACAAATACACGTATCCCCACGCACACTCACAAGTGTCTGGCCAGACACCTTCATTCACCTCCGGGTACAGTCGTCTAGGCAATTCTCAGGGGGCAGTTTTTCAGCTTTCCCTTTCCTTCTTGTTTACCTTTCTTGTTGTTTCCTGTCTGGCTTCCCAATATTTGCTGATGGTGTGTGCGGGATGGGGTTGGGGTTGGGGCAGTAGAGAGCAGGGCAGCCTCCTGAACCAACAGGCCTCTATGCAGTCGCGGTGCAGACTCGGGCTTAAGGGGCTGACACTTTCTTCTTGCTGGTGGCTCTTTTTCTGTGAGGACACAAGAAGTCACTCACAGGGCTGCCAGCTATTCATTTGGTGCACTCTGCATTCCAGTTCCCTCTCAACCTCATTGATTTCTCTGATTCTTTGTGTACTTTTGGAGATTCCCTCCTTTCACTTTTTTCTCCTTCACTGTCTTTACATTTTGTCCACTTCTGTTTGGGGAGGTCAGGAGCAGCCTGGAAGACAGGGTTGACTGGTTGCGGGGACACCCTCAGGGAAAACAGGCTTACTTTTCCTAAGGAAATTAGAAGGACTCTAGCTGACCCCGTGAGGAAAAATTGGCATTTCCCTCCCCTTTCTGCCCTCTCTCCATATTGCCATGGGTGGCTGATTCCCTCTTTTCTCTGGTGTCTGATTCATCCCTGTTTATTATCTTTTTTTTTGGAGGTGGGGTAGGGGGTCCTTCCCTGCTTTGGCCTTGTAGACTTGGTGCTGGGTGGCCCCTTGTAGTCGGCTGATGACATCCTCAGGGCAAGGTTCAGCCTGCACCTGTGTCCTCTGTAGCTTCTGCAGGCCCATATGTGGATCAAAGTTTTGATCCCACTCAGGAGAGATCCCATTGACAAGAAGCTTCCTAGTTGTTTGTCCTTTAAAGGGCTGTGACTATGGCTCTTTGTCCTTTGTTGTGTACATCACCATGCATTGAGGTCTTCCTGAACTAGATCCTTCAGGACAGCTACAGTGGCGTGAACCTCCCACTTTCTGTTCTTTTTCTGCTTCTGGTTCTTCTTCATCTTCCTCCTTCTAATCCTCATCTTTAATTCTTCTTCTCCTCTTTTTTATCCTCTTGCTCCTTCTCTTCCAACATCCTCTTCTTCTCCTTCTCCTCCTCCTTCTCCTCCATCATCTCCTCCCTCCTCCTTCTTCTTTCTCCTCCTTCTCCTTCTTTCTGCTTCTTCTTTTTCTTCTTCTTCTTCTTCTTGTGCCTCTGCCTCCTCCTCCTTTGCCTCTTCTTTTTTTGCTTTTGCTTCTGCTTCAGCTTTTTTTCCCCCCTTCACTGTCGGATCTGGGCGGGCAATTGTTCTAGGAGACTGCTTCTTCTTTTGCTCTTTTGTGATGTGTGATGTTCCTCTGCAACATTAGGCCTGGAGAAAGCTTCACTTTCATTCTTAAAGGAGCACAGATTGAGGTCACCAGTTTAGTCCTTCTGGTCCACCAAAAAGCTGCCAACATGTTACTTTTAAATGAAATGTCGTGGTGAATGAATGCCCCCTTCACCCAGTACCTCATGGCTCACTATTATTTCCCGTTCTCCTTCTGGATGCTCTAAGTGTGTAATTCTGAGTCATTATGAGATTTGTCAAGTTGTCATCTCTCTCCTTTTTTCCAGTCCAGCCATGTGAACACATTGATCCGGATTTCAGTGTGTGCAGGCAGGGTGTCTCTGCACGTCCATTTGCTGACTCTCACTAACAAAGGTAGGCACCCACAGACCACAGACACAGACACAATGCACGCACTCACAAGGGAACATGAACCAGAAATGAAATCACAAACACACATGCACACAGACACATGCACACACAGACACAAACACACACGTTAAACAAGCCCAAGCAGACACACGCACACACACACACAAACACACAGAAGTAAGCTCACACTAGCAAAGGGGCGTGGGCTTAAGCATTGTTGTACACAGACACACACCACCACAGGCCTGAAGCTACCCACAATCTCTTCCACATGGGCTCTAAATGTGCAAAGGGGAACGGGGGACAAACAAGCATTCCTGGCTGCAGGTGTGGGTCATCATGCCATTTATTGGGCAACTAAGGCCTTCTTCTGAACATAAATGCAGGAAGTCTGTTATCAGATAGGCCCAAGCAGCAGGTGTGAAACTGGAGCATCCTGGGTCAAGCTGCTTAAAAAGGGACCCCACTTTGGGGTAGGGGTAGATAAAGTCCCCTTGGGATCCTTGTCCTTGTGTGATGCCATGAGAATCTGGTGTGTGGTGGCCTTCCCCAGCCAACCTGTGCCACCCTCCTCTCACCCTTGCCTGTGTGAAAGCAGAGTCAGACTTGAGTGAGGTGTTGAGTGTCCCCTGTGAGGAGACTCTGGCCTCAGGCCCTGTAGCTGCCTGTTGAGTGGGTGGCCCCAGTGGCCCATTCTGGTGACCTCCATTTATGATCCCAAGTTGGCAAACTCTACCTGCAGTTCCAGGCCTTGGGAAGTCTCCTAGTCTGGGGGCAAATCCTTGTATAAGACAGCCGAGTGGCCAGCGCCTCGTCCTGGAGCTGCAGCCCTATGATCCCAGTCCTCCTGTGGTTTCCCAGAGGCCATGATAATGTGTTCTTTGTCTTTTACTTTCTGCACCTGCGGGAGCCATGAAACCTAGAGAGGACCAAAGGAAGGGCAAAGGCTGGCTGCCTCCATAGCATTCCCGCAGGGTCTCCAGGCTACTGGTCCTTGGTGCTAGAGTCCCCTGAGTTTGGTTGTCAGCCTGGGACCAGGTGGCTTGTTCCTTTCTCTTCTCCTTATCTTTTTTATTTTTTTCTCCTTCCTCTTTATTCACATGGGAGAAGGCAGAGACCATCAGCTTAGAGAAGCAAGGTTATGGTTGTAGTTGGCATTTGTGGAGCCATACTGCCATCAAGTGGAAACTGTTTCTGGAAATGGGAGGGAGCTGGGCACAAGTGCTGGGGAAAGCCCAGGGGCACAAAACAGATGGTGGCATGGGGCCCCCAGACTGAAGCAGGATGAGAGAGGAGCTCCTCACTGGCCCTTGGCCTGGGCTCATTCCCAGGATGGTGCCCTGGCTCCACAGCTGCATGTAAGAAAGGGCAGTTGGGGCAGCCCACCATGGCTTCCCCTGGCAGTTTCCAGGAACTGCCGGGCATGAGTCGCCCCACACTCAGCACCCCGTAGCTCCTTTTTTTTTTTTTTTACCAGGAAGATAGGGGCCTTCTGGCCTTACTGTGGCCCCAGCCAAGGAGGGCAAGCTGTAACTGCCCACAGAAGAAACCAGAGTAAACCACTTCATTCTCTGGCTGTCAGTGGCCAGTGGCTTCCCTTATGCGTATCTCAAAATGGCTGGGGGGCAGCTTCACTGTGTGGACTGACTCGTCTTGGGGCTGCCTGGCTGCCCTGTGTCAGGGCCTCTAGAGTAACTGCTTCTCCAAGGGGTCCCAGTGGCAGGCACTCTTTGTTCTAGGGCTCTAAACCCCAGTTGGGGAAACCCTGGCTTAAGCAGAGTCCACCCAGCCCCGCACATTTTCACTGATCTCTGTGCCTGGCAGAAGGCGAGTGTCCCTGCAGCCTGTTGTCATGTTCAGAAACATCTTCCTCTGGGTGGCACTGTGGCTCCGCAAATGGCAGTCACGTCTTTTCCTTCCCCCACCTTGCCTTGTCTTTCTCCATTTGCTGCCAACGGAATAAAACAAATGCCAAAAACAAAAAGCAAAGAAACAACGAAGAAACTGGCCAAGGATCACCCACCTCACCTACAGCAGGGATCCCCACCTACGTGGTCACTTTGGGGGAACCTGCAACAGTAGGAGGTTCTTTGCCTCCCTCCTTCCCTCTGGATTCTTCTCTGGGCAGGGTACCCAGTGAACCAGAGGAGTCTGTTCTCATGAAATCCCACCCTTAGGGCTGTGTCATGGTGGGGGTAGGTTGTACTGGGGGCAGTATGATGGGGTACAGGAGAGGGATGTGTGAGTGTGTGGGCCTGCATGCAGGCCACTGCAGATTCCTCTAGGAATTGGCCCAGGTCCCCAAAGCAAGAGACCAGGCCTCATGATGGCATGCACCACACTTGTCCCTAGGTAGCACTCTTCCTCTTGGGGAAGGGACAAAATCTTGGATGGAAAGCAGCCAGGTCCAACAGGCATCCACACATTGTTGAGCCATGGAGCAGCAGGGAGTTGGGTCGGATGTTTGTTGAGATGGGACTGCATGGGACTGACTCCTGTTCGAGGCCTTCAGCTACCTCTCTCTCTGGAGCCCAGGCACTCATAGGGGTCCAGGGGTTGGAGGGATTTTCCAGGTTTTTTCACAGGTGGCTCTCCTGGAGAGAGAGCCACTTGTCATGTCTTACTGAGCGTGCATGCTCACTGGAACGTGGTGGTTCACCAGTTATTTGCCTTGGCATCTTGGTCATTCTTCCCATGTGCATGGGTAGCCAGAGCCCAGACAGTGCTTGCCTTCTCCTGGGCCCTATCTTTGTTCCTGTTCTGCGTGTCGAAATGGAGGTTGAGCCTGGAGTGTGTTGGTGGGGGGTGTGGTGGAGTGTCTGTGCCTTTGTTTGATACAGAGCTCTCTGAGGTCCTCAAGCTAAACTCTGGTGCTTGCCGGATATTCATCCAGAAAAATGAATGAGACAGTCGAGGACAAATTATGCTGCCCCTTTAGGGTCTCCAGGAAGACATAAGAAAGCCTCACTTGGGCCATCATACAGAGCCCATTTTGGGATGCGAAGCCATGACCGCGTTGCTCTAAAGGTTACATATGCTACCCATGCTGCTTGATGCCTGGGCAGCAGTATGGAACACACAGCTCTTCGAATATTGCAAATGTTTTCTTTCTTTGCTTGTTACAAATCTTCCTGGATGTGTAGACCACACTGTGAACAAGCAGAGCTTCATAGGACAGAAAATTCACCCCATGGGTATTGATTCCCACACTCAGGGGTGTGTGAA
Source organism: Homo sapiens (assembly GCF_000001405.40). Lineage (NCBI taxonomy): Eukaryota > Metazoa > Chordata > Mammalia > Primates > Hominidae > Homo > Homo sapiens. Next base: position 56,790,384 of record NC_000023.11, read on the forward strand.
CCACTCTCACATCACAAGAGCAGTGTCAATCTCGTGTGTGGGCCTCTACTCTCAGGGCATTCTGGGAAGAAGACCCACATGACTATGGAACAGGAGTCACCCCCTTTTGGTCACTTGTCAACAAATGCAGATTCTTTTCTCATAAGTAGGTAGCATGCACCACGGGGCACCTCCGGCCCTGCCTAGGTACAATGGGAGAAGAAAAGAATGCAGGAAGATCTGACTGCGTCTTTAGGAGTGACATGGCAACTCTGAGTTTCAGAGGTCCTCGTTTTTAACTTTTAACTCCCATTACGTCTCAACATTTTCCTGTCTTCATCTGTGCTTCCAAAGGTCCTCAGATACATACACATCTCACCATGCATACTAACAAGCACCTGCCCAGACACCATTCACTCCCAGATCTGGTTGTCTAGGCAACTCTTAAGGGGCAGTTTCTCAGCTTTCAGGTTCCCTCTTGTTCACCTTTCTTGTCGCTTTCTGCCTCACTTCCCAATATTTGCTGGCAGATCGTGCGGATGGGGTTGGGGTGGGCGCAGTGGGGAGCATGGCAGCCTCCTGGCCCAACAGGCCTCTGTGCAGATGTGGTGCAAACCCAGTCTTAAGGGGCTGACGCTTTCTCTTGGCTGGTGGCTCTTCTTCTGTGAAGCCACGGAAGGCCACTCACAAGGCTGCCAGCTGTCCACCTGAGGCACTCTGCATTCCAGTTTGCTCTCAACCTCATTGCTCACTCTGTTTCTCCGTGTACATTTGGAGTTTTCCTCCCTTCACTTTTTTCTTCTTCACTGTCTTTACGTTTTGTCCACTTTTGTTTGGCAAGGTCAGGAGCAGCCTGGAAGTCATGGTCTACTGGGGGAGGGGTCACCCTTAGGGAAAACAGGCTTACTTTTCCTAAGGAAATTAGGATAACTCTAGCTGACCCCTGTGGGGAGAAATTGGCATTTCCCTCCCATTTCTGCTCTGTCTCCGTATTGCCATTGGTGGGTGACTACCTCTTTTCCCTGGTGTCCGATTCATCCCCATTTATTATCTTCCTCTTTTTTGGGGGGTCCTTCCCTGCCTTGGCCTTGTAGACTTGGGGCAGGGTAGCTCTTTGCAGTTGGCTGATGACATTCTCAGGGCAATGTTCAACCTGCACCTGTGTCCTCTGTAGCTTCTGTAGGCCTATTTGTGGATCAAAGTTTTGATTCCACTCAGGAAAGATCCCAACGAAAAGAAGCTTCCTGATTATTTGTCCTTTAAGCGGAACATGACCAGTGGCTCCTTGTTCCTCATTATGTATGTCACCATGCATTGACGTCTTCCTGAACTGGATACTTCAGGACTACTACAGTGGCATGGACCTTTCTGTTCTTGTTCTCCTTCTGATTTTTCTTCCTCTTCCTCCTCCTACTTTTTTTCTTTAATTTTCCTTTTTTTATCCTCTTGCTCCTCCTCTTCCAGTTCATCTTCTCCTCCATCTTCTTCTACTCCTATTTTTCCTCCTCCTCCTCCTTCTTCTTCTTATTGTTGTTGTTGTTCTTCTTCTTCTTCCTCTTCCTCTTCCTTTCTTTCTCCTTCTTCTTCGTCCTCCTCCTCCTCTGTCTCTTTTTTTTTCTTTTTAATTTTTTTTTCTTTGCTTTTGCCTCTTCTTATGCTTCTCTTTTTCACTTCACTTTTGGATTTGGGTGGGCAAGTGTTCTAGGAGACTGCTTCTTCTTTTGCTCCTTGGTTATGCTGGATGTCTGTCTGCAGCACTAGGCCTGGAGAAAGCTTCACTTTCTTTCTTACAGGAGCACAGATGAAGGTCATCAGTTTAGTCCCTCTGGTCCACCAAAAAGCTGCCCACATGTTATATTTAAGTAAAATGTCGTGGTGAACGCACCCTTACCTCGTACCTCATGGGTTGCCATTATTTCCCATTCTCCTTAAGGATGTTGGAAGTGTGTAATCCTGAGCCATTAGGAGCTTTGGCAACTTGTCCTCTGTCTCTTTTTTTTCCAGTCAAGCCATGTGAACACATTGATCTGGATATCAGGGTGTGCAGGCAGGGTGTCTCTGCCACGTGTTCATTTGCCTACTCTCACTCACACAGGCAGGCACCCACAGACCACAGACACAATGCACTTACTCACAAGGGACCCTGCAACCAGAAATAAAATCACAAACACATGCACACAAAGAGACACATGCACGTGCAGACACAAACATTCATGTCAAATACGCCCAAGCAGACACACACACACACAAACACACACAAGTTAACTCACACTAGCAAAGGGGTGTGAGCTCAAGCATTATTGGACACAGACACACACACCCCACCACAGGCCCAAAACTGCCCACAATCTCTTCCACACTGGTTCTAAATGTGCAAAGCAGAATGTGAGACAGGCGAGCATTCCTGGCTCCAGGCCTGGGTCATCATGCCATTTATTGGGCAACTAGGGCCTTCTCCTGAGAATGAATGTGGGAAGTCTGTTATCAGATAGGCCCAAGCAGCAGGTGTGAAACTGGAGCATCCTGGGTCAAGCTGCTTAAAAACGGACCCTGCAACCAGGGTAGGGGCAGAGAAAGTCCCCTCAGGAGCCTTGTCCCTATGGGATGCCATGAGAATCTGTGGCACGTGGTGGCCTTCCTCAGCCTCCCTGAGCCACCATCCTCCCACCCCGCCTGTGTAAAAGCCAAGACAGCCTGAGCAGAGTCAGACTTGAGTGAGTTGCTGAGTGTCCCCCGTGAGGGAGACTCCGGGATTCTGGTGACCTCCATGTGCCATCCCAAGGTGGTAAACTCTACCTGCAGCTCCAGGCTTTGGAGGACCCTCAGTTCTGGGGAAAATTGTTTTGTAATCCAGCTGAGTGGCCAGCGCCTTGTCCTGGGGTGGCAGCCCTGTGATCCCAGTCCTCCTGTGGTTTCCCAGAGGCCATGATTATGTGTCCTTTGTCTTTTACTTTCTGCACTGGTGGGAGCCATAATACCTGGAGAGGACCAAAGGAAGGGCAAAGGCTGGCTGCCTCTACAGCATTCTGCAGGATCTCCAGTCTACAGGTCCTTGGTCCTAGGGTCCCCTAAATTTGGTGGTCAACCTGGGACCAGGTGGCTGGTTCCTTTGTCTTCTCCTTGTCTTTTTTTTCTCCTTCCTCTTTACTTTTTTCACATGGGAAAGCATGGAGGGCCTCAGCTTGGAGGGGCAGTTGAGGTAGTAGTTGGCATTTGTGGAGCCATACTGCCATCAAGCGGAAACTATTTCTGGAAACGGGAGGCAGCTGGGCACAACTGCTGGGGAAATCCGAGGGGCACAAAAGAGATGGTGGCGTGTGGCCCCCAGACTGAAGCTGGATGAGAGAGGAACCCCTTGCTGGCCCTTCGCCTGGGCTCATTCTTAGGATGGCACCCTGGCTCCACAGCTGTCTTTAGGAAAGGGCAGTCAGGCCGGCTGTGAGCAAGCAGAGCTTCATAGGACAGAAAATGGCTTCCCCTGGCAGTCTCCAGGAACTGCCAGGCATGAGTCACCCCACACTCAGCATCCTGAAGCTCCTTTTCCTCCCGGGAGGGTAGGGGCTCCCTGTTCCCCCTGTGGCCCCCCAAGGGCACCTCGGAGCTGCCCACAAAAGAGACCAGGGTAAACAGCCCCATTCTCATCCATCAGTTGCCAGTGGCTTCCCTTATGCACATCTCAAAATGGCTGCTGGGGCAGCTCCACCCTGTGGGTTGACTGGTCTGCAGGCTGCATGGCTGCTCTGTCTCTGGGCCTCTAGAGTAGCTGCTTCTCCAAGGGGTCCCAACGGCAGGTACGCTTTGTTCTAGGGCTCTAAACCCTGGTCGGGGAAACCCTGGCTCAGGCAGAGTCCACCCAGCCCCGCATATTTTTGCTGACCTCGGTGCCTAGCAGAAGGCAAGTGTTTCCGCAGCCTGTTGTCATGTTCAGAAACACCTTCTGCTGGATGGCACTGCGACTCCACAAATGGCAGTCATGTCTTCTTCTTCCCCCACTGTGCCTTCGTCTTTCTCCATTTCCTGCCAACTGAACAAAACCAACACAAAAAAACAAAAGCAAAGAAACAAAGAAAGAAACTGTCCAAGGAGTACCCACCTCACCTATAGCAGGTCTCCCCACCTACGAGGTCACTTTGCGGAAACCTGCAACAGTAGGAGGGTTCTCTGCCTTCCCCCTTCCCTCTAGATTCTTCTCTGGGCAGGGGTCCCAGTGAATTAGAGGATCCTATCCTCAATACATCCCACCCTTAGGCGGTGGCATGGTGGGGGTAGGTTGCACTGGGGGCAGTGTGAGGGGGTACAGGGGGAGGGGTGTGTGGGTGAGTGGGCCTGCGTGTGGGCCCCTGCCGATTCCTCTATGAATCTGCACAGGTCTCCTAAGAAGAGACCAGGCCGAATGCTGGTGCACACCACACTTGTCTCTAGGCAGCAGTCTTTTTCTTGCTGAAAGGTTAAAAGCTTGGATGGAAAGCAGCCAGTTCAAACAGGTATCCATACATTGTTGACCCATCCAGCTGCAGGGATTCGGGCCAGATATTTCTTGTGATGGGACTGGATGGGAGGGACTCTTGTCTGAGACCTTCAGCGACCTCTCTCACTGGAGCCCAGGCACTCATTCGTGCCCAGAAGTGGGAGGGGTATTTCTGGGTGAATTTCACAGTTGGCTCTTCTGGAGAGAGAGCCACTTGGCATGTCTGATAGAGCATGCATGCTTACTGGAACGTGGTGGTTCACCAGTTAGTTGTTCTGGCATCTTGGTCATTCTGCCAAAGTGCATGGGTAGCTCGCTTTCACCTGGGCCTGTCTGTGTTGCTGTGCTGCGTGTGAAAGGAGAGATTTTATGTGGAGTGTTTTAATTTGTGGTTGGGCAATTGTGCCTTGGTTTGATACAGAGCTCTCTGGGGTCCTCAAGGTAAACTCTGGTGCTTGCTGGATATTCATCCCAGAAAATGAATGAGATGGTCGAGGACAAATTATGCCGGCCCTTTAGGGTCTCCAGGCAGACATAAGAAAGCCTGACGTGGTCCATCATACAAAGCCCATGTTGGGATGCGAAGCCATGACCGTGTTGCTCTAAAGGTTACATATGCTACCCATGCTGCTCAGTGCCTGGGCAGCAGCTTGGAACACAATGCTCTCTGAATATTGCAACTGTTCTCTGTCTTTGCTTGTTACAAGTCTTTCTTGATGTGTAGGCTGCACTGGGAACAGGCAGAGTTTCACAGGACAGAAAATTTACCCCATGGGTAATGATTCCCACAATCAGGGGTGCGTGAACCACTCTCACAAGAGGAACGTCAATCTCGTGTATGGGCCTGCACTCTCTGGGCATTCCGTGGAGAAGACCCACATGACCATGGAACAGGCTTCACCCGATTTCTTTTAATTGTCAACAAATGCAGGTCCTTTTTTCATATGTAGGTAGCATCCACCACGGGCGCACCTCTGGCCCTGCCTAGGGAAAACGCGAGAATAAAAGAATGCAGGAAGATCTGGACTGTGTCTTTAGGGGTGGCATTGTGACTCTGAGTTTCAGAGGTTCTCGTTTTTAACTTTTAACCCCCATTATGTCTCAACTTTTTCCTGTCTTCATCTGTGCTTGCATAGGTCCTCAGGCACATCCATGTATCCCCACCCATGCTCATAAGTGTCTGCCCAGACACCTTCATTCACACCTGTGTCTGGTCCTCTAGGCCGCTCTCAGTGGGCAGTTTTTCAGGTTTCCGGTTCCCTCTTCATCTTTCTTGTCCCTTTCTGTCTGACTTCCCAGTATTTGTTGGCATAATGTTCAGGATGGGGTTGGGGTGGGGGCAGCGGGGAGCAGGGCAGCCCCCTGGCCTAACAGGCCTCTGTGCGGATGTGGTGGAGATCTGGGATTATGGGACTGACTCTTTCTCCTGGCTGATGGCTCCCTCTCTGTGAGCCCACAGGAGGCCACTTGGGCTGCCAGCTGCCCACCTGGAGCACTCTGCATTCCAGTTCACTCTCAACTTCATTGCTCACTCTGATTCTTTGTGTAGTTTTGGAGGTTTTCTCCCTTCACTTTTTTCTTCTTTACTCTTTTTACTTTTCATTCACTTTTGTTTGGGGAGGTCAGGATCAGCCTGGAAGTCAGGGTCAACTGGGCTAGGGAACACCCTTAGGGAAAACAAACTTATTTTTCCTAAGGAAATTAGAAGGACCCCAGCTGATCCCTGCAAGGAGTGATTGGCATTTCCCTTTCCTTTCTGCCCTCTCTCCATATTGCCATTTGTGGCTGATTATCTCTTTTCCCTGATATATATTTCCTCCCCGTTTTTCATCTTCCTCTCTTTTTGGGGGTCCTTCCCTGCCTTGGCCTTGTAGGCTTGGGGCTCAGTGGTTCCTTGCAGTCTGCTGATGACATCCTCAGGGCACTGTTCAGCCTACACCTGTGTCTTCTGTAGCTCCTGCAGGACTATTTGTGGATCAAAGCTTTTGATCCCACTCAGGAAAGATCTCATTGACAAGAAGCTTCTCGGTTGTGTGTCCTTTAAGTGGGACATGACCGGTGGCTCCCTGCCACTCGTTGTGTATGTCATCACACATTCAGGTCCCCCTGAACTAGATCCTTCAGGAGAGCTACAGTGTCATGGACCTCCCACTTCCTATTCTTTTTCTCCTTCTGTTTCTTCTTCCTTTTCCTACTCCTGCTCCTCTTCTTTATTGTTCTTTTCCTCCTTTCCTCCTCCTCCTCCTCCAACTCCCTCTCCTTCTTCTTCTTTTTCTTTCCCTCTTCTTCTTTCTTCTTCTTCTTCCTCTTCTTCCCCTTCCCTCCTTCTCCTTCTTCTTCTTCCTCTTCCTCTTCTTCTCTCCTTCTTTCCTTTTCCTCCTCCTTCTCCTTCTTCTTTTCTTCTTTGACTTCTCTTTTTGCCTTCTTTTTCTTTCTCTCCTTCTTTTCTATTTCTCCTTCTACATCTTTTTTTCTACTTTTCTTCTCCTTCTTCTTCTACTTGTTCTTCTTTCTTTCCTTTTTTTTTCACTTTTGGATTTCTGCATGCAAATGTTCTAGCAGATTGCTTCTTCTTCTCCTTGGTGATGGGGAATGTCCTTCTGCAGCTCTAGGCCTCAAGAAATGCTTCACTTTTCTTCTTAAAAGAACAGCGATGAAGGTCACCAGTTCAGTCCTTCTTTTCCACCAAAAAGCTGTCCTCGTGTTACTTTTAAGTGAAATGTCATGGTAAACACACCCTGTACCTAGTACCTTATAGCCCACCATTCTTTCCTGTTCTCCTTGTGGACTCTCTAAATGTGTAAACCTGAGTCAGTAGGAGCCTCAGCAATTTGTTACATTGTTCCCCTATTGCCTTTCCTTCCAGTCAGGCCAGGTGAACAAAACGATACGGATTTCAGTGTGTACAGTCAGGCTGTCTCTGCCATGTGCCAATTTGCCCACTCTCACTCACACAAGCAGGAACTCACAGACCACAGACACAGAACACATGCACACACTCACAAGAAACCCCACAACCAGAAATGAAATTACAAAACCCATACACACATGGAGATACATGCAGATGCAGACACAAACACACATGCAGACACACACACGCAGGCACACTGACACATAAAGTCACACATACACAACCAGACCAATAAACAGGTAACCTCACATGGGCACAGGGGTTGGGGCTCAAGCATTCTCACACTTAGAGGTAAACAAACACACAAAGCCACAGGCATGAGACTGCCCACACTGTCTCATACGGGCTCTTAATCTCTGACAAGCAATGGGCTATGGGCAAGCATTCCTGGCTTCAGGCCTGGGTCCTCATGCCATTGATTGGGCAACTTGGCTTTCTCCCAAAAATGAATGCGGGCAATCTTTTATCAGAAAGGCCACAGCAGCAGATGTGAAACTGGAGCATCCTGGGTCAACCCGCTTAAAAACAGACTCCCCTTTCAGATAGAGGCAGAGAGAGTCCTGTTGGGATCCTTAGCCCTTTGTGATGTCATGGGAATCTGTGGCAACGTGGTGGCCTTTTTGAGTCCCCCTAAGCCACATCCTCCCACCCCTGCCTGTGTGAAAGCCAGGACAGCCTGTGCAGAGTCAGACTTGCACGAGTTGCTGAGTGTGCTTTCTAAGGGATACACCTGCCTCAGGTCCTGTGGCTCCCTGTTGAGCAGTCTGCCCGTTCTGGTGACCTCCATCTGCCAGCCCAAGGCGGTAAACTACCTAGAGCCTTTGGGAGGACTCCTAGTCCTGCAGTAAAACCTTGTGTAAGCCAGCTGAGTGACCAGCACCTTGTCTTGGAACGGCAGCCCTTTAATCCCAAGCCTCTTGTGTCCCAGTGCCCATGATTATCTGTCATTTGTCTTTTACTTTCTGCAGGAGCAGGAGACATGAAACCTGGAGAAGGCCAAAGAAGGGCAAAGACTGGCTGCCTAAACAGTATTCCTGCAGGGTCTCCAGCCTACTGGTCCTTGGTCATTGGGACCTGTGAGTTTTGGTGGTCAACCTGGGACCAGTTGGCTCGTTCCTTTCTCTCCCTCCTGTCTTTTTCTCGTTCTCCTTCCTATTTGCTTTTTTCACATTGGAAAAGGTGGAGGCCCTCAGGGTGGAGGAGCAGGGTTACAACTGTACTTGGCGTTTGTGGAGCCATAGTGCCATCAAGTGGAAATTGTTTCTGGAAATGGGAGGCACCTGAGCTCATGTGCTGAGGAACGCTCGGGAGTGCCAGACAGATGGTGGTGTGGAGCCCCCAGGCTGAAGCTGGGAGAGGAACTCCTGTCTGGCCCATGGTCTATGCTCATTCCCAGGATAGCGCCCTGGCTCCACAGCTCTCTTTGTAAGAATGGACAGGCAGGGGCGGCCCACCATGGGTTCCCCTGGCAGCCCCCAGAGACTGCTTGGCATGAGTTGCCCCACCCCAGCATCCCAAAACTTCTTTGTTCCCAGGGAGGATAGGGTGCCCCTGTCCCTGCGTGGCCCCAGCCAAGGGCACCCCTGAACTCTCCACAAAAGAGACCAGAGCAAATGGCCCCAGTCTCGGCAGTCAGTGAACAGTGGTTTCTCTTAAACCCATTTCAAGATGGGGAAGCTCCGCCCACTGGGCTGACTGGTCTTGGGGCTGCCAGACTGTTCTGTCCCCGGGCCTCTAGCTTAGCTGCTTCTTCATGGAGTTCCAATGGCAGGTACACTTCCTTAAGGGCTCTGAACCCCAGTGGGGGAAACCCTGGCTTGGGCCTAGTCTACCCAGCCTGGCACATCCTCGCTGATATCTGTGACTGGAAGAAGGCAAGTGTCCTTGTAGTCTGTTGTCAAGAAACACCTTCCGCCGGATGGCACTGTGACTCCACAAATGGCAATCACCCCTTTTCCTTCCTCCACTTTGCCTTTCTCTCCTTCCTTTTGCTGCCAACCAAACAAAACAAACACACACAAAAAAAACAAAGAAACAAAGAAACTGCCCAAGCAGCACCCACCTCATCTTCAACAGGGCTCCCCACCTATGTGGTTACTTTGGGGAAACTTGCAACAGTAGGAGTGATGTCTGCCTCTCCTACCCTCTGGATTCTTCTCTGGGCAGGGGGTCCCAGTAATCCAGAGGAGCCTATCCTCAAGAAATGCTATGCTTTTGCTGTGGATTTGTAGCACCGGGGGCAGTGTGAGGGGGTAAAGGGGGAGGGGTGTGTGGGTGTTTAGGCCTGTGTGTGGGCCGCTGCAGATTCTTCTATGAATCTGCACAGGTCTCCTCAGAAGGAGACTGGTGCCTGCCTAGGGAAAACATAGGAAGAAAAGAATGCAGGAAGATCTGGACTGTGTCCTTAGGGGTGGCAAGGTGACTTTGAGTGTCAGAAATCCTCATTTGTAATATTTAACTCCCATCTCATCTAACTTTTTTCCTGTCTTCATCTGTGCTTCTATATGTTCTCAGGCACATACATGCATCCCCACCAATACTCACTAAAAGGTGTCTGCCCAGGCACCTGTGCTCACACTCAGATCCCCACATCTAGGTAACTCTCAATGGGAAGGGTTCTTCAGCTTCCCGGTTTTCTCTTATTCATTTTTGTTCTCCCTTTCTGTCTGGCTTCCCAGTATTTGCTGGTGGAGTGTGTGGGATGGTGTGGGGGTGGGGGCAGTGTGGAGCAGCGCAGTCTCTTGGCTCCACTGGCCTCTGTGTGGACCCAGTACAAACCCTGGCCTAAGGGTCTGATGCTTTTCTCTGGTAGGTGACTCTTCTTGTACGAAGGCACAAGAGGCCATTTGGGCAGCCACCTTTCCACCTGGGATATCCTGCATTTCAGTTCACTCTCAACCTCATTGCTCACCCTGATTCTTTGTGTACTTTTGGAGTTTTTCTTCCTTCACTTTTTTCTTCTTCACTCTTTACTTTTCATCAATTTCTGGTTTAGGGAGTTCAGGATCAGCCTGCAAAAGCAGGGTCGGGTGGGCACAGGAATGTCCTTAGGGAGAGTAAGCCTACTTTTCCTAAGGAAATCAGAAGGACCCGGGCTGAACCCTGGGGGTGTAAGCAGCATCCCCCTCCCCTATCTGCCTTCTGTCAGTGTTGCCATAGGTGGCTCATTACCTCCTTTCTCTGGTATCCATTTCCTCCCCGTTTTACATCTCTCCTCCCACCCATTTCCGGGGTACTTCCCTACCCAGGCCTTGTAGATTAGAAGCCCGTGGCCCCTTGCAGTGCGCTGATGACATCTGGAGGGCATGGCTCAGCCTGCACCTCTGTCCTCTGTAGCTTCTCTAGGCCTACTTGTAGATCAAAGCCCTTGATACCACTCGGAAAAGAACCCATCAACAAGAAGCTTCTTGGTGTTGTGTCCTTTCACCGGGACATCACAGGTTTCTCTTTGCCTCTTGTTGTGTATGCCACCATGCAGTGAGGCACCCCTGAACTAGGTCCTTCAGGACAGCTGCTGTGGCGTGAAGCTGCCACTTCTTGTTCTTATTGTCTTTCTGGTTCTTCTTCCTCTTCCTCCTCCTCCTCTTTTTTCTTTTTCTTTTTCTTCTACTCCTTCTCCTTCTCCTTCTCATTTTTCTCTTCTTTCTTCTCTTTTTCCTTTCACTTTTGGCTCTTGGCGGGTCAAGCATTATACTGAGACTGCTTCTTCCTCTGCTCCTGGTGATGCAGGATGCCCCTTTGCAGAACAAAAGTGAGAAAGGCCTCATTTGTTCTTAAAGGAGCAGATATGAAGGTCACCAGTTCAGTCCCTCTGGTGTTCCACAAAGGCGCCAATGTGTTACTTTTCATGAAATGTCACCATGAACCCACCCCTTAACCTGTTCCTCATGGCTCACCATTCTTTCCCATTCTCTTTGTGGATGCTCTAAATGTGTAATCCTGAGCCAGCAGGAGCCTTGGCAAGTTGTCCCCCTTTGTCTTTTCTTTCAATCCAGCCATGTGAACACAACGATCCAGATTTCAGTGTGTATAGGCAGGCTGTCTCTCCCACGTGCCCATTTGCCCACTCTCACTCACACAGGCAGGCACCCAGAGACCACAGACACAGACACAACCACATGGACTCACAGGGAAACCCCGACAACCACAAATATAATCACAAACACACATGCACAGGGAGATACACACACAGACACAAAGACATACACTAACACATGCACACTCACAAACTCATAGACACACACACACACACACACACACACACACACACACACAAATCCTCACACAGGCCCAGGGGTGCGGGCTCAAGCATTCACCCACACAGACGCACACACACATGTGTCGCCATAGCCACCAGACTGCCCACGAACTCTCCCATAAAGGCTCTCAGTCGGCCACAGGCAATGGGCTATGGGTGAGGATTCCTGGCTCCAGGCCTGGGTCATTATGCTGTTGATTGGGCACCTAAGGCCTTCTCCTGAGAATGAATGCGGGAAGTCTGTTATCAGATAAGCCCCAGCAGCCAGTGTGAAACTGGAGCCTCCTGGGTCAACCTGCTTAAAAAGGGACCACACCTTGGGTAGAGGCAGACAGTCCCCTTGGGACCCTTGGCCCTCTGTGATGCCATGGGAATCTGTGTTGCGTGGTGGCCTTCCCCAGTTCCCCTAAGCCACCCTCATGTCACCCCTCCCCCCCACCCCATGTGAAAGCCAGGACAGCCTGCACAGAGTCAGACTTCAGTCAGTTGCTGAGTATCCCCTCTGAGGGAGATTCCTGCCACACGCCCTGTGACTGCCTGTTGAGCTGTTCGCTCATTTTGGTGACCTCCATGTGCCAGCCCAAGGTGGTAAACTCTATCTGGAGCTCCAGGCTTTGGGAGAACCACCAGTCCTGCAGCAAAACCTTGGGTAATTCAGCTGGGTGACCAGCACCTTGTCCTGGGGCGGCAGCCCCATGATCCCAGTCTTCCTGTGGTTTCCCAGTGGCCATGATTATGTATCATTTGTCTTCTATTTTTCTGCATGAGCATGAGCCATGAAACCTGGAGAGGGCCAAAGGAAAAGCAAAGGCTGGCGGCATAAAGAGGATTTCCGCAGTGTCTCCTGCCTACTGGTCCTAGGTCGTAGGGTCCCTTAAGTTTGGTGGTCAACCTGAGACCAGGTGGCTGGCTCCTTTTTATCCTCCCTGTCTTTTTTTTGTTTCTCTTTCCCTTTTCTTTTTTTCACATTGGAAAGGGTGGAGGCCGTCGGATTGGAGGGGCAGGGTTAAGCTTGTAGTTGGCCTTTGTAGAGCCATAGTGCCATCGAGCGGAATCTGTTTCTGGAAACTGGAGGCAGCTGGGCATGAGTGCTGGAGAAATCCCAGGAGCACGAAAGAGATGGTGGCGGTGTGGGGCCCCCAGGCTGAAGCTGGACGAGAGAGGAACTCCTGGCTGGCCCTTTGCCCTTGCTCATTACCAGGATGGCACCCGGGCTCCACAGCCCTCTCCGAAAAAAGGGCAGGAAGGGGCGGCCCTCCATGGGTTCCCCTGGCCATCTCCAGGAATTGCCGGGCAGGAGTCGTCCCGCCCACAGCACCCCACAGCTCCTTGGTTCACTGGGAGGATAGGGGACCTCTGGCCCCAGCGTGATTCCAGGCAAGGGCACCCCAGAACTCCCCACAAAAGAGACCAGTGTAAACGACCCCAGTCTCGGCCGTCAGTAGTCAGTGGCTTCCCTTAAGCCCACCTCAAGATGGCTGCCAGGGCACCTCCGCACTCTGGACTGACTGGTCTTGGGGCTGCCTGGCTGCTCTGTCCCTGGGCCTCTAGATTAGCTGCTTCTCCGTGGGGTCCAAATGGCAGGCACACTTCCTTCAAAGGTTTAAAACCGCGATGGGGGAAACTCTGGCTTAGTCAGAGTCCACCCAGCCCGACATATTCTCGCTGAAGTCTGTGCCTGTCAGAAGGCAAGTATCCCTGCAGCCGGTCGTGTTCAGAAACAACTGCCGCTGGATGGCAGTGTGGCTCCAGAAATGGCAGTCACTTATTTCCCTTGCTTTTCTCTTTCTCCTTTTGCTTCCAACAAAACAAAACAAAACAAAAAGAAAAGAAAGAAAGAAAGAAACCGGCCAAGGAGCGCTCACCTCATCTACAGCAGGACTCCCCACCTACATGGTCTCTTTGGGGAAACCTGCAACATGCGAAAGGCTCTCTGCCTCCCTCCTTCCCTCTGGATTCCTCTCTGGGCAGGGGTCCCAGTGAGCCAGAGGAGCCTATCCTCAAGAAATCCCACCCTTGGGGCTGTGGCATGGTGGGGATAGGTCGCACTGGGGGCAATGTGAAGGGGTATGGGGGAGGGGTGTGTGAGTGCATGGGCCTGCTTGTAGGCCACTGCTGATTACTTCTCTGAATTTGCACAAGCCTCCTAAGGAGACCAGGCTGCCTGCTTGTGAGCACTACGCTTGTAAATAGGGAACACACTGTTTCTTGGGGAAGGGACAAAAGCTTGGATCAAAAGCACCCAGGTCCAACAGGCATCCATAGATTGTTGACCCTTCTAGCAGAAGAAGGTCGGGCCAGGTGTCTGTCAGGATGAGACTCGACAGATTGGACACCTGTCCCAGGCCTTCAGCTACTTTTCTCACTGGAGCCCAGGCACTCATCCATGCCCAAGAGTAGGAGGGGTATTCTGGGTGGCTTCCACAGGCGGCTCTCCTAGAGAAAGCCACTTGGCATAGCTGATGGAGCATGTGTGCTCACTGAATGTGATGGCTCACCAGTTAATTCCCCGGGCATCTTAGTCATTCTGCCAAATACATGGGTAGCCAGGCCCCAGCCATGCTCACTTTCGCCTGGGCCTCCTCTGTGTTCCTGTGCTGGGCATGGAAGTGAAGGTTGAGGCTGGCGTGTCTTTGCAGATGGTGAGGTGGCTGTTCCTTGGTTTGATACCGAGCACTCTGGGCTCCTCAAGCTGAATTCTATTGCTTGTCAGATTATTCAGCCTGGAAAATGGATGAGACAGTGGAGGACAAATTGTGCCACCCCTTTTGGGTCTCCAGGCAGAAATGGGAAAGCCATGCATGGGTCCTTCATACAGAACACTTGTTGAGATGCAAAGCTGTGGCCTCATTGCTCTAAAGGTTGCATGTCTTACCCATGCCTCTCAGTGACTGGAGAGCAGCATGGAACACAACCATCTCAGAATATTGCAAATGTTTTCTTTCTTCGCTTGTTACAAGTCTTCCTGGATGTGTAGGCTGCACTGGGAACGTGCAGAGCTTTAGAGGAGAGAAAATTCACCCTACAGGTTATGATTCCCACACTCAGAGGGGTATGACCTACTCTCACGAACGTCAGTTTCATGCATGGGCTTGCACTCTCAGGGCATTCCAGGAAGAAGGGCAACAGTACCATGGAACAGGAATCACTCCCTTTCTGTCACTTGTCAACAAATGTGGATCCTTTTCTCATGTGTAGTAATCACCATGGGGGCACCTCCAGTGCCTGCATAAGGAAAATGCAAGAAGAAAGGAATGCAGGAAGATCTGGACAGAGTTCTTCGGGGTGGCATTGGGAGTCTGAATGTCAGAGGTCCTCATTTTTAACATTTAACTCCCATCACATCTCACCTTTTTCCTGTCTTTATCTGTGCTTCCATACATCCTCAGGCACATACATGTATCCTCACCCATAGTCACTCAAAAGTGTAGGCCCAGGCACCTCCCGTAAAACCTGGATCCCATTGTCTAGACAACTCTAACTGGGCAGGGTTCCTCAGCTTCCAGGTTCTCTTTTGTTCATCTTTCTTGTCCCTATCTGTGTGGCTTTCCAATATTTGCTGGCAGAGGATGCAGGATGGGGTGGTGGTGGGGGCAGTGGGGACCAGGGCAGCCTCCAGGCTTGCCAGGCCTCTGTGCCAATGTGGTGCAGACCTGGGACTAAGGGGCTGACTCTCTTGGCTGATGGCTCTTCCTCCTCTGTGAGGCCACAGGAGGCCACTTGGGCTACTACCTGTCTACTTGGTACACTCTGCATTCCAATTCACTCTCATCCTCATTGCTCACTCTAATTCTTTGTGTACTTTTGGAGTTTTTCTCCCTTCACTTTTTTTTTATTATACTTAAAGTTCTGGGGTACATGTGCAGAACACGCAGGTTTGTTACATAGATATAGACGTGCCATGGTGGTTTGCTGAACCCATCAACTCGTCACCTACATTAGGTATTTCTCTTAATGCTATCCCTCCCCTAGCTCCCCACCCCATGACAGGCCCCGGTGTGTGATGTTCCCCTCCCTGTGTCCATGTGTTCTCATTGTTCAACTCCCACTTATGAGTGAGAACATGTGGTGTTTGGTTTTCTGTTCTTCTGTTAGTTTGCTGAGAATGATGGTATCCAGCTTCATCCATGTCTCTGCAAAGGACATGAACTCATCCATTTTATGGCTGCATAGTATTCCATGATGTATATGGGCCACATTTTCTTTATCCATCTTATCATTGATGGGCATTTGGGTTGGTTCCAAGTCTTTGCTTTTGTGAACAGTCCCGCAGTAAACATATGTGTGCATGTCTCTTTAGAGTAGAATGATTTATAATCCTTTGGGTATGTACCCAGTAATAAGATTGATGAGTCAAATGGTATTTTTAGTTCTAGATGCTTGAAGAATTGCCACACTGTCTTCCAGAGTGGTTGAACTAATTGACACTCCCACCAACAGTGTAAAAGCATTCTTATTTCTCCACATCCTCTTCAGCATCTGTTATTTTCTGACTTTTTAATGATCACCATTGTAACGGGCATGAAATGGTATCTCATTCTGGTTTTGATTTGCATTTCTCTAAAGCCCAGTGATGATGAGCTTTTTTATATGTTCATTGGCTGCATAAATGTCTTCTCTTGAGAAGTCTCTGCTCATATCTTTCGCCCACTTTTTGATGGGGTTGTTTTTTTCTTGTAAATTGGTTTAAGTTCTTTGTAGATTCTGGATATTAGCCCTTTGTCAGATGGGTAGATTGCAAAGAGTTTCTCCCATTCTGTAGGTTGCCTTTTCACTCTGATGATAGTTTCTTTTGCTGTACAGAAGCTCTTTAGTTTAATTATATCCCATTTGTCTATTTTGGCTTTTGTTGCCATTGCTTTTGGTGTTTTAGTCATGAAGTCTTTGCCCACGCCTGTATTCTGAATGGTATTGCCTAGGTTTTCTTCTAGGTTTTTTATGGTTTTAGGTTTTAGGTTTAAGTCTTTAATCCATCTTGAGTTAATTTTTGTATAAAGTGTAAGGAAGGGTTCCAGTTTCACCTTTCTGCATATGGCTAGCCAGTTTTCCCAGCACCATTTATTAAATAGAAAATCCTTCCCCATGGCTTGTTATTGCCAGGTTCATCAAATATTAGGTGGCTGTAGATGTGTGGTGTTATTTCTGAGGCCTCCATTCTGTTCCATTGGTTTATATATCTGTTTTGGTACCAGTATCATGCTGTTTTGGTTACTGTAGCCTTGTAGTGTAGTTTGAAGTTAGGCAGCGTGATGCTTCCAGCTTTGTTCTCTTTGCTTAGGATTGTCTTGGCTATTTGGGCTCTTTTTTGGTTCCATTTGAACTTTAAAGTAGTTTTTTTCTAATTCTGTGAAGAGAGTCAGGGGTAGCTTGATGGGGATAGCATTGAATCTATAAATTACCCTGGGCAGTATGGCCATTTTCATGATATTGATTCTTCCCATCCATGAGCATGGAATGTCCTTCCATTTGTTTGTGTCCTCTTTTATTTCATTGAGCAGTAGTTTGTAGTTATCCTTAAAGAGGTCCTTCACATCCCTTATAAGTTGGATTCCTAGGGATTTTATTCTCTTTGTAGTAATTGTGAATGGGAGTTCACTCATGATTTGGCTCTGTGTTTGTCTGTTCTTGGGGTATAGGAATGCTTGTGATGTTTGGACATTGATTTTGTATCCTGAGACTTTGCTGAAGTAGCTTATCAGCCTAAGGAGATTTTGGGCTGAGACGATGGGGTTTTCTAAATATACAATCATGTTATCTGCAAACAGAGACAATTTGACTTCCTCTTTTTCTAATTGAATACCCTTTATTTCTTTCTCTTGCCTGATTGCCCTGGCCAGAACTTCCAATACTGTGTTGAATAGGAGTGGTGAGAGAGGGCATTCTTGTCTTGTGCCAGTTTTCAAAGGGAGTACTTCCAGTTTTTTCCCATTCAGTATGATATTGGCTGTGGGTTTGTCATGAATAGCTCTTATTGTTTTGAGATACATTCCATCAATACCTAGTTTATTGAAAGTTTTTAGCATGAAGGCTGTTGTATTTGTCGGAGGCCTTTTCTGCATCTATTGAGATAAGTGTGTGGTTTTTTGTCATTAGTTCTGTTTATGTGATGGATTAAGTTTATTGATTTGAATATGTTGAACCAGCCTTGCATCCCAGGGATGAAGCCGACTTGATCGTGGTGGATAAGCTTTTTCAAATGCTGCCTAAAATCCTCTTTCTTTGTTGTGTCTCTGTCAGGCTTTGGTATCAGGATGATGCTGGCCTCATAAAAGTTGGGGAGTTAGGGAGGATTCCCTCTTTTTCTATTGTTTGGAATAGTTTCAGAAGGAATGGTACCAGCTCCTCTTTGTACCTCTGGTAGAATTCGTCTGTGAATCCGTCTGGTCCTGGACTCTTTTTTGGTCAGTAGGCTATTAATTGCTCCCTCAATTTCAGAGCCTGTTATTGGTCTATTCAGGGATTCAACTTCTTCCTGGTTTTGTCTTGGGAGAAGGTACATGTCCAGGAACTTATCCATTTCTTCAAGATTTTCTAGTTTATTTGCATAGAAGTATTTATAGTATTCTCTGATGGTAGTTTGTATTTCTGTGGGATCAGTGGTGATATCCCCTTTATCATTTTTTATCACATCTATTTGATTCTTCTCTCTTTTCTTCTTTATTAGGCTGGCTAGAGGTCTATCTATTTTGTTGATCTTTTCAAAAAACGAGCTCCTGGATTCATTGATTTTTTTGATGGGTTTTTCTTGTCTCTGTATTCTTCAGTTCTGATTTGATCCTAGTTATTTCTTGCCTTCTGCTAGATTTTGAATTTGTTTGCTTCTGCTTCTCTATTTCTTTTAAATGTGATATTAGGTTGTTGATTTTAGATCTCTCCTGCTTTCTCTTGTGGGCATTTAGTGCTATAAGTTTCCCTCTCCACACTGCTTTAAACGCATCCCTGAGATTCTGGTACGTTGTGTCTTTGTTCTCATTCATTCAAGGAACATATTTATTTCTGCCTTTATTTCGTTATTTACGCAGTAGTCATTCAGATGCAGGCTGTTCAGTTTTCATGTAGCTGTGCGGTTTTGAGTGAGATTCTTAATCCTGAGTTGTAATTTGATTGCACTGTGGTCTTAGAGACTGTTATAATTTCCGTTCTTTTGCATTTGCTGAGGAGTGTTTTACTTCCAATTATTTGGTCAGTTTTAGAATAAGTGCAATGTGCTGCTGAGAAGAATGTATATTTTGTTGATTTGGGGTGGAGAGTTCTGTAGATGTCTATTAGGTTCACTTGGTCCAGAGCTGAGTTCAAGTCCTGGATATCCTTGTTAATTTTCTTTCTCGTTGATCTATCTAATATTGACAGTGGGGTGTTAAAGTCTCCCACTGTTTTTGTGTGGGAATGTAAGTCTCTTTGTAGGTCTCTAAGAACTTGCTTTATGAATCTGTGTGCTCCTGTATTGAGTGCATATATATTGAGGATAGTTAGCTCTTCTTGTTGCATTGATTTATTTACCATTATGTAATGTCCTTCTTTGTCTCTTTTGATCTTTGTTCATGTAAACTCTGTTTTATCAGAGACTAGGATTGCAACCCCTGCTTTTTTTGGCTTTCCATTTGCTTGGTAAGTATTCCTCCATCTCTTTTGTTGAGCCTGTGTGTGTCTTTGCATGTGGGATGGGTCTCCTGAATACAGCACACCAATGGGTCCTAACTCTTTATCCAATTTGCCAGTCTGTGCTTTTAATTGGGGCATTTAGCCCATTTACATTTAAGGTTAATATTGTTATGTGTGCATTTAATCCTGTCGTTATGATGCTAGCTGGTTTTTTTGCCTGTTAGTTGATGCAGTTTCTTCATCATGTTGACAGTCTTTACAATTTAGTATGTTTTTGCAGTGGCTGGTACTGGTTGATCCTTCCATGTTTAGTGCTTCCTTCAGGAGCTCTTGTAAGGCAGGCCTGGTGGTGACAAAACCTCTCAGCATTTGCTTGTCTGTAAAGGATTTTATTTCTCCTTTGCCTATGAAACTTAGTTTGGCTGAATATGAAATTCTGGGTTGAAGATTCTTTTCTTTAAGAATGTTGAATATTGGCCCCCACTCTTTTCTGGCTTGTAGGGTTTCTCCCGAGAGACCTGCTGTTAGTCTGATTGGCTTCCCTTGTAACCCAACCTTTCTCTCTGTCTGCCCTTAATATTTTTTCCTTCATTTCAACCTTGGTGAATCTGACAATTATGTGTCTTGGGGTTGCTCTTCTCGAGGAGTATGTTTGTGGTGTTTTCTGTATTTCCTGAATTTCAATGTTGGCCTGCCTTGCTAGATTGGGGAAGTTCTCCTGGATAATATCATGAAGAGTCTTTTCCAACTTGGTTCCATTCTCCCTGTCACTTTCACGTACACCAATCAAATGTAGTTTTGGTCTTTCCACATAGTCCCATATTTCTTGGAGGTTTTGCTCATTTCTTGTTACTCTTTTTTCTCTAATCTTGTCTTCTTGCTTTATTTTATTGAGTTGATCTTCAATCTCTGATATCCTTTCTTCTGCTTGATCCATTCAGCTATTGATACCTGTGTATGCTTCACGAAGTTCTTGTGCTGTGTTTTTCAGCTCCATCAGGTCATTTATCTTCCTCTCTAAACTGGTTATTCTAGTTAGCAATTCATCTAACCTTTTTTCAAGGTTCTTAGCTTCCTTGCATTGGGTTAGAACATGTTCCTTTAGCTTGGAGGAGTTTGTTATTACTCACCTTTTCAAGGCTACTTCTGTTAATTTTTCCAACTCATTCTCTGTCCAGTTTTGTTCCTTTGCTGGTGAGGAGTTATGATCCTTTGGAGGAGAAAAAGTGTTCGGTTTTTGGAATTTTCAACCTTTTTGTGCTGGTTTCTCCCCATCTTCATGGATTTATCTACCTTTGGTCTTTGAAGTTGGTGACCATCAGCTGAGGTCTCTGATTGGATGTTCTTTCTGTTGATGTTGATACTATTCCTTTCTGTTTGTTAGTTTTTCTTCTAACAGTCTGGCTCCTCTGCTGCAGGTCTGCTGGAGTTTTGCTGGAGGTCCACTCCAGACCCTGTTTGCCTGGGTATCACTAGCGGAGGCTGCAGACCAGCAAAGATTGCTGCCTGTTCTTTCCTCTGGAACCTTTGTCCCAGAGAGACACCTGCCAGATGCCAGCCAGAGCTCTTCTGTATGAGGTATCTGTCAGTTCCTACTGGGAGGTGTCTCCCAGTCAGGATACATGAGTGTCAGGGATTCACTTGAGGAGGCAGTCTGTCCCTTATCAGAGCTCAAACGCTGTGGTGGGAGATCTGCTGCTCTATTCAGAGGTACCAGGCAGGGACGTTTAAATCTGCTGAAGCTGCACCCCCAACTGTTCCTTCCCCCAGGTGCTCTGTCACAAGGAGGTGGGGGTTTTATCTATAAGTCCCTGACTGGAACTGCTGCCTTTTTTTCAGAGATGCCCTGTGCAGAGAGGAGGGGATCTGGAGAGGCAGGTTGGCCACAGTGGCCTTGCTGAGCTGCGGTGGGCTCCACCCAGTTCGAACTTTCCAGCAGCTTTGTTTACACTGTAAGGGTAAAACTGCCTACTTAAGCCTCAGCAATGGCATATGCCACTCCCCCCACCAAGCTCCAGGGTCCCAGGTCAAGCTCAGAGTGGTGTGCTAGCAGCAAGAATTTCAAGCCAGTAGATCTTAGCTTGCTGGGCTCCATGGGGTTGGGACCCGCCGAGCCAGACCGGTTGGCCCCCTGGCTTCAGCCTCCTTTCCAAGGGAGTGAATGGTTTTGTCTGGCTGGACTTCTGAGTGCCACTGAGGCATGAAAAAAAAACAACTTTTGTGGCTAGCTTGGTGTCTGCCCAAACGGCCACCCAGTTTTGTGCTAGAAACCCAGGGCCCTGGTGGCATGGGCACTGGAGTGAATCTCCTGGTCTGCGGGTTGTGAAGACCATGGGAAAAGTGCAGTGTCTGTGCTGGAGTGCATGGTATAGTCCCTAATGGCTTCCCTTGGCTAGGAGAGGGAGTTCCCTGACACCTTGCACTTTCTTGGTGAGGTGACACCCCTACCCTGCTTTGGCTGACCCTCCTTGGGCTGCACCCACTATCCAACCAGTCCCAGTGAGATGAACCTGGTACCTCAGTTTGAAATGCAGAAATCACCCATCTTCTGCATCGATCTCGCTGGGAGCTGCAGACTGGAACTGCTCCTATTCCACCATCTTGCCAGCTTCCCACTTTTTTTTATCTTCACTGTCTTTACTTTTAGTCCACTTGTGGTTTGGGGAGGGTCGGGTGGGCACAGGCACATCATTAGGGAGAACATGCTTACTTTTCCTAAGAAAATTAGATGGATCCTGGCTGACCCCTGAAGTGCATAATCAGAATCCCCCTCCTCTTTCTGCCCTCCCTATTGCCATAGGTGGCTGATTACCTCTTTTTCTTGGTGTCCGGTTTCTCCCCATTTTTCATCTCTCCTCCCATTTCCAGAGTCCTTCCCTCCCTTGGCCTTATGTACTAGGGACTTGATGGCCCCTTGAAGTGTGCTGATGATATTCAGAGGG
This sequence comes from Homo sapiens, assembly GCF_000001405.40. Classification (NCBI taxonomy): domain Eukaryota; kingdom Metazoa; phylum Chordata; class Mammalia; order Primates; family Hominidae; genus Homo; species Homo sapiens. Next base: position 56,812,544 of record NC_000023.11, read on the forward strand.
CAAGATTTTGCCTGTACCTTTGTTCTCTTTTGCTCCTGCAAGGCTACTTGTGGATCAGAGCCCTTGATCCCACTCAGAAAGGACCCCATCAATGAGAAGCTTTTCAGTGGTGTGTCCTTTCACCCGGACGTCACTCATATCTCTTTGTCACTTGTTGTGTATGTCACCACGCAGTGATACACCCCTGAACTAGATCTTTCAGGACAGCTTTGGTGACACGAAGCTGCCACTTGTTGTTGTTCTTTTTCTCCTCTTTCTTTCTTCTTCTTCTTCCTTTTTCCTTTCACTTTCAGCTCTCTGCGGGACAAATGTTCTATCGAGACTGCTTCTTCTGCTCATTGGTGATGGGTGTGTCCCCTTGCAGCACCAGGCCTGGAAGGAGGCTTCACTTTCATTTTTAAAGAAGCAGAGATGAAAGTCACCAGTTCAGTTTCTCTGGTGAACAATGAGAACACTTGGACACAGGGTGGGGAACATCACACACCGGGGCCTGTCTTGCTGTGAGGGGAGGGGGAGGGATAGCATTAGAGATATACCTAATGTGAATGATGAGTTAATGGGTGCAGAACACCAACATGGCACATGTATACATATGTAACAAACCTGCACATTGTGCACATGTACCCTAGAACTTAAAGTATATATATAAAACACCACCCAGGAGTTACTTTTAAGTGAAATGTCATCGTGAATTCATGGATTTCCCAGTACCTCTTGGCTCGCTGTTTGTCCCCATTCTTTTTGTGGACTCTGTAAATGTCCAATCCTGAGCCAGTGGGAGCCTTGGCAAGTTGTGTCCTGTTGCCTTTCTTTCCAGCCCAGCCATGTGAACACAACAGCGATCCACATTTCAGTGTGTACAGGCAGGCTGTCTCTGCCACGTGCCCATTTTCCCACTCTCACTCACACAGGCAGATGCCCACAGACCACAGACACACCCACACACGCACTCAGAAGGGACTCCACACCCCAAAACATAATCACAAACACACAAGCAGAGAAACACACAAGAAACTTGACACGGGCACAAGGGTGTGGGCCCAAGTGTTCCCCCACACAGACATGTACGCACATGCACCCCCACAGGCATAACACTGCCCACAAACTCTCCCATACAGGCTCTGAATCACCACTTGCGATGGGCATGCTTTTTTGTCTCCAGGCCTGGGTCATCATGCCATTGATTGGGTAACTTGGGCGTTCCTTTGAGAATGAATGCAGGAAGTCTGTTATCAGATAGGCCCCAGCAGTTGGTGTGAAACTGGAGCTTTCTTGGTCAAACTGCTTAAAAACTTACACTCGGAAAGGATCCCATCATCACAAAGCTTCTTGGTTGTGTGTTTTTTCACGGGGATGTCACTGGTGTCTCTTTGCCACTCCCGTTCATTGTCATTGCTTCTTCTCAGTCTGATTCTTTTGTCTTTTTTTTTGTTTTTCATTTTTTATTTTCACTGCTTTACATTATTTTTAACATAATTGGTATCAGTTTCAGTTTTTTTCTTTTGTGTTTTTCAATTTGTTCTTTTACTTTTTTATTTAGTACTTTCAGATTGTAATTGATTTTTGCATTTTCTTTCTATCAATTTTTCTGGACCGAAGGTAGTCATTTTAGGTGGTGAATTTTTCTTCTTCCCAGTGGTGGATTCATAGTGATATCTTATCTTCTTTTAATTTCATGGTTTTTGAGTCTTTTTTTATTGAGTTGTTTTTGAGTGGTTATTGAATGGCTTTATTGAATGTTATATGAAATATTTTTTCTCCATTTATTTTACTCTGTAACTTTTTTTTTTCGTGGCTTATCAGGGCATTTAAGAAACAGTTTTATTAAAGTTGATTATATATCAATTAGGGATTATTAAGTCATTATTTTAAGAAGATCATTTCTCTTTTGCATCATATGTTTTAATTTTCTTTTGCTTATTGTTTAAGTGACCCAAGTTATGAACCACATTTTTTTTTTTTTTTCTGAGAGGGAGTCTCGCTCTGTTGTCTAGGCTGGTGTGCAGTGGTGTGACCTTGACTCATTGCAACCTCCACCTCCCAGGTTCAACCGATTCTTCTGCCTCAGGCTCCTGAGCAGCTAGGACTACAGGTGCATGCCACCATGCCCAGCTGATTTTTTGGTACTTTTAGTAGAGATGGTGTTTCACCATGTTGGCCCGGATGGCCTCCATCTCTTGACCTCGTGATCTGCTCACCTCGGCCTCCCAAAGTGCTGGGATTACAGACCTGAGCCACCATACCTGGTGAACCACATCTTCTCTTCCGCTGTTCACCTTAGACTCTTGATCATATTTTGGGGTATTTCTTTTTTTTTTTAATTTGATCAAATGTGATAGTAAGAAATGTCATATTTTATGTGTCATTAATAGCTAATAGAGAATATATTTTTGGAATATATATTTAACCTTTACTTCATTCTATAATGCTTTTTACATTTCTGTCATATCTTATACACAATTTTTACTACACTGAGAAATTTATTCTTAAAGTAGTGATAAATCAACTCATTTTAATATAAATTCATGATTTTATAGACTATATGACTTGGCTTAAATAGATCTTTCTGAGAAATCAGGAAAATTTGAAAGCCATCAATAAATTATTTACTCTTTGATAATGAAAATATTTTAATAAAAATGCTAAAAACACTTAATTTTAAACCAAAATACAGTATAGTATCTGGTAAAGAGATTTAAACCTATGTTGCAAAGATGATTAAAATGATTCATACGCAATGACCCTTTATAGAGATTCATTTAAATTAAAATTTATTTTTCTACATCAAAATGAGGAGATCATCATGACTAAGAAATTTTGGATTACTAAATTCTTAAAAAATTGTCCACTTTTAAAATTCTATTAAGGTACAATAAATCAAACATATACTATGTTTTCTTTATCATTTATAGAAATTTAAAGTATGATAACAGGTATTTCTTGTTGAGGTGATTAGCTTGTCTCTCATACATTGGTGTTTGGAGAATTGTTTACTGAAACATTTGAAATGGTAATCCACAAATTGTTTAACTTTTTTATTATACCATCTGAGAATATGTTTGCATATTTGTGAAAACAATTGGAAACTGTCTCAGTTATGTTCATTTTGAGAATTACTATGTTTTGGTGGACACATTTGCTGGAATTTTGTGCAGATATTTTTAAAATATTTAAGTTTATGTGGTTACTATGAGATATTATTAAATAAATAAAACATGTTCGGAGTAATGTGTATAATACAAACTCATTTTTTGTAACAACAAACAGAAAGAGTTACATGTTGGTAAGTATATGTGTCTTTGATTGGTTATGGAAAAAATTATTAGGCATTTATTCCATACTTTTAACATCTTTTAACCTCCACAGATTTAGAATTGTTTTTCTGGAAGAAATTGTTAATCTTCTCTTTTATACATTTCATGTTGTTTTCCTCATTTTAATGCCTTCGTATTATATTTCTAAATATAATTTTCTTTTATAAAACATGCAAATTTTATACGAAGAAAAACAGCATAAGTAAACTTAAAGACTATTTATATACAATGTGGTTCCATTTAAAAGATAGATAATGGATGCCATTAATTCATAGAATATATAATACATTTCTTTATGTTAATACAGAAACAAAGCCTGATAGAAATATAGTCAAAGAACAGGCAATTCATAGGAGACAAAAATATATGGCCAATAATAATAATAAATATAGTTGACTTTAATATTAGGTCATCATATTTGCCACAATCAAAAAAGTCTCCAGAATTCTCAGTTTTAGAAAGGATTTGGTTAAATATCTACTGTCTATAAAATTGTACGTTTCTAAAGTATTTTATCTCTATCGTAATTTTAATGTTTGTAAGTTTTGACTTGTGTTTTATTTGTAGAATATATGGAAATAATTCTACATATCAATAAATTGGCTTGCTTGTAGTAAAAATGTTGCAAGCATATTAAATATCTTTCAACAGAATTTGAACATCTTTCAACAGTTAAAATTATACTGTAACACGATGCAATATTTTGAAGCCATTGAAATATTGAGACTGATCTATTTTTATATTAAAAATTATTAAGACATTTATAAGTGAATAAAAACAAATTGCCGAAGTGTATGCTAGGATGATCTAATTTATATTATAAACTCCAAATCTAAATTATTATATTATTATAAATACTATATATGTGTACATTTAAATAGAAATAAAAAGGTCTAGACAGAATTGATAACTATGTTTTCTTCTGTAAATAGGAGAAAGACTGAGGAATGGTAAAAGTTTAGCAGTAAGAAGAATTATGTCTATGTTGTTTGAATTATATACAGTTAGATTGTATTCATGTATTTATTCATGTATTATTTGTGTAAATAAATAAATAAATATAAAATTTCCAAGGAATATAGGAGTTTGTCAAGGGGCTATGAGGGAACAATGAGGCTGATTGATTAGTTTTGGAAGCCTAATAAAACAAGAGTAATAGCGGTAGACATCCCTGTACTTTTTGGGGGAGAAATATGCCTAAGATAATAGAAACATCTGGTCCACCTAACAGATAAATTATTTTGCATTCAAATACATTAGATACCAAAAAGATGCAGGTTATTGACATTGTATGCCTTTGATTTAATATTTATTAAGCACTCATCTAATAATTTTGCATTCTCTTTAACTTGCTTAATAGGGAAATTGGGGTGTTTTCTGCTCAACAGACATATCTGACCTGTATGATAATGGAATTTCTCATTATAAGTCAATAAACTTTTGTTCTTTCTGTATCTTTCAGTCTTATGATGTAATCAGCGCGATTTCACTTCCTGAATTTCGATGAATTCTAAGACATGGGCAAGATCGGGTTGTAAGACCTCTGAGATTTAAGGCCATGCCCTGGATCATGGTGAACTTACCAAAGCAAACAATGCCTGTGAGATGGTCCTGCAGCAGCCAACCAGTGAACTCTTTTGGTGACATCCTGTTCTTGTTGTATAACTTTATATTCCTATAAATCCATTAAGGCCCCAATAAAGTTTGTCTCTAAGCGCTGTGTTAGATCTATATGACTACATCTAGTAAATTGTGAATTTTAAGTAAATATTTTATAAGAACTCCTATGTAAAGCATTACTAAAATTAGTGTTGAAATATGACCTTCTTCCTACATTTATTCATTTATTTATGTCTATTTATTCATTTATTTTAGTGAAAAATATAAGGAAAGTAGAGGAAGGTTAAATCCAAAAAAGAATTGTTTCCAGTACACTTTCTTTAATTTGCTGTCAGTTTTTGCATGGAATCTACATCTTTTTATGCTAATCCTCATCCTAGTATTTTACATCTTAACTATTTTTTTCTGACTGAAATGGTTGATGTGCTTGTTTTTTGTAATTTTCTACTTTCCTTCTAAAATGCTTAGTATTGAACAAATAGAATATCCTAATTAAAAACAGTAATAAATATTATGGTGAAAAAATACAAGTAAAATGGGAAAACATTAGATAGCAGCTTTCAATATTTCATATAGTTCATAAATGTTTCAGGAATTACAAGGTTATAGAAAAAAATTTATAGACTATAATAATTTCCAGGGATATAAAAAAATAAAGCTTCTACCTTTGAATTGTAATAATAAAAGATAAACAGACTTGAAAGCATATATTATATCTGAAAATGTCAGATAAACTTGGCTTATAAATTAAAATATAAAATAATAATACAATTTGTTCAAATAAGTAATTAAAGCTTACATTGTAAAATGAATATTTAGAGAGATTGTGAAACCTGAGTATTTTACCCAATCCTCTGAAATTAGTCCCTAGCATCAGAATTAAAGAATCTGAAAAATCACAAATGGAGGTATGGTGACATTTATGTATATTCTAGAGTTATGTTATGCACACTTAATAAATTATAGACAGTTATTTTAAAGATTGTATAATATTACTAATCACACATTAGAGTTTTAAAACTTCTGAGCCAGGCTGAACATCACAAACAGTAAACACAGACTTCTTTAAAAGGACATCTGGTGAAAGGCATTTTATGCATCAGAAGGCACAGTATTATAAAGATGACAACACTCTTCAAAATAATCAAACTATTCAATGCAACCCTTATCAAAATTAAGGTTGCCTACTTTGAAGAAATTTATAACCTGATTCTAAAGTTCATATGAAAATGTAATGGACCCAGAATAGCCAAAACAATCTTGAAGTATACAAAGTTTGAAGAGTCACATTTCCAAATTTTAAAACTTATTACAAAGCTACAATAAACAAGTCTATGTGGTACTGGCATAGGATATAAATATTGATCAATGAAATAGAATCCAAAGTCCAGACATAAGCCCTCACAAAAGTTAATTTGCAGCCAATTAACTTCTGAGAAGGAGGCAAGACAAAAGGGGAAATAACTATTTTCAATAAATGGTACTGGGACAACTTGGTATCTACATGCAAAAAAAAAACAAAAAAACAAAAAACTTCCACCCCTACCTCATGCAAAATACAAAAATTAACTCAAAATAGGCCAAAGACTCAAATATAAGGGTTACACTATAAAACTCTTGGGAGGAAATATAGAATAAATTTTTGTGACCTTGAATTAAGTATTAGATTTTTAATTCTTACACCAAAGCACAAGTTAATAAAGGAAAAAAAAGATAAACTGGACATAATTAAAATTGAAAAAAAATTTGCTTCAGTGAACACAGTCAAGAAATTTGAAAGACAGCCACAGTGCAAGATTATTTTTGCAAATAATATGTCTCATAAATGACTTGTATCTAAAATATATAAGACCAGGCATGGTGGCTCATCCTGTAATCCCAGCACTTTGGGAGGCTGAGGCAGGGGGATCACTTGAGGTCAGGAGTTTGACACCAGCCTGGCCAACATGATGAAACCCCATCTTTACTAAAAATACACACACAAAAAAAATTAGCAGGGTGTGGTGGTGTATGCCTGTAATCTTAGCTACTCAGGAGGCTGAGGTGGGAGGATAGCTTGAACCTGGGAGGCAGAGGTTGCAGTGAGCCAAAATTGCACCAATGCACACTCCAGCCTAAGCAACAGGGCAAGACGCCATCTCAAAAAATAAAACAAAATAATAAAATAAAATAAACAGTAATTACCGCTAAATAATAAAACAAACAATAAACCAATTTTATAACGAAAGGATCTGAATAGATTCTTCTGTAAAGAAGACATACAAATCACAAATTACACATGAGAAGATGCTCAACACTATTAGTCATCAGGGAAATGCAAATCAAAATCACAAAGAGACAGCAATTTATACCCAGTAGGATACTTATTATTATTATTATTTTAAATAGCAAAATAATAAATGTTAGAATGTGGGAAAACAGGAACATGCGGCATTGTTGCTGGTAATGATAAATGTGCAGCCACTGGGCAAACAATTTTGTGGTTCCTCTCTAAGTTAAAAATAATGGCTGGGCGTGGTGGCTCACACCTGTAATCCCAGCACTTTGGGAGGCTGAGGTGGATGGATCACCTGAGGTCAGGAATTCGAGACTAGCCTGACCAACATGGTGAAACCCCATCTCTACTAAAAAATATAAAAAATTAGCCCAGCTACTCAGGAGGCTGACGCAGGAGAATCCCTTGAACCTGGGAGGCAGAGGTTGCAGTGAGCCGAGATCCCACCACTGCACTCCAGCCTGGGCATGACAGAGCAAGACTCCATCTCAAAAAAAAGAAAAAAAAAAGAAATAACATGCTACCCAGCAATTTTACTCCTGATACATAGCCAAAATAACTAAAAAACAGGTGTTCAAACAAAAATTGTACAGGACGGTTTACAGCAGAAATATTTGTACTAGGAAAATGTGGAAACAACTCAAATGCCCATCAACTGGTGAATGGAAAACAAAATGTATATTCACACAATGGAATATTAATTTAGTCATATACAGGAAATAAGTATACATACTGCCAGAATAAACCTTGAAAGCATTATGCCAAAAAAAAAAAAAAGGAAAATAATTCTTGCCTGGTGGTCTGGGAAAAGCAAAAGCATTATGCTATGTGAAAAAAGCCAGTCACACAGTACCATATATTATATAATTTCATATAAATAAAATGTCCACATGAGGCAAGTCTATAGGTTCAGAAAAAATATTTGCTTAAGGATGGAGTTTCCCTTAAGTTATGATTGAGAATTGATGTCTAAGGACTGTGTGATTTTATTCAGGGTTAATGAAAATGCATAAGAATTGACTGTAGTGATATTTACACATATCTATGCTTATCTATAAATATCCAAAACCATTGAATTGTACACTTTAAATCACGGATTGTATTATATGTGCATATCTCAAGTTGTTTAAAACAATAGATGTCTGGCTAGCACCTCCCAAGGCAGCCTCTCCCAACTTTTATTTTATTTTTTTGAGACGGAGTTTCACTCTTGTTGCCCAGGCTGGAGTGCAATAGTGCAATCTTGGCTCACTGTAACCTCCACCTCCCAGGTTCAAGGAATTCTCCTGCCTCAGCCTCCCGAGTAGCTGGGATTACAGGCATGCACCACCACACCCAGCTAATTTTGTATTTTTGGTAGAGACAGGGTTTCTCCATGTTGAGGCTGGTCTCGAACTCCTGACCTCAGGTGATCCGCCCGCCCCTTGGCCTCCGAAAGTGCCGGGATTACAGGCGTGAACCACCATGCCTGGCCAGCCTCTCCCAACTTATTAAATTCCTATGCAGCAAGATGGCAAAATGGAATTCTTCAGCACTCATAACCTTGCAGAAGTATCCATTTGAACAACTATTCATGCGCAAAATTACCTTTACAAGGCCTAAAGAAACCAAGTGAGAGATTACAGCACCTGGGTGTAGCAAATAAAGAAAGATGCATTTAAGAGTGGAGAAAGGGCAGATCATTTGAGGTCAGGAGTTTGAGACCAGCCTGGCCAACATGATGAAACCCTGTTTCTACTAAAAATACAAAAATTAGCCGGATGTGGCAGCAGGCACTTGTAATCCCAGCTACTTGGGAGGCTGAGGCAGGAGATTCGCTTGAATCTGGGAGGCGGAGTTTGCAGTGAGACAAGATTGCGCCACGCACTCCAGCCTGAGCGACAGAGCAAGACTCCATTTCCAAAGGGGAAAAAATAATAGAGTGGAAAAAGGACAGTTTTACATTATGCACATCACCCCTCCCCCAACTCTAAGTAGCACAGCATGGAGAAAGATACACATCTATGAGGGGAAGAAGAAAAAGCTTAGTACTGGACTTCCTCAAACCCCCAAACTGGGCCCATTCCAGTAAAACCTTGCACCAGAGAGGCCCCCTTAGCCCCAGGTTCCAGGCTGGTACATGCAGACTGAACTTCCAGGCCTACCTTGGCACTAGGTAGGATCCTGCAGACCCAGGCTCTAGGCCTGCACAATAGACTTGGATTCCAAAACTGCCCCAGCACCAGGTTGGCTCCAGTGGCCCCAGGCTTCAAACTGGTACCAGCACCAGACTTCAGGCCTGTCCCAGTGCCAGATTAACACACTGGCATCAAACACCAGGTGGGGACCCATGAAGATATGGTCAATGCCTTCCCAGTGCCAGGCTGGTCTCATGGTCCCACCTTTCAGCTAACCCAGGGTCTAGGCCCTCCCAAATAGACCTCAGTGCTGGGCAGGCCCTCATAGACTTAGACTCCAGAGTTGTCCATGTGTACCCATATACAAGGCCAGTATCCAAGACCCCAGGACCTAGGCCAGACTTTGCTGTCTTAGAATCTAGGCCAGCAACTGTATACTCAGCCTCAAGGCTGACATCAGTGAACACGACTCCAAGCTTGTTCCCATATTCCCAGGCTTCAGGCCAGCCCAGTGGGCTCCAGGCTCCAGACTAGCCCCTGCAGACCCAGGCTCCACACTAGACTTAACAGTAGGCCAGCCTCAGGCTCCAGGCTGGTCCCTGTGGGCTTACACTTCAGAGAACTCAGAGTCCAGGCCTGTTTCAGCAGACTCAGTGTTCAGGCTTATTCCTGTATACTCTGGTATCAGACCATACCCCTTGGACTGAAGTTCCAAGAACACCCCTGTAGACTCAGAATCCAGGTCAGCTTCTGTGGATCCAAGATCCAGAGCCACTCCTTCATCCTTAGGTTACTGGCTGGCCCAGTGTCAGTCCAGTTTCTGTGGACTCAGACTTCAGACTCATCCTAGTGGAAACAGATGCCAAAGTGCCTGGCCAGCTCCTGCAGACTCAGGGTCAAGTCTCATCCCAGCTCCAGGTCAGACCCTGTGGACTTAGGCTTGAGGTTGGCCATCATAGATACAGGCTCTAGGCCTGCCCTCATGGACCCAGGCTTCAGATTCATCCCTGCAAACCTCACCCTTGTTGAAGTCTAGTCCATTGGGTCCAAGTGTCAGACCCAATACCACAGGCACAGACACTATACTCAGCTGCCTGCTGACCCAGATACCAGACCTACATGCCTGAGGACTCTGCAAGCAAGCTCACCCTCAAACCTTGCCAGATGGCATGCTCAGAATCCCTGGATAGGCTGACTGCTGAAGGGTTTTACCTGATAAAGCCAGTCTGCAAGGACTGGAATAAGCCCTTACTTCAGATGTGTAGAAATAAACATATGGCAGTAAGAAATAGGAAAAGCCAGGGAGACATAACATCACCACAATAATACAATTTCTCATTAGCTGAAACAAACAAACAAAAAAAATAGAGATATATGAACTGCATGACAAAGAGTTCAAAATAATTAATTTTAAGGAAGCTCAGCAAATTTCAAAAAACTACAGATAATTCAATAAAATCAGAAGATAAATGATCAGAATGAGAAATTTAACAGAGAGATTGAAATTATTTTTAAAAGCCCACAAATTCTGTGGCTGAAAAATACAATGAATTAAGTGAAAAATGCAATAAAGCGCATGAACAGCAGAATTTATGAAGCAGAAGAAAGGATCTAGGAATTTAGATGACAGGTTATTTGAAAATATACAGTCAGAAAAAAAAAGAAATTAAGAAAGTTTACAGATTTTACAGGGCAACATCAAAAGAAGAAGTCTTCATGTGATATGATTTAAAGGAGCAGAGAAGGACAAAGTAGAAATTTTATTTAAAGAAATAATAGTGAAAGCTTTTCAAATCTGTGAAAAGAAATAAATATCCAAAAACAAGAAGGTGAAAAGTCTCCAATGAGATTCAGTCTAAAGAGGACTAATTCATATTATATTCAATCTGTTACAAATTATGGACAAAGACAGGATGTTGGAAGCAGCAAGAGGAAGAAACGAATAACATAGAAGGGAGTTTCAATAAGGCTAGAAGTGGATCTTTCAGCAGAGGCTTTACAGGCCAGGAGAGAGTGGAATGATATATGCTAAGTACTAAAAACAAAACTTAACCAAGAATATTTTAACCAGCAAAGCTGTCCTTTGGAAATAAAGAAGAGATAAAGACATTCTCATATTAACAAAGCTTAAGGAGTTCATTGCCACCAGATCTATCTTACAAGAAATGCTAAAGGGAGTTCTTCAATCTGAAAGAAATATATGCCAATTATTAACACAAAAACATATGAAAATATAAACATATTAATCCCTTCCCCATAAAGAGAGATAAACTCACTGCTGAGTGTTGTTTACTTTTCTTCTGATATCCTCTAACTTAAATACTATAATGTGAATCACACTGATTACATCACAAGACTGAAAGACACAGAAAGAGAACAAAAGTTTATTGACTTATAATGAGAAATTCCATTATCATACAGGTCAGCTATGTCTGTTGAGCAGAAAACACCCTGCTTTCCCTATTAAGCACCTTAAAGAGAATGCAAAATTATTAGATGAGTGTTTAGGAAAATGTGGCACATATACACCATGGAATACTATGCAGCCATAAAAAAGGATGAGTTCATTGTCCTTTGTAGGGACATGGATGAAGCTGGAAACCATCATTCTGAGCAAACTATCACAGGGACAGAAAACCAAACACCGCATGTTCTCACTCATAGGTGGGAATTGAACAATGAGAACACTTGGACACAGGGCAGGGAACATCACACACCAGGGCCTGTCATGGGGTGGGGGCATGAGGGAGGGATAGCATTAGGAGAAATATCTAATGTAAATGACGAGTTAATGGGTGCAGCAAACCAACACGGCACATGTATACATATGTAACAAACCTGCACGTTGTGCACATGTACCCTAGAACTTAAAGTAGAATAATAATTAAAAAAAACAAGCTCACATACTGATATAAAGTCAATACATCTTTTGTTACATTATAAAGGAATAAGAGAGGAAATGAAACAAAGATATTTGCTTAATAAATGTATATTATACATAATATACATATACATATATATAATCTTAATTTTAACACATAGAAAAGAAATACTCATGACAATTATGGTCTTTTTTTCCTTAATTGGTCATGTGGTCATAGCTGGTATTTTGAACAACCTATTTCTACAACCCATTCTGTATTCTCTTTGCTTGCAGCAAGCACCTCAGCCAAATGTAATTCCTTACCTGCTGGTGTGATCCAAACCTTCATTCCTGAAGGGTTTCGGCCATTTGTTGTTCTGCCTGGATTGGGTCATTGTAGTTTTCCATTGACCCTTAATCATAGGGTGTGGTAATATTAAGAGACTCCCTAGAAGATCTTCTGTATTCCATAAATACTCTTTCTTACCTCCACTGGGGTACGGTAGTCTACCTTCTCCTTGGTAGTTTGGACCAATTACATAGGTCACTAGGCAATTTGCCACTTTCTTGGTTGCAGGAGGAATCAGATGCAACAACTTATTATTTGCCTTAGGAAGGACATCTTGGCATGCCCCACACCACATAACCCCTAGAAATTTTAAAGAGGTTGAAGTCTCCTGAATTTTAGTTGGATTTATTTTCTACCTTCTGAAATGCAAATGTCTTAGCAATAAGTGCAAAGTATTTGTTACTTTTTGCTCATTAAGTCCAATCAGAAAATGTCTTCGATGTAATAGGTCTGTGAAATATCTTGTGGAAGAGAAAAACAATCAAGGTCCCTTTAAACTAAATTATGATGTAGTGCTATAGAGTTAAGACACTCTTGAAATAGTACAATAAAGATTATTACTGGTCTTTGCAGCTGACAGAAAACTGGTTCTGGTGGACATTATGGACAAATTTGGAGAAAAGGTGTTTGCCAGATTATTAACTGCCTAGCAGGTACCAGGAGATGTGTTAATTTGCTCAAGCAGTGAATCCACATCTAGTGGAGGAGTTTCCATTGGAATCACCACTTGTTTAATTTTATGATATTCCACTGTAATTTTCCAAGACCCATCTCTCTTCTGCACGGTAAAATAGAAGAGTCGAATGGGGAATGTGGTAGGAATCAACATCTTTGAATCTTTCAAGTATTTGATGGTGGCATTAATGTCTACAATCCTTCCAGAGATGCAGTATTGCTTTTGATTTACTATTTTCCTTGGTATACACAACTCTAATTGCTTCTATTTGGCCTTTCTCACTATAATAGCTTTCACTTTTCTGGTTAGAAAACCAGTGTTGAGATTCTTCCAGCTGCTAATTATTTCTATTCTAATGATGCATTCTGGAACTAGAGAAATAACCACAGAATGGGATCAGTGACCTACTGGACTCACCGCAAGATAGACCTCAGCAAATACTTCATTGATCACCTGACCCCCATAGCCCTTACTCTGACTAGAGAGCCTCCCCTTCATTCAAGGGTTTCTGTGTTTGTAAACTGGATGAAGCCTGAAAATTAATTGAGTGTTGTGGTGTTTTTTTTTTTTTTTTTTTTGCTTTTATGATTCAAATTAGACTTTCGTTTATTTGACCTGGACATTTTCTGCTTATACAGATCAAGTAAAGACTTAGTAGCTTTCTCATCTATTTCACTTATGGAAACTAGCCAACACCATAGTTCTGTGTGAGTCAGATTATTCTGATTGGGGCTTTTACACTGCTGTCCATTACAGTAATTATACTCACCTTTCTTTTAATGATTGTGTGCCGCAACTTCACCCCTGCTATCTCAAGATCCAATTATACCTATTGCATTTAAGTTTTCCAATTGAGTGATTGCAGGTTTCACCGTAAGATCTGTCCTACAGAGAAAAGCAATCATGGAGCTCTTCAAGGATGCTGGGGATCCCCTCACAAATCTATTTCCCAAAGCACTGGTGAAAGTTACACTTTCTAGACTCTTCCAGTGTTGATGACTAAGCCTTAAAAGACAAATCTACTCTAGTATTTTAATCTCCCTAATCCTGTGAATTTCTTCTTCTCCATTAAACCAAGGGTGTTTGGGTATTTCCAAGTCACTCATAATTGGCTGTCTTTTTTTTTAAAACATGAATTTATTCAGCCCATAATTCCAGAAGTTGCATAAATGAAAGAGTTAAAAAACAGCAGAGACTGTATCTGTGTGGTATAGGCTTTAAGAGCAATGACAGCTCAAGAAATAGGAGCGAGCAATGTAGGGAAGGAAAAACTATGAGCTGTTTTATTAGATATGTGAGTCTAAAATTTAGATGAGTGTTATTAAAGGAGAAAAGGTATCAAAGGTATGAAGATCATACTTGAGGAAATTCCCAGAGAAAGACTTTAATATAGATAATGCAATACAATCAGGAAATAGTTATCTGATGATTAATTTTTAAAAATATTACTTTTAGTAGACTGTTATGCAGTAAAATGGGACAATAGTGGTCACAGACTTAATAAAGATTAAACTAAGTGACCAAAAAGGTGATTATGCAGTAAAATGAAAGAATAGTGGTAACAGACTGTTAATAAGGATTAAATTAAGTGATCAATTAAGTAATTATTAAATAATTATTTTTTAAAATTATACTTTAAGTTCTGGGGTACATGTGCAGAATGTGCAGTTTCACATGAACAGGTATACACATGCCATGGTGGTTTGCTGCACCCATCAACCCATCACCTACATTAGGTATTTCTCCTAATTCTATCCCTCCCCTAGCCCCCCACACCCTGACAGGCCCGTGTGTGATGTTCCCCTCCCTGTGTCCATGTGTTTTCATTGTTCAACTCCCATTTATAAGTGAGAAAGTGTGGTGTTTGGTTTTCTGCTCTTGTTTTAGTTTGCTGAGAATTATGGTTTCCAGTTTCATCCATGACCCTGTAAAGGACATGAACTCATCCATTTTTATGGCTGCATAGTATTCCATGGTGCATATGTGACACATTTTCTTTATCCAGTCTATCATTGATGGGCATTTGGGTTGGTTCCAAGTCTTTGCTATTGTGAATAGTGCCACAATCAGCATACGTGTGCATGTGTCTTTATAGTAGAATGATTTATAATCCTTTGGGAATATACCCAGTATTTAGATTTCTGGGTCAAATGTATTTCTGGATCTAGATCCTTCAGGAATTGCCACACTGTCTTCCACAATGGCTGAACTAATTGACGCTCCCACCAACAGTGTAAAAGCATTCCTATTTCTCCACATCTTCTCCAGCATCTGTTATTTTCTGACCTTTTAATGATCACCATTCCAACTGGTGTAAGATGGTATCTCGTTGTGGTTTTCATTTGCATTTCTCTAATGACCAGTGATGATGAGCTTTTTTCATATGTTTGTTTGTTGCATAATGTCTTCTTTTGAGAAGTGTCTGTTCATATCCTTCGCCCACTATTTGATGGAGTAGTTTGATTTTTCTTGTAAATTTGTTTAAGTTCTTTGTATATTCTGGATATTAGCCCTTTTGTCAGATGGATGGATTGCAAAAACGTTCTCCCATTCTATAGGTTGCCTGTTCACTCTGATGATAGTTTCTTTTGCTGTGTAGAAGCTTTTTCATTTAATTAGATCCCATTTGTCAATTTTGGCTTTTGTTGCCATACCTTTTGGTGTTTTAGACATAAGTCTTTGCCCATGCTTATGTCCTGAAGGTATTGCCTAGGTTTTCTTCTAGGATTTTTATGGTTTTAGGTCTTACATTTAAGTCTTTAATCCATCTTGAGTTAATTTTTGTATAAAGTGTAAGGAAGGGGTCCAGTTTCAGTTTTCTGCATATGGCTAGCCGGTTTTCCCAACACTGTTTATTAAATAAGAAATTCTTTCCCCATTGCTTGTTTTTCTCAGGTTTGTCAAAGATCAGATGGTTGTAGATGTATGGTGGTATTTCTGAGCCCTCTCTTCTGTTCCCTTGGTCTATATATCTGTTTTGGTACCAGTACCATGCTGTTTTGGTTATTGTAGCCTTGTAGTGCAGTGTGAAGTCAGGTAGTGTGATGCCTCCAGCTTTGTTCTTTTTGCTTAGAATTGTCTTGGCTATGGGAGCTGTTTTTTCATTCCATATGAAGTTTAGTGTATTTTTTCCAAATCTGTGAAGAAAGTCAGTGGTAGCTCAATGGGGATAGCATTGAATCTATAAATTACTTTGGGCAGTAAGGCCATTTTTACTATGTTGATTCTTTCTATCCATGAGCATGGAATGTTCTTTCATTTGGTTGTGTCCCCTTTTATTTCCTTGAGAAGTGGTTTGTAGTTCTCCTTGAAGAGGTCCATCACATTCCTTGTAAGTTGGATTTCTAGGTATTTTATTCTCTTAGTAGCAATTGTGAATGGGAGTTCACTCATGGTTTAGCTCTCTGTTTATCTATTATTGGTGTATAGGAATGCTTGTGATTTTTGCACATTGATTGGATCCTGAGACTTTGCTGAAGTTGCTTATCAGCTTAAGGAGATTTTGGGCTGAGACGATGGGGTTTTCTAAATGTACAATCATGTCATCTGCAACAGAGACAATTTGACTTCCTCTCTTCCTATTTGAAAACGTCTTATTTCTTTCTTTTGCCTGATTGCCCTGGCCAGAACTTCCAATACTATGTTGAATAGGAGTGGTGAGACAGGGCATTCTTGTCTTGTGCCAGTTTTTAAAGGAAATGCTTCCAGTTTTTTCCCATTCAGTATGATATTGGCTGTGAGTTTGTCATAAATAACTCTTACTATTTTGAGGGACGTTCCATCAATACCTAGTTTATTGAGAATTTTTAGCATGAAGGCTGTTGAATTTTGTTGAAGACCTTTTCTGCATCTATTAAGATAATCAAGTGGTTTTTTTCATTGGTTCTGTTTATGTGATGGATTACATTTATCAATTTGCATATGTTGAACCAGCTTTGCATCCCAGGGATGAAGCCAACTTGATACTGGTGGATAAGATTTTTGATGTGCTGCTGGATTTGGTTTGTCAGTATTTCACTGTGGATTTTCACATTGATGTTCATCAGGGATATTAGCCTGAAATTTTCTTTTTTTGTTGTATCTCTTCCAGGTTTTGATATCAGTATGTTGCTGGCCTTATAAAATGAGTTAGGGAGGATTCCTTCTTTTTCTATTGTTTGGAATGGTTTTAGAAGAAATGGTACCAGCTCCTCTTTATACCTCATCTAGAATTCTGCTGTGAATCTGTCTGTTCTTGGACTTTTTTTGGTTGCTAGGCTATTAATTACTTCCTCAATTTCAGAACTTCTTATTGGTCTATTCAGTGATTTGATGTCTTGCTGGTTTAGACTTGGGAGGATGTGTATTTCTGGGAATTTATCAATTTCTTCTAGATTTTCTAGTTTATTTGTGTAGGAGGTTTACAGTATTCTCTGATGGTAGTTAGTATTTCTGTGAGATCACTGGTGATATCCCTTCCATCAATTTTATTGCATCTTTTTGATTCTTCTCTACCTTTTCAGAAAACCAGGTCCTGGATTCATTGATTTATTGAATGGTTTTTCACCTTTTCAGAAAACCAGATCCTGGATTCATTGATTTATTGAATGGTTTTTCATGTGTCCATCTCCCTCAGTTCTGCTCTGATCTTAGTTTTTTCTTATCTTCTACTGGCTTTTGAATTTGTTTACTCTGGCTTCAGTAGTTCTTTTAATTTTGATGTTAGGGTGTCGATTTTAGATCTTTCCTGCTTTTGCTTGTGGGCATTTAGTGCTATCAATTCCCCTCTTTACACTACTTTAAATATGTCCCAGAGATTTTAGTACCTTGTCTCTTTGTTCTCACTGGTTTAAGAACATTTTTATTTCTGCATTAATTTTGTTATTTACCCAGTAGTCATGCAGGATCCGGTTTTTCAGTTTCCATGTTGCTGTCCAGTTTTGAGTGAGTTTCTTAATCCTGAGTTGTAATTAGTTGTAATTTGATTGCACTGTGGTCTGAAAGACTGTTATGATTTTCATTCTTTCGCATTTGCTGAGGAGTGTTTTACTTCCAATTATGTGGTCAATTTTAGAATAAGTGCGATGTGGTGCTTAGAAGAATGTATATTCTGTTGATTTGGGGTGGATAGTTCTGTAGATGTCTATTAGGTCCACTTGGTCCAGAGCTGAGTTCAAGTTTTGAATATCCTTGTTAATGTTCTGTCTCATTTATCTGTCTAATATTGACAGTGGGGTGTAAAAGTCTCCCACTATTATTGTGTGGAAGGCTGTCTCTTTGTAAGTCGGTAAGAACTTGCTTTATGAATCTGAGTGCTTCTGTATTTCTGCATATATGTTTAGGATAATTAGCCCTTCTTGTTGCATTGATCCCTTTACCATTGTGGTAAAGGGATGAATGTGGGCCCGCCTTGCTAGGTTGAGGAAGTTCTCTTGGATGATATCCTGAAGAGTGTATTCAAACTTGGTTCCATTCTCCCCATCACTTTCAGGTACACCAATCCAATGTAGATTTGGTCTTTTCACATAGCCTCATATTTCTTGGAGGCTTTGTTCACTTCTTGTTATTCTTTTTTCTCTAATCTTGTCTTCTTGCTTTATTTCATTGAGCTGATCTTCAATCTCCGATATCTTTTCTTCTGCTTTATCTATTTGGCTATTGGCACTTTTATATGCTTCATGAAGTTCCTGTCCTGTTTTTTCAGCTTCATCAGGTCATTTATATTCTTCTCTAAACTGGTTAATCTAGTTAGTAGTTCCTGTAACCTTTTATCAAGTTTCTTAGCTTCCTTGCATTGGGTTAGAACATGCTCCTTTAGCCTGGAGGAGTTTTTTATTACCCACCTTCTGGAGCCTACTTCTGTCAATTCGTCAAACTCATTCTCCGTCCAGTTTTGTTCTCTTGCTGGTGAAAAGTTGTGATCCTTTGGAGGAGAAGAGGCATTCTTGTTTTTGAAATTTTCAGCCTTTTTGCAGTGGTTTCTCCCCATCTTCTTGTATTTATCTACCTTTGGTCTTTGATGTTGGTGACCTTCAGATGGGGACTCTGTGTGGATGTGCTATTCCTTTCTGTTGGTTAGTTGTATTTCTAACAGTCAGGCCCCTCTGCTGCAGGTCTGCTGGAGTTTGCTGGAGGTCCACTCCAGACCCTGTTTGCCTGGGTATCACCAGCGGAAGCTGCAGAACAGAAATGATTGTTTCCTGTTATTTCCTCTGGAAGCTTCGTCCTAGAGGGGTACCTGCCAGATGCCAGCCAGAGCTCTCCTGTATGAGGTGTCTGTCAGTTCCTACTGGGAGGTGTCTCTTAGTCAGAATACACAGAGGTCAGGGACCCACTTGGGGAGACAGTCTGACCCTTATCAGAGTTCAAATGCTGTGCTTGGAGATCTGCTGCTCTCTCGAGAGCCATCAGGAAGGGATGTTTTAGTCTGCTGAAGCTGTGCCCACAGCCACCCCTGCCCTCTGGTGCTCTGTCCCAGGGAGATGGGGGTTTTATCTGTAAGCTTCTGACTAGGGCTGCTGCCTTTTTTTTCAGAGATGTCCTGCCCAGAGAGTAGGAATCTAGAGAGACAGTCTGGCCACAGTGGCCTTGCTGAGCTGTGGTGGGCTCCACACTGTTCAAACTTCCTGGCAGCTTTGTTTACACTGTGAGGGTAAAACTGCCTACCCAAGCCTCAGCCATGGTGGATGCCCCTCCCCCCACCAAGCTCGAGTGTCCCAGGTTGACATTAGACTGCTGTGCTGGCAGCGATAATTTCAAGCCATTGGATCTTAGTTGCTGGGCTCCGTGGAGGTGGGATCTTTTAGATCTTTCCTGCTTTTGCTTGTGGGTATTTACTGCTTGGCAGGTGGGACCTGCCAAGCCAGACCACTTGGTTACCTGGCTTCAGCCCCCTTTCCAGGGGAGTGAATAGTTCTGTCTCACTGGAGTTCCAGGCACCACTGGGGTATGGGGGGAAAAAAAACAAAAAACAAAAAACAACAACAACAACAAAAAACTCCTGCTGCTAGCTCAGTCTCTGCCCAAATGGCATCCCAGTTTTGTGCTTGAAACCCAGGGCCCTGGTGGCATGGGCACTGTAGTGAATCTCCTGGTCTGCGAGTTGTAAAGACTGTGGGAAAAGCCCAGTATCTGGGCTGGAGTGCACCATTCCTCAGGCACAGTCTTTCACAGCTTCCCTTGGGTAGAGGAGAGAATTCCCCAACCCCTTGCACTTCCCAGGTGAGGTGATGCCCCACCCTACTTTGGCTCACCCTCCATGGGCTGCACCCACTGTCTAACCAGTCCCAATGAAATGAATCAGGTATTTCAGTCGGAAATGTAGAAATCACCTGACTTCTGTGTTGATCTCACTGGGAGCTGCAGACCAGAGATTTTTCTATTTGGCCATCTTGCCAGCCAGCAATTGTCTATCTTTTTGATCCACTTTTCAGCCAGGAAACTACACCAACTGTTAGAGCCCTTTCTAACTCCCCAAGCTGCAACATTCAATACAGAATTTCTACTTGGTGGTCACAAATGAACAAATTCAGCCTGATGCAACTTTATATTTCTTCCACCTCCATTTCATACCTTAATATGCATTCCCAGAAAAGTGCCCTGAATATCTACTTGTATCAATTAGAAAACTTAGGTTTATTTTTGAAGTGTGAAGTACTCCTTCATGGGTCACACTTTATTCCATACATTTAAGGATCTGCTGGAACTTGATTCTATTTATGGATCTAGAAGCAAAGTTGGGTGGTGACGGTTGGTCCCAAGGAGAATCAGCATTGTCATGCTTGGAAACTGCCTCTATGGAGACTATTATCATTCCATTAGACAGAAGTGGAAAGGCCAATACCACTATGAGTGGGGACAGTGCTACTACTGGGAGATTGAAAGGCTACTTCCACCGGCAAAACAACAAAACAAAACAAAACAACAACAAAAAAACACTTCATTAAAATTTAAAAGCTCAATGTCTCTTGCGTCATTGAGTTTTTCTATGCATCACCATCTCAATTTACATGATCCCATTTTTTCCCAGTCTGTGACTCACTTTCACATTAGATACCCTGAGAGGCTGGCATTTAAACTCTCTTTGTAATTCAGGAAATTCCATGATAAGAACATGTGTTTGATTTTCATTATGTTCAGTCCTGTGGCTACAGGAGATAAGCTTCTCTCTCAGAGCATAGCTTAAAGCTCTTAGGTCATTTGTGCAGTTCCTAAGGTAGGAATTCAAATCCCTGAGCTCATCCTTTAATTTTTTAATCACTTTGTCCATTGACATTAGGAGAAACCAACCAATGTCATTATATTTCTTAGTTTTCCACAAATGTTCAAAAGTATTATATACAGAGTCACTAAATTCCTTGACTCTTATATGTGGTTGATTAGAACTATAAAATAGTAATATTTTGCATATGTCTATTGACGGATCACACCATGGATTATTACTGCTCTCTATATGATCTTGAATAGGGAGTCCTTAGCATTTTAAAATCTAACCAAATTAGTAAATTCCAGAAACTCTAAAGCCAATTCAGGAAACTTATCCTTAAAATTTTGTTGCTCTAGAACCACTTCTGGTACCAAAATCTGTATTATTCATGGTTCTTCAGAGAAACAGAATGAAAAGTAGATATATATAAGAAAGAAGTTATTATGGGAATTGGGTCATGTGATTATGGACATGGAGAAGTCCCACAAAATATCATTTGCAAGTTGGACAACCAGGGAAGTTTATGCTATAGCTCAGTCCAATTCTGAAAGCCTGAGACACTGGGGGGACACAGTTTCAAGTACCAGAGTCTGAAGGCTGAAAAATGTAGAGTTCTGACCTCCAAGCATACAAGAAGTTGGGTTTCCCTGCTCAAAAAAGAGAGATAAGTTTGCCTTTCATCTGCCTTTTTGCTATATTTGGGCCGCCAACCAATAAGATGATGCCCACCCACATTTGGTGAGGATAGATTTTCCTTAGTCCATTTATTTAACTTCCAATCTCTTCTGGAAACACACTCACAGACATAAAAAGGAATAATGCTTTACCCACTACGTTGGTATCTCTTAACTTAGTTAAGTTGATGCTTACAACTAACCAGTACAGTGATCATCTCTGACCACTGGCCATGACTATCTTTAGCACTCAGTGAGTTGCCATGTGCCTGAAACCACTCTCTTCATATAAACTTTTCTCATATTCTTATTTAGAGTTCAAGCCCCTACTCACTATAAGATACCTAGAAGGAAGCAAAAAAAAAAAAATCAGTAAATATGACAGCAATATTTACATCTCAGAGAAGTAATCTTTTTATTAGGTCAGTGCAAAAGTAATTGCGATTTTGACACTACTTTAGATGACAATAACTGCAAATTACATTTGCACCAAACCAGTAATTTGTGGAATGGTTTGTCTTCTTTATTGCAATCTTCCCATTCAAGACTGAGCTTGGAAACTTGTTCTTGTAGAATTAAATTATCATATATATATATATGTATGTATATATGTATATATGTATGTGTATATGTGTGTGTATATATATATATATATATCTTAGACAAGATCTTGCTCTGTGGCCCAGGCTGGAGTCCAGTGGTGCAATCTTAGCTCAGTGCAACCTCCATTTCCTGGGCTCAGGTGATCCTCCAACCTCAGCTTCCTGAGAAGCTGGGACTACAGGCCCACACCCAGTGAATTTTTTTGTTTTTAGTAAAGATGGGGTTTTGCTTGTTGCTCAGGTGGGTCTTGAACTCCTGGGCTCAAGTGATCTGTCTGCCTCAGCCTCCCAAAGGGTTGGGATTACAGGTGTGAGCCACCACAACCAGCATTAAATTATTTTTCTAAATCAAAAAAAAATTCCACTCAGAAACATTTTGTAATCCTTTGTGGATATGGAATGAATATTAAACATGCTAATGTAAACGACTGAATATAGTTTATTTTTATTTTATTATTATTATACTTTAAGTTTTAGGGTACGTTTGCACAACATGCAGGTTTGTTACATAGGTATACATGTGCCATGTTGGTGTGCTGCACCCATTAACTTGTTATTTAGCATTAGGTATATCTCCTAATGCTATCCCTCCCCCCTCCCTCCACCCCACTATAGAACCTGGAGTGTGATGTTCCCCTTCCTGTGTCCATGTGTTCTCATTGTTCAATTCCCACCAATGAGTGAGAACATGCGGTGCTTGGATTTTTGTCCTTGCGATAATATGCTGAGAATGATGGTTTCCGGTTTCATCCATGTCCCTACAAAGGACATGAACTCATCATTTTTTATGGCTGCATAGTATTCCATGGTGTATATGTGCCACATGTTGTTAATCCAGTTTATCATTGTTGGACATTTGGGTTGGTTTCAAATCTTTGCTATTGTGAATAGTGACACAATAAACATACATGTGCATGTGTCTTTATAGCAGCATGATTTATAATCCTTTGGGTATATACCCAGTAATGGGATGGGTGGGTCAAATGATATTTCTAATTCTAGATCCCTGAGGAATCGCCACACTGACTTCCACAATGGCTGAACTAGTTTACATTCCCACCAACAGTGTAAAAGTGTTCCTATTTCTCCACATCCTCTCCAGCACCTGTTGTTTCCTGACTTTTTAATGATCGCCATTCTAACTGGTGTGAGATGGTATCTCATTGTGGTTTTGATTTGCATTTCTCTGATGGCCAGTGATGATGAGCATTTTTTCATGTGTCTTTTGGCTGCATAAATGTCTTCTTTTGAGAAGTGTCTGTTCATATCCTTTGCCCACTTTTTGATGGGGTTGCTTTTTTCTTGTAAATTTGTTTGAGTTCATTGTAGATTCTGGTTATTAGCCCTTTGTCAGATGAGTAGGTTGCAAAAATTTTCTCCCATTTTGTAGGTTGCCTGTTCACTCTGATGGTGGTTTCTTTTGCTGTGCAGAAGCTCTTTAGTTGAATTAGATCCCATTTGTCAATTTTGGCTTTTGTTGCCATTGCTTTTGGTGTTTTAGATATGAAGTCCTTGCTCATGCCTATGTCTTGAACGATATTGCCTAGTTTTTCTTCTAGGGTTTTTATGGTTTTAGGTCTAACATATAAGTCTTTAATCCATCTTGAATTAATTTTTGTATAAGGTGTAAGGAAGGGATCCAGTTTCAGCTTTCTACATATGGCTAGCCAGTTTTCCCAGCACCATTTATTAAATAGGGAATCCTTTCCCCATTTCTTGTTTTTGTCAGGTTTGTCAAAGATCAGATAGTTGTAGATATGCAGCATTATTTCTGAGGGCTCTGTTCTGTTCCATTGGTCTATATCTCTGTTTTCATACCAGTACCATGCTGTTTTGATTACTGTAGACTTGTAGTATAGTTTGAAGTCAGGTAGTGTGATGTCTCCGGCTTTGTTCTTTTGGCTTAGGATTTAATTGGCAATGCAGGCTCTTTTTTGGCTCCATATGAACTTCAAAGTAGTTTTTTCCAATTCTGTGAAGAAAGTCATTGGTAGCTTGATGGGGATGGCATTGAATCTATAAATTACCTTGGGCAGTATGGCCATTTTCACGATTTGATTCTTCCTACCCATGAGCATGGAATGTTCTTCCATTTGTTTGTATCCTCTTTTATTTCGTTGAAATGTGGTTTGGAGTTCTCCTTGAAGAGATCCTTCACATCCCTTGTAAGTTGGATTCCTAGGTGTTTTATTCTCTTTGAAGCAATTGTGAATGGGAGTTCACTCATGATTTGGCTCTCTGTTTGTCTGTTATTGGTATATAAGAATGCTTGTGATTTTTGCACATTGATTTTGTATCCTGAGACTTTGCTGAAGTTGCTTATCAGCTTAAGGAGATTTTGGGCTGAGATGATGGGCTTTTCTAGGTGTACAATCATGTCATCTGCAAACAGGAACAAGTTGACTTCCTCTTTTCCTAATTGATTGCCATTTATTTCCTTCTCCTGCCTGATTGCCCTGGCCAGAACTTCCAACATTATGTTGAATAGGAGTGGTGAGAGAGGGCATCCCTGTCTTGTGCCAGTTTTCAAAGGGAATGCTTCCAGTTTTTGTCCATTCAGTATGATATTGGCTGTCATTTTGTCATAGATAGCTCTTATTATTTTGAGATATGTCCCATCAATACCTAATTTATTGAGAGTTTTTAGCATGAAGGGTTTTTGAATATTGTCAAAGACCTTTTCTGCATCTATTGAGATAATCATGTGGTTTTTGTCTTTGGTTCTGTTTATATGCTGGTTTACGTTTACTGATTTTCGTATGTTGAACCAGCCTTGCATCACAGGGATGAAGCTCAGTTGATCATGGTGGATAAGCTTTTTGATGTGCTGCTAGATTCGGTTTGAAGTATTTTATTGAGTATTTTTGCATCAATGTTCATCAAGGATATTGGTCTCAAATTCTCTTTTTTTGTTGTGTCTCTGTCAGGCTTTGGTATCAGGATGATGCTGGCCTCATAAAATGAGTTAGGGAGGATTCCCTCTTTTTCTATTGATTGGAATAGTTTCAGAAGGAATGGTACCAGTTCCTCCTTGTACCTCTGGTAGAATTCGGCTGTGAATCCATCTGGTCCTGGACTTTTTTTGGTTGGTAAGCTATTAATTATTGCCTCAATTTCAGAGCCTGTTATTGGTCTATTCAGAGATTCAACTTCTTCCTGGTTTAGTCTTGGGAGGTTATATGTGTCGAGGAATTTATCCATTTCTTCTAGATTTTCTAGTTTATTTGCGTAGAGGTGTTTATAGTATTCTCTGATGGTAGTTTGTGTTTCTGTGGGATTGGTGGTGATATCCCCTTTGTCATTTTTAATTGCGTCTATTTGATTCTTCTCTTTTCTTCTTTGTTAGTCTTGCTAGTAGTCTATCAATTTTGTTGGTCTTTTCATAAAACCAGCTCCTGTATTCATTGATTTTTTGAAGGGTTTTTTGTGTCTCTATTTCCTTCAGTTCTGCTCTGATCTTAGTTATTTCTTGCCTTCTGCTAGCTTTTGAATGTGTTTTGTTCTTGGTTCTCCGGTTCTTTTAATTGTGATGTTAGGGTGTTAATTTTAGATCTTTCCTGCTTTCTCTTGTGGGCATTTAGTGCTAAAATTTCCCTCTACACACTGCTTTCAATGTGTCCCAGAGATTCTGGTATGTTGTGTCTTTGTTCTCATTGGTTTCAAAGAACAGCTTTATTTCTGCCTTCATTTCGTTATGTACCCAGTAGTCATTCAGGAGCAGATTGTTCAGTTTCCATGTAGTTGTGTGGATTTGAGTGAGTTTCTTAATTCTGAGTTCTAGTTTGATTGCACTGTGTTCTGGGAGACCGTTTGTTATAATTTCTGTTCTTTTACACTTGCTGAGGAGTGCTTTACTTCCAACTATATGGTCAATTTTGGAATAGGTGTGGTGTGGTGCTGAAAAGAATGTATATTCTGTTGATTTCGGGTGGGAGTTCTGTAGATGTCTATTAGGTCCACTTGGTGCAGTGCTGAGTTCAATTCCTAGATATCCTTGTTAACTTTCTGTCTCGTTGATCTGTCTAATGTTGACAGTGGGGTGTTAAAGTCTCCCATTATTTTTGTTTTTTTTAAATTTATTTTACTTTAGGTTTTAGGGTACATGTGCAAAATGTGCAGGTTTGTTACATATGTATACATGTGTCATGTTGGTGTGCTGCACCCATTAACTCGCCATTTAGCATTAGGTGTATCTCCTAATGCTATCTCTCCTCCCTCCCCCTACCTCACAACAGACCCCAGCGTGTGATGCTTCCCTTCCTGTGTCCATGTGTTCTCATTGTTCAATTCCCACCTTTGAGTGAGAACATGCAATATTTGGTTTTATGTCCTTGGGATAGTTTGCTGAGAATGATGGTTTCCAGTTTCATCCATGTCCCTACAAAGGACATGAACTCCTCATTTTTTTATGGCTGCATAGTATTCCATGGTGTATATGTGTCACATTTTTTTTAATCCAGTCTATCGTTGTTGGACATTTGGGTTGGTTCCAAGTCTTTGCTATTGTGAGTAGTGCCACAATAAACATATGTGTGCATGTGTCTTCATAGCAACATGATTTATAATCCTTTGGGTATATACCCAGTAATGGGATGGCTGGGTCAAATGGTAAGTCTCTGTAGGTTACTAAGGGCTTGCTTTATGATTCTGGGTGCTCCTGTATTGGGTGCATATATATTTAAGATACTTAGCTATTCTTGTTGAATTGATCCTTTTACCATTATGTAATGGCCTTCTTTGTCTCTTTTGATCTTTGTTGGTTTAAAGTCTGTTTTATCTGAGACTAGGATTGAAACTCCTGCCTTTTTTAGTTTTCCATTTGCTTGTTAGATCTTCCTCCATCCCTTTATTTTGAGCCTATGTGTGTCTCTGCAAGTGAGATGGGTTTCCTGAATACAGCACACTGATGGGTCTTGACTCTTTATCCAATTTGCCAGTCTGTGTCTTTTAATTGGAGCATTTAGCCCATTTACATTTAAGGTTAATATTCTTATGTGTGATTTTGATCCTGTCATTATGATATTTGCTGGTTATTTAGCTCGTTAGTTGATGCAGTTTCTTTCTAGCCTTGATGGTCTTTACAATTTGTCATGTTTTTGTAGTGGCTGGCACTGGTTGTTCCTTTCCATGTTTAGTGCTTCCTTCAGGATCTCTTTTAGGGCAGTCCTGGTCATGACAAAATCTCTCAGCATTTGCTTGTCAGTAAAATATTTTGTTTCTCCTTCACTTATGAAGCTTAGTTTGGCTGGATATGAAATTCTGGGTTGAAAATTGTTTTCTTTAAGAAGGTTCAATATTGTCCCCAACTCTCTTCTGGCTTGTAGAGTTTCTGCCAAGAGATCAGCTGTTAGTCTGATGGGCTTCCCTTTGTTGGTAACCTGACCTTTCTCTCTGGCTGCCCTTAACATTTTTTCCTTCATTTCAACTTTGGTGAATCTGACAATTATGTGTCTTGGAGTTGCTCTTCTCGAGGAGTATCTTTGTGGTGTTCTCTGTATTCCTGAATTTAAATGTTGGCCTGCCTTGCTAGATTTTGGAAGTTCTCCTGGATAACATCCTGCTGAGACTTTTCCAATTCGGTTCCATTCTCCCTGTCACTTTCAGGTACACCAATCAGACATAGATTTGGTCTTTTCACATAGTCCCATATTTCTTGGAGGCTTTGTACATTTCTGTTTATTCTTTTTTCTCTAAACTTCTCTTCTTGCTTCATTTCATTCATTTCATCTTCCATCACTGATACCTTTTCTTCCAGTTGATCGCATCGGCTACTGAGGTTTGTGCATTCGTCACATAGCTCTTGTGCCATGGTTTTCAGCTCCATCAGGTCCTTTAAGGGCTTCTCTGCATTGGTTATTTTAGTTAGCCATTCGTCTAATTTTTTTCAAGGTTTTTAACTTCTTTGCCATTGGTTCAAACTTCCTCCTTTAGCTCGGAGCAGTTTGATCTTCTGAAGCCTTCTTCTCTCAACTCGTCAAAGTCATTCACCATCCAGCCTTGTTCCGTTGCTGGTGAGGAGCTGCATTCCTTTGGAGGAGCAGAGGCACTCTGATTTTTAGAGTTTCCAGTTTTTTTGCTCTGATTTTCCTCATCTTTGTGGTTTTATCTCCCTTTGGTGTTTGATGATGGTGACGTACAGATGGGTTTTTGTTGTGGAAGTCCTTTCTGTTTGTTAGTTTTCCTTCTAACAGTCAGGACCCTTAGCTGCAAGTCTTTTGAATTTTGCTGGAGGTCCAACCCAGACCCTGTTTGCCTGGGTATCAGCAGTGGTGGCTGCAGAACAGTGGATATTGGTGAACTGCAAATCTTTCCTCTGAAAGTTTTGTCTCCGAGGAGTACCTGGTCGTGTGAGGTGTCAGTCCACCCCTACTGGGGGGTGCCTCCCAGTTTGGCTACTCGGGGTCAGGGACCCACTTGAAGAGGCAGTCTGCCTTTTCTCAGATCTCAAGCTGTGTGCTGGGAGAACCACTACTCTCTTCAAAGCTGTCAGACAGGGACATTTAAGTCTGCAGGGTTTACTGCTGCCTTTTTTTGTCTGTGCCATGCCCCCAGAGGTGGAGCCTACAGAGGCAGGCAGGCCTCCCTGAGCTGTGGTGGGCTCCACCCAGTTCGAGCTTCTGGCTGCTTTGTTTACCTACTCAAGCCTCGGCAATTGCAGGCACCCCTCCCCCAGCCTCGCTGCCACCTTAAAGTTTGATCTCAGACTGCTGTGCCAGCAATGAGTGAGGCTCTGTGGGCATAGGACCCTCTGAGCCAGGTGCGGGATATAATCTCCTGGTGTGCCGTTTGTTTAGCCCATTGGAAAAGTGCAGTATTATGGTGGGAGTGACCCGATTTTCCAGGTGCCATCTGTCACCCTTTTCTTTGACTAGGAAAGGGAATTCCCTGACCCCTTGCACTTCCCGGATGAGGTGATGCCTTGCCCTGCATTGGCTCATGCACAGTGTGCTGCACCCAGTGTCCTGCACCCACTGTCTGGCACTCCCCAGTGAGATGAACCTGGTACCTCAGTTGGAAATGCAGAAATCACCCGTCTTCTACCTCCCTCATGCTGGAAGCTGTAGACTGGTGCTGTTCCTATGTGGCCATCTTGGCTCCACCCCTGATTATTTAATATAGTTTATAAAATGCAAGACTATAGAAATATGGAACAAAAATATTAAAAATTATGAATATACATAAAACAAGGCTACATGAAGAGATTTTTAAAGTTTCTGAATTTAAAGAAATAATATTGTAGCCATGTTCTCTCAAAATCTATCATACAAATTAAAATATTAATCAACATGCCTAAAGGATTTGTTTTGGAATTTAACAATGTGACCATAAATTTTAACTACAAATATTAGTGTGGTAAAATAGTCAAGGAAAAACAATTATAACTAATTTTAGGAGGCCGGGCATGGTGTCTCACACTTGTAATCTCAGCACTTTGTGAAGCTGAGGCAGGCAGATCACTTGAAGCCAGAAGTTCGAAGCCAGTCTGGCCAACATGACAAAACCCTGTCTCTACTAAAAATACAAAAATTAGCCTGGTGTGGTGCACGCCTGTAATCACAGCTACTTGGGAGGTTGAAGCACAAAAATCTTTTGAACCCAGGAGCTGGAGGTTGCAGTGAGCCGAGATTTTGCCACTGCATTGCAGCTTGGGTGATAGAGCAAGACCCTTTGTCAAAAAAATTAATTTTAGAAAAATCTTTATGTACATTAAAATATAAGAAAGACACAATAATTTAAGTAATGGATTAATGACATAGAAATGTGCACATGAGTCAGTTCAACAGGATCTAAAACCCAGAAATGGACATCAGCTTATATAAGGATATGGAGGTGAGATTTCAAATTCATTGAGAAAACTGTTTCGTTCATTAAATTGTGTTAAGAACATTTGGCTAATCATATAGGGAAAAACTCAAATTAGTTTTTTTTCTCATACCATAAGCATAAATGCAAAACATCAAATTGTATTTTTTTTTTTTGAGATGGGGTCTCACTCTGTCACCCAGGCTGGAGTGCAGTGGTGCGATCTTGGCTCCCAGGTTCAAGCGACTCTCCTGCCTCAGCCTCCCAAGTAGCTGGGACTACAGGTGCCCACCACCTGTAGAGATGCTGTTTCACCATGTTAGCCAAGCTGACCTTGAGCTTCTGACCTCAGGTGATCCACCCGCCTCAGCCTCCCAAATTGCTGGGATGACAGGCATGAGCCACCATGCCCAGCCTCAAATTGTAAAAATATACAAAGATAATATTTGTCAATATATTATTGTAGGATAGGTATAATCCCTGAGATAATAATAATTTACTCTGTCAAAATGTATTAGTTTAAAGCCTACTATGTCACAATTGCTGTATCAAGTACTGGGAGTATAATGATGAGTAAAATAACAGTCAATGTAGCTTATAGTATAACATGGAGGGAAGATAATTAAACAAGATATAAAACATGGCTGAATTCAGGTGCTAAAATTATACACTCAGAGATCTCACATCTTTTAGTTCACTTTTTCACTGTTCACTTTCTGCCAGGCTGTCTCTTTGTAGTGAGAAAGAGGACACCTGCAGCACCTTCAGGATTATATCACATTAAGCTCACACACTAAGGAGAAGAAGCAATCTCTTTCCCAATATTCCATATTAATTGTTTAAATAATACTGTTGTTGATCCTGCTTGGATTGCATACCATTCATGAATTCATGAATCCACCAGAGTGGGTGATCTGATTGGTCAGCCTAAGGCTATGAAATTACCATTATGGAAAGAAGAGTTCAGTTTCAGTATCTTGATTGACGACTTCACCAAGTCATTGGTAAATGGGTAAAGAAGGATTTCTTTTTTTAAAATTTTACTTTAAGTTCTGAAATACATGTGCAGAAAGTGCAAGTTTATTACATAGGTATACATGTGCCATGGTTGTTTGCTGCACCTCTCAACCCATCATCTAGGTTTTAAGCCCCACCTGCATTAGGTATTTGTCCTAATGCTCTTTCTCCTCTGGCCCCCACTTCCCGACTGGAAGCCATCATTCTCTGTAAAGAATGATTTCTAAAAGGAAAATACACAATGCAGCTTAAGAAGTAACAAATGGAGAAGTAATTTTAGCAGGATAGCACAGTAGCATGTTTAACACTAGCATCCTCCCACAGTAATAAAAATTTGGCAACCATTCACAAAGAGAAGTGCCCTTTTTGTAGCCTTGAGTCCCAGTTAGAATGTTGCAAAACCCCAGTGGATCCCAAGACTGAGGAGGGCTGTTTGAGAGAACAGGCTTGCACCCAGGTGGTAGGCTCACCAACCATGGTCTCACCTACCGACCCAGAAATGACATTTTCCTCAAGTGGACTTGATTATAACATGATTTGGGTCTGTTGCTGCCACCAGAACCACCTGCTAAGAGACCTGGGAAGAGTCACACTCACTATGCCTTGGATGACAGGCCTGCCAAATCTTGTCCCAGCTGTGAACTCTAAAATGGCTCTGTAACCCAGCTCCATCTCCTCTTGGCCATCATCTACAAGTAGTCTTTCTTGCTCAGGGATGTGCAGGGTGTCATGCCTGTCCATGTCCCCAGAAGCAGTCTTGTAGATTTCAGTCCTACAGCAGATCCCCAAACGAATATGTTACTTGGCTTCAGATTCTTTCTTCTGCTGTTTAAGAGCAGTGTTGCCTGACCAGGGACCTTCCAGAAGACACCACTGCTCAAAGCCAGGCCCAATGACCTCAATGCCCTTGTGCAGTACAAAGCAGTTCTGTAATCCAGCTCCATTCTCTCCAGCCACAGAGAATAAGTAATCCTGTTGACTCAAGGACCCACCAGAGATGTACTTTTTAGTTTTTTTGGAGACAGACCCAGTGACCTCAATCCAACTACAGATTATGAAACAGCCTTGTGTCATGGCTTCAGCTCTGCTAAACCATGGTCTGGGACCAGTTCTGTCTATTCAGTGACCCACCCAGTGTCCCAGAAATATGCCTCCTGGGGGCCCAGAGGGAGTCATATCTATCTACACAACTGATAACAGGCCTACTGTGAACCCAACAGCAGCTGCATGACACAGCTCTAACTCCACTTAATTTCAGTCTCAGAGGAAAATCCATCATAAAGGGACCTAAGGTCTTTACCTGGTAAAATCAGTCAGTAATGACTGGAATAGGAGTTTTCTCCTTCAAATGAACAGGCACCAATGCAAGGCTACACAAAGAAGAATCAGACAAACATGACACACTTGAAACAAAATAAAACAATAAAACCAATAAACCTCCAGTAATTGACCCAAAAAAATTGAGATCTATGAATTGCCTGTCAAAAATTCAAAACAATAATCTTAAAGAAGCTCACTGAGATGCAAGAAGACACAGATAGGCAACTAAACAAAATCAGGAAAACAATGCATGAAAAAAATGAGTTTACTGAATATATACCATTTTACAAACCACAAGAAGAAAT
This sequence comes from Homo sapiens, assembly GCF_000001405.40. Taxonomy (NCBI): domain Eukaryota; kingdom Metazoa; phylum Chordata; class Mammalia; order Primates; family Hominidae; genus Homo; species Homo sapiens. The sequence continues at coordinate 56,845,664 of NC_000023.11, forward strand.
CCTGGAGCTGAAGAATACAATAACAGAACTAAAAATACAATAAGAGAGATTCAATGGCAGAGTCAATTGTGCATAATAAAAAATCAATGAACTCAAAGGTCATTTAAAGGTACAAGAGATTTTGGATTACATGGATGAATCACATAGTGGTGAAGTCTGAGATTTTAGTGCACTTATCACCCGAGTAGTGTACTTTGTACTCAATATGTAGTTTTATATCCCTCCCTCCTTTACTTTTTAATGTAATACTGTTTATTTAACTTCAAAAACATTTCAGCATTCTAAACATACAAAAAATGGAACGTTGCAAATCATGTTTAAGTACAGAAGGCTTTTGAACTTTCATTGATTATGTGGCTCTTCACTTTGCTGACAATGAAGAGTTCTACAGTTTGTTTAAAAACTACCACACTTAATTAAAATTAAATAAATAAATAAACCAAAATAAAACTTCTCATGCAAGTTGACACCCTCTCTGTCCACAGATAAGATGGCAGCAAAATGCTATATCACTATATACAGAAATAAGACAACCTGAGACTAAAGGGATGCCCACTGCAGAGTCAACAGGTCCAGCCTCCTTGTGGATACCCTGAGCTACAGCACCTCCAAAAAGCATCTTCTCCACAACCTCAATGCCAAACAAGCAAGGAGCATCAAGAGTTTGTCTTGGTTCTTTTGTTCTTTTTACAAACCATAGATATATACAGTTGATAACTCAGGATTTCTAGCCAATAACCATATAGTTAACAGCACCTTACAAAAAAAAGTGTGGGAGATCTGGCAAGACGGCTGAATAGGAACTGCTCCAGTCTGCAGCTAACAAGACCAACACAGAAGGTGGGTGATTTCTGCATTTCCAACTAAGGTACCCAGTTCATCTCAGTGGGACTGGTTAGGAAGTGGATGCAGCCCATGGAGGGCAAGCAGAAACAGGGTGGGGCATCGCCTCACCCAAGAAGTGCAAGAAGCCAGGGTGCTCCCTCCCCCAGCCAAGGAAAGCCATAAGGAACTGTGCTATCTGGCCCAGATACTACAATTTTCCCACTGTTTTTGCAATATGCAGACCAGGATATTCCCTAATGTGCCTACACAACCAGAACCCTGGGTTTCAAGCACAAAATTTGGCAGCTGTTTGGGCAGACACTGAGCTAGCTGCAGGAGTTTGTTGTTGTTGTTGTTTTCATACCCCAGCAGTGCCTGGAACCCCAGTGAGACAGAACGGCTCACTTCCCTGGAATGAGGGTTGAAACTAGGGAGCCAAGTGATCTTGCTCAGCAGGTCCCACTCTCACAGAGCTCAGCAAGCTGAGAACCACTGATTTGAAATTCTCGCTGCAAGCACAGTAGTCTGAAGTCGACCTGGGATGATCAAGCTTAGTAGGGGGAGGGGTGTCCACCATTACTGAGGCTTGGGTAGGCGATTTTCCCCTGACAGTGCTAAGGGGGCTGGGAAGTTAGGACTGGGTGGAACTCGCCATAGCACAGCAAGGAGGTTGTGGCCAGACTGCCTCTCTAGATTCTTCCTCACTGGGCAGGCCATCTCTGAAAGAAAGGGAGCAGCCCCAGTCAGGGGCTTATAGATAAAACTTCCAACTCTCTGGGACAGAGCAACTGGAGGAAAGAGTGGCTGTGGGTGCAGCTTCAGTGGACTTAAACTCTTCTGCCTGCCAGATATGAAGACAGCAGCAGATCCTAACAAGGAGGATTCTCCAAACACAGAGCTTGAGCTCTCCTAAGGGACAGACTATCTCCTTAAGTGGGAACCTGACTCCCATGCCTCCTGACTAAGAGACATCCCAGCAGGGGTCAATAGACGCTTCATACAGAAGAGCTCTGGCTGGCATCAGGCAAGTGTCCCTCTGGGAAGAAGCTTCCAGGGGAAGGAGCAGGCAGCAATCTTTGCTGTTCTGCAGCCTTTGCTGGTGATACCCAGGCAAACAGGATCTGGAGTGGACCTCAAGAAAACTGCAGCAGACTTGCAGAACAGGGGCCTGACTGTTAGAAGAAAAACTAACAAACAGAAAGCAATAACATCATCATAAACAAAAAGGACACCCACACACACAAAAACGCCATCCAAAGATCATCAGTCTCAAAGATCAAATGTAGATGAATCCACAAAGATGAGAAAAAAAGAGCACAAAAATTCTGAATATTTAAAAAACCAGAATGCTTCTTCTCCTCCAAAAAATTGCAACTCCTCACCAGCAAGGGCACAAAACTGGACAGAGAATGAGTTTGATGAATTGACAGAAGTAAGCTTCAGAAGGTGGGTAATAACAAATTCTTCCGAGCTAAAGGAGCATGTTCTAACCCAATGCAAGGAAGCTAAGAACCTTGATAAAAGGTTACAGGAATTTCTAACTAGTATAACCACCTTAGAGAAGAACATAAATGACCTGATGGAGCAGAAAAACACAGCACGAGAACTTCGTGAAACATACACAAGTATCAATAGACAAATCAATCAAGCAGAAGAAAGGATATCAGAGATTGAAGATTAACTTACTGAAATAAGGCATGAAGACAAGATTAGAGAAAAAAGAATGCAAAGGAATGAACAAAGCCTCCAAGAAATATGGAACTATGTGAAAAGACCAAAGCTCCTTTTGATTGGTATGCCTGAAAGTGATGGGAAGAATGGAACCAAGTTGGAAAACACACTTCAGGAAATCATCCAGAGGAACTTCCCCAAACTAGCAAGACAGGCCAACATTTAAATTCAGGAAACACAGAGAAGTCCACTAAAATATTCCTCGGTAAAAGCAACCCCAAGACACATAATTGTTAGATTCTCCAAGGTTGAAAAGAAGGAAAAAATGTTAAGGGCAGCCAGAGAGAAAGTCAGGTTACCCACAAAGGGAAGCCCATCAGACTAACAGCAGATCTCTCTGCAGAAACCCTACAAGCCGGAAGAGACTTGGGGCCAATATTCAACATTCTTAAAGAAAAAATTTTCAACCCAGAATTGCATATCCAGCCAAACTAAGCTTCATAAGCAAAGGACAAATAAAATACTTACCAGACTAGCAAATGCTGAGAGATATTGTCACCACCAGACCTGTCTTACAAGAGCTCCTGAAGGAAGTAATGAATATGAAAATGAAAAACCGGTACCAGCCACTGCAAAAACACACCAAAATATAAAGACCCAAGACACTATGAAGAAACTGCATCAACTAATGTGAAAAATAACAAGCTAGTATCATGATGAAAGGACCAAATTTACACATAACAATATTAACCTTAAAGGTAAATGGGCTAAACGCCCCAATTGAAAGACACAGGCTGGCAAATTGGACAAACATTCAAGACCCATTGATGTGGTACATTCAGGAGACCCATCTCACATGCAAATACACACACAGGCTAAAAATAAAGAAATGGAGGAATATGTACAAAGCAAATGGAAAGTAGAAAAAGCAGAGGTTCAAATCTTAGTCTCTGATAAAACAGACTTTAAACCAGCAAAGATCAAAAAAGGCAAAAAAGGGCATTACATAATGATAAAGGGATCAATGCAACAGGAAGAGCTAACTATCCTAAATATATGTGCACCCAGTACAGGAGCACCCAGATTCATAAAGCAAGTTCTTAGAGACCTACAAAAAGACTTAGATTCCCACACAATAATAGTGGGAGACTTTAACGCCCCATCGTGAATATAAGACAGATCAACGAGAGAGAATATTAACAAGGATATTCAGGACTTGAACTGAACTCTGGACCTAGTGGGCCCAATAGACATCTACAGAACTCTCCACCCCAAATCAAAAGAATATACATTCTTCTCAGCACCACATAGCACTTATACTAATATCAACCACATAATTAAAAGAACACTCCTCAGCAAATGCAGAAGAATAAAAATCATAACAAACAGTCTCTCAGACCACAGTGCAATCAAATTAGAACCTAGGATTAAGACAGTCACTCAGAACTGCACAACTACATGGAAACTGAACAACCTGCTTCTGAATGACTACTGGGTGAATAGCGAAATTAAGGCAGAAATAAAGATGTTCTTTGAAACCAATGAGAACAAAGAGACAAGGTACCAGAATCTCTGGGCAGAGCTAGAGCAGTGTGAAGAGGGAAATTTAGGGCACTAAATGCCAACATCAGAAAGTGGAAAAGATCTAAAACTGACACCCTAACATCACAATTAAAAGAACTAGAAAAGCAAGAGCAAACAAATTCAAAAGCTAGCAGAAGACAGGAAATAACTAAGATCAGAGCAGAAATGAAGGAGACAGAGACATGAAAAACACTTCAATAAATTTTATTATACTTTAAGTTTTAGGGTACATGTGCACAACGTGCAAGTTAGTTACATATGTATACACGTGCCATGCTGGTGCGCTGCACCCACTAACTCGTCATCTTGAAGAGATTAACAAAATAGACGGACCACTAGCTAGACTAATAAAGGAGAAAAGAGAGAAGAATCAAATAGACACAATATAAATGATAAAGGGAATCCAAATACTGATCCCACAGATACAAACAACCATCAGATAATACTGTAAACACCTCTATGCAAATAAACTAGAAAATCTAGAAGAAATGGATAAATTCTTGAACAAATACACCCTCCCAAGACTAAACCAGAAAGAAGTCAAATCCCCTAATAGACCAATAAGAAGTTTTGAAATTGAGGCAGTAATTCACAGCCTACCAACCAAAAAAATCCCAGAAACAGATGGATTCACAGCCAAATTCTATCAGAGGTACAACAAAGAGCTGGTACCATTTCTTCTGAAACTGTTCCAAACAATAGAAAAAGAGGGACTCCTCCCTAACTCATTTTATGAGGCCAGCATCATCCTGATACCAAAACCTGGCAGATACACACAAACAAAAAGAAAATTTCAAGTCAATATCCCTGATGAACATCGATGTGAAAATCCTCAATAAAATACTGGCAAACTAAATACAGCAGCAATCAAAAAGTTTATCCACCATTATCAAGTTGGCTTTATCCCTGGGATGCAAGGCTGGTTCAACATAAGCAAATCAATAAATGTAATTCATCACATAAACAGAACCAATAACAAAAAACACATGATTGTTTTGATAGGTGAAGAAAAGTCCTTCGATAAAATTCAATATCTCTTCATGCTAAAAACTCTCAATAAGCTAGGTATTGATGAAACATATCTCAAAGTAATATGAGCTATTTATGACAAACCCATAGTCAATATCATACTGAATGGGAAAAGCTGGAAGCATTCCCCTAAAAAACTGGCACAAGACAAGGATGCCCTCTCTCACCACTCCTATTCAACATAGTATTGGAAGTTCTGGCCAAGGCAATCAGGCAAGAGAAAGAAATAAAGCACATTCAAATAGGAAGAGAGGAAATAAAATTGTCTTTGTTTGCAGATGACATGATTATGTATTTAGAAAACCTCAACGTCTCAGCCCAAAAACTTCTTAAGCTGATAAGCTGATAAGTAATTTCAGCAAAGTCTCAGGATACAAAATCAATGTCCAAAAATCACAAGCATTCCTATACACCAACAATAGACCAACAGAGAGCCAAATCATGAGTGAATTCCCATTCACAATTGTTACAAAAATACCTAGGAATAAAATTTACAAGGGATGTGAAGGACCTCTTCAAAGGAAACTGCAAACCACCGCTCAAGGAAATAAGAGAGGACACAAACAAATGGAAAAACATTTCATGCTCATGGATAGGAAGAATCAATACTGTGAAAATGTCCATACTGCCCAAAGTAATTTATAGATTCAATGCCATTATCATCAAGCTCCCAGTGAATTTATTTGCAGAATTAGGAAAAACTACTTTAAATTTCATATGGAACCAAAAAAGAGCCTGTATAGACAAGATAATCCTAAGCAAAAAGAATAAAGCTGGAGGCATCACACTACCTGACTTCCAAATATACTACAAGGCTACAGAAACCGAAACACCATGTACTGGTACCAAAGCAGATATATAGACCAATGCAACAGAACAGAAGCCTCAGAAATAACACCACACATCTACAACCATCTGATCTTCAACAAACCTGACAAAAACAAGCAATCAGGTTGAAGATTCCCTATTTAATAAATGATGCTGGGAGGGCAGGTGCTGTAGCTCATGCCTGTAATCCCAGCACTTTGGGAGGCTGAGGTGGGCGGATCACCTGAGGTCAAGAGTTCGAGAACAACCTGGCCAACATGGTGAAAATCCATTTCTACTAAAAATACAAAAATTAGCTGGGCTTGGTGGCAGGCACCTGTAATCCCAACTGCTTGGGAGGTTGAGGCAGGAGAGCCACTTGAACCCGAGAGGCAGAGGTTGCAGTCAGCTGAGATTACGCCATTGCAATCCAGCCTGGGGGACAAGAGTGAGACTCCATCTCAAAAAAATAAAAATAAATGGTGCTGGGAAAACTGGTTTGCCATATGCAGAAAACAGATACTGGACCCCTTCTTTATACCTTATACAAAATTTAACCCAAGATGGATTAAATACTTAAGAGTACAATCCCAAACCGTAAGAACCCTAGAAGAAAACCTAAGCAATACCATTCATCACATAGGCATGGGGAAAGACTTTGTCACCAAAACACCAAAAGCAGTTGCAAATAAAAAGCCCAAATTGACAAATGGGATCTAATAAACTTAAGAGCTTCTGCACAGCCAAAGAAACTATCATCAGAGTGAACAAGCAATCTTCAAAATAGGAGAAAATTTTTGCAAGCTACCCATCTGACAAAAGTCTAATATCCAGAATCTACATGGAACTTAAACGAATTTCAAGAAAAAAAACAAACCACCCCATCAAATTTTGGGTGAAGTATATGAACAGACACTTCTCAAAAGAAGACATTTATGTGGCCAAGAAACATATGAAAAAACAAAGCTCATCATCACTGGTCATTAGAGAAATGCAAATCAAAACCACAATGAGATACCATCTCATGCTAATTAGAATGGCAATTATTAAAAAATCAGGAAACAACAGGTGCTCACGAGGCTGTGGAGAAATAGGAAAACTTGTACACTGTTGGTGGGAGTGTAAATTAGTTCAATCATTGTGGAAGACAGTGTGGCAATTCCTCAAGGATCTAGAAACAGAAATAACATTTGACCCAGCAAGTAAATCATTCTACTATAAAGACACATACAGATGCATGTTTATTGCAGCACTATTTACAGTAGCAAAGACTTGAAACCAACTCAAATGCCCATCAATGATAGACTGGATAAAGAGAATGTGGCATATATACACCATCGAATACTATGGGGCCATAAAAAAGGAATAAGATCATGATTTTTGCAGGGGCATGGATGAAGCTGGAAGCCATCCTCAGCAAACTAACACAGGAACAGAAAACCAAACACCACATGTTCTCACTCATAAGTGGGAGTTGAACTATGAGAACACATGGGCACAGGGACGGTAACATCACACACTGGGGCCTGTCGGGGGGTAGGGGGCAAGGGGAGGGAGAGCATTAAGACAAATACCTAATGCATGTGGGGCTTAAAATCTGGATGATGGGTTGATCGGTGCAGCAAACCACCATGGCACGTGTATAACTATGTAACAAACCTGTACATTCTGCACATGTATCCCAGAACTTAAAATAAAAATAAAAGAAAGTATTATCTCCTTGTCTATTTTTTGAAAGAGTTTGAGTAGAATTGGTATTAGTTCTAAAACAAATGTTTAGTAAAATTCAGCAGTGTAGCTATTGAGTCCTGTGCTTTTCTTTGCTGGAAAACTTTTTACTATGGCTAAAATCTTATTTTTTTTTTCTTTTTTGAGACAGAGTCTCACACTGTTTCCTAGGCTAGAGTGTAGTGGCACAATCTTGGCTCGACGCAACTTCTGCCTCCCAGATTCAAGCATTCCCCTTGCTTCCGCCTCCTGAGTAGCTGGGATTACAGGCGCACATCACCACGCCCAGCTAATTTTTGTATTCTTAGTGGAGATCAGGTTTCACCATGTTGGCCAGGCTGGTTGTGAACTGCTGGCCTCAAGTGATCCACCCACCTTGGACTCCCAACGTGCTGGAATTAGAGGCATGAGTCACTGTGCCCGGCCAATCTCATTGCTTCTTATTGGTCTTTTCAGATTTTGATTTTTTTTTAATGTTTCAATCTTGATAGATTGCGTATGTCCGGGAATTTATCTACTTTTTTTAGCTTTTCCAATTTACCACCATATTGTTGCTCTTAGTAGTCTCTAATAATCCATTGAATATCCGTAAGATCAGTTGCATGGTCCCTTTTTTATCTCTGAGTTTATTTGTTTGGATCTTTATTTTTTTAGTCTGGCTAAAGGTTTATCAATATTTTTATCTTTTCACAAAAAAACTTTTTATTTTGTTGATCTTTTATATTTTTGTTTCAACTTTATTTCTGCTCTGGTCTTTGTTATTTCTTTTCTTCTACGAATTTTGGTTTTGGTTTTTTCTTCCTTTTCTAATTCTTCAAGATGCATTGTTATGTTGTTTATTTAAAGTTTTTCTACTTTTTTGGTGTAGGTGCTTATTGCTATAAACTTTCTTCTTACCACTGTTTTCACTGTCGTCCTTTGGTCTTGGTAGGTTGTATTTCCATATTTCCATTTTATTTATTTATTTATTTAATTTTTAGACGCAGTCTCACCCTGTCGCAGTGACGCGATTTCAGCTCACTGCAAGGTCCGCCTCCTGGGTTCACGCCATTCTCCTGCCTCAGCCTCCTGAGTATCTGGGACTACAGGCCCCTGCCACCATACCCAACTAATTTTTTTGTATTTTTGGTAGAGATGGGGTTTCACCGTGTTAGCCAGGATGGTCTCGATCTTCTGACTTCGTGATCCGCCCGCCTCAGCCTCCCAATGTGTTGGGATTACAGGCGTGAGGCACTGCACCCGGCCCATTTGTTTTAACTTTTTACAGAAATTTTTCTTAACTTCTTTACTGAGTCACTTGTTATTCGGGAGCTTTTTTTTTTATTTCCCTGTGTTTGTATAGTTGGTACAGATACTTTTGTTATTGATTTTAATTTTGGTCCATTGTGATCAAAGATGGTTAATATTATTTTAAAAGTTTTTTTTAAGACTTTTTTTGTGACCTAACATATAGTCTATTGTTGATAATGTTCTATGTGTTGAGGAGAAGAATGTGTATTCTGAACCTGCTTGATGAAATATTCTGTAAATCTCTTAGGGTCATTTGGTCTATAGTGCAGATTAACTCTGATATTTTTGTTTATTTTCTATCTAAATGACCTGTCTAATGCTGAACGTAGGGTCTTGAAGTCTCCAGCTATTACAGTTTTGGGGCCTATCTCTCTCTTTAGCTCTAATAATATTTGCTTTATATCTGGGTGCTTCAGTGTTGGGGGTGTATAGATTTACAATTATTATGTCCTCTAGTTTAATTGATATCTCTATAATTATATAATGACCTTCTTTGTCTCTTTTTATAGTTTTTGTCTTCAAATCAGTTTTGACTGAGAGAGGTATAGATACATCCCTTTATTATCATTCTATGTGTGTCTTTATAGGTGACATGTGTTATTTTTAGGGAACAGATCTTTTGGTCTTCTTTAAAATAAATCTATTCAGCCACTCTATGTCTTTTGATTAGGGAGTTTAGTGCATTTACATTCAATGTTCTTATTAATAAGTAAGAATTGGCTGGGCACGGTGGCTCATGCCTGTAATCCCAGCACTTTGGGAGGCTGTGGTGGGTCGAGAGTTTGAGGCCAGCCTGATCAACATGGAGAAACCTCATCTCATATACATGTATATATATACACACACACACGAACACACACGCACACACACAATTAGCCAGATGTGGTGGCATCTGTAATCCCAGCTACTTGGGAGGCTGAGGCAGGAGAATCGCTTGAATCTGAGAGGTGGAGGTTGCAGTGAGCCGAGATCATGCCTTTGCACTCCAGCCTGGGCGACAAGAGTGAAACTCCGCTCAAAAAGAAAAAAAAATTAATAACTTATTCTTGCCATTTTGTTATTTGTTTTCTGGTTGTTTTGTGGGTCTTTTTTTTCTTCTTTCTTTTCTGTCTTCCTTTTTGTGATGGTGATTTTCTCAGGTAGTATGTTTTATTTATTTATTTTTTTTTAACTTTCTGTATATCTGTTGTAGGTTTTTTGATTTGAGGTTACCATTAGCTTGCAAATAATATCTTATATCCCATTATCTTAAATTAACACTGATTGCAAAAACAAACAAGCAAAGAGGAAGCTAATGAAAACTCTATAGTTTGACTTTATCCCCCCTCTACTTTTTAACATTTTGCTTTTACGACTTAAACATTATTATATTGACTATGTCTTAAAGTTGTAATTATTTTTGATAGGTTCATGTTTTACTGTTTCTACTCAAGATATGAGTAGTTTACACAACACAATTTTAGTATTATGAACTTACTATTACCAGTGAGTTTTGTACCTTCAGATGACTTCTTATTGCTCAATAAGAGCTTTTTTTCCAAATTAAGGAAACATTTGTTGCATTTTGCATAGACATGTCTGGTGTTGATGGAATCCCTCAGGTTTTTTTTGCATGGGAAAGTCTTTATTTCTCATTTGTGTTTGAAGCATATTTTCACTGGAGATACTATTTTATAATAAAAGTTTTTTTTTCTTCAGAACTTTAAATGTCATGCCACTCTTTCCTGGTCTATAAGGTTTTACTGAGAAATCTGCTTCCAGATACATTGGAGCTCCTTTGTATGTTTTATTTATTTATTTAGACAGAGTTTCACTCTGTCTCCCAGGCTGGAATGCAGTGGCGTGAAATCAGTTCACTGCAACCTCTGCTTACTGGGTTCAAGTTATTCTCCTGCCTTAGCCTCTGGAGTAGCTGAGATTACAGGCACCCGCTACCATGCCCAGCTAATTTTTGTATTTTTAGTAGAAACGGGGTTTTGCTATATTGGCCAGGCTGGTCTCGAACTCCTGACTTCAAGCAATCCACCCACCTCAGCCTCCTAAAGTGCTGGGATTACAGGTGTGAGCCACTGTGTCTGGCCTATTTGTTACTTTTCTCTTGCTGCTTGTAGGATTTTTTCTTTATCCTTGACCTTTGGGCATGCATTAGTCCATTTTCATGTTGCTGATAAAGACATACCCAAGACTGGGAAGGAAAAGAGGTTTAATTGAACTCACAGTTCCACATGGCTGGGGAGCCCTCAGAATAATGGCCAGAAGTGAAAAGCAGTTCTTACATGGAGGCAGCAAGAGGAAATGAGGAAGAAGCAAAAGCAGAAACCCCTGATAAACCCATTAGATCTCATGAGACTTATTCACTATCAAGAGAATAGCACGGGACAGACCAGCCCCCATGATCCAATTATCTCCCCCTGGGCCCCTCCCACAACACATAGGAATTCTGAGATATACAATTCAAATTGGGATTTGGGTGGGGAAACAGCCACACCATATCATCCCACCCCTGGACCCTCCAAATCTCACATCCTCACATTTCAGAACCAATTATGCCTTTTCAACTGTCCCTCAAAGTGTTAACTCATTTTAGCATTAATCCAAAAATCTATAGTCCAAAGTCTCATCTGAGACAAGGCAAGTCCTGTCCACCTATGAGCCTGTAAAATCAAAAGCAAGCTAGTCAGTCCCTAGACACAATTAGACTACAGGTATCGGGTAAATACAGCCATTCCAAGTGGGAGAAATTGGCCAAAACAAAGGGGCAGTCCAGTTTTAAAGCTCCAAAATGATCTCCTTGACTCCAGGTCTCACATCCAGGTCATGCTGATGCAAGAGTTGGGTTCCTATGGTCTTGGGCAGCTCTGCCCCTGTGGCTTTGCAGGGTACAGCCTCCCTCCCAGCTGCTTTCATGGGCTGGCATTGAGTGTGACTTTTCCAGGTGCATGGTGCATGCTGTCAGTGCATCTACTATTCTGGGATCTGGAGGATGGTGGCCCTCTTCTCACAGCACTACTAGGTAGTGCACCAGTAGGGACTCTGTGTTGGGGTTCCAACTCCACATTTTCTTCCACACTGCCCTAGCAGAGGGTCTCCATTAGGGTCATGTCCCTGCAGCAAACCTTTGCCTGGGTATCCAGGTGTTTCCATACATCTTCTGAAATCTAGGCAGTGGTTCCCAAACCTCAATTCTTGACTTCTGTGCACCCTCAGCCTCAACACCACTTGGAAGCTGCCAAGGCTTGGGCCTTTCACCCTCTGAAGCCACAGCCTGAGCTCTATATTTTCCCCTATCAGCCACAGTTAGAGTGGCTGAGATACAGGGCTCCAAGTCCCTAGGCTGCAGACAGCACGGGGACTCTGGCCCTGGCTCATGAAACCACTTTTTACTCCTGGGCCTCCAGGCCTGTGATGGGAGGGGCTGCTGTGAAGGTCTCTAACATGCCCTGGAGACATTCTCCTCATGCTCTTGGGGATTAACAGTAGGCTCTTTGCTAGTTATGGAAATTTCTGCAGCTATATTAAATTTCTCCTTAGAAAATGGGTTTTTCTTCTCTACTGCATCGTCAGGCTGCAAATTTTCTGAACTTTTATGACCTGTTTCCTTTTTAGAATGGAATACTTTTAACAGCACCCAAGTCACTTTTTTAATGCTTTGCTACTTAGAAATGTCTTCTGCCAGATACCCTAAACAATCTCTCTCAAGTTCAAAGTTTCACAAATACCTAGGGGAGGGGCAAAATGCCATCAGTCTCTTTGCTAAAACATAACTAGAGTCACCTTTGCTCCAGTTGCCTACAAGTTCCTCATCTCCATCTGAGACCACCTCATCCTGGACCTTATTTTTCGTATCACTATCGGCATTTTTGTCAAAGCCATTAAATAAGCCTCAAGGAGGTTCCAAAGTTTCTCACATTTTGCTGTATTCTTCTGAGCCCTCAAAACTGTTCCAACCTCTGCCTGTTACCCAGGTCCAAAGTCACTTCTACATTTTTGGTTATCTTCTCAGCAACACCCCACTCTACTGGTACCAATTTACTGTATTGGTTTGTTCTCACACTGCTAATAAAAAAAATCTGAGACTGAGAAGAAAAATAAGTTTAATTGGACTTACAGTTCCACATGCCTAGGGAGGCCTCAGAATCATGGCAGGAGGTGAAGGGCACTTCTTACATGGCAGCAGCAAGAGGAAATGAGGAAGAAGCAAAAGGAGAAACCCCTGATAAATTCATCAGATCTCATGAGACTTATTCCCTATCATGAGAATAGCACAGGAAAGACCAGTCCCATGATTCAATTACCTCCCCCTGGGACCCTTCCACAACATGTGGGAATTCTGGAAGATACAATTCAAGTTGAGATTTGTTTGGGGACACAGTCAAACCATATCAGGGAGTTTGATTTGTAAAGCCTTGAAGTAGTCTAATTTTGGTATATCTGCCTGGTGTTCTGTAACCTTCTATTACTTAAATATTGATATCTTTCTTTAGGTTTGAAAATTTCTTCATTATTATTTTTTAAAATAAATATTCTACCCCTATCTCTCTCTCTCTACTTCCTTTTTAAGGCCAATAACCCTTAGATTTACCCTTTTGAGGCTATTTTCTAGATTTTGCAGGCAAGATTCATTTTTATTCTTTTGTCTCCTCTGACTGTGTATTTTCAAATAACATGTTTTCAAGCTCATTAATTGTGTCGTCCACTTGATCAATTTTGCTCTTGAGAGGCTCTGATGCATTCTTTAGTATGTCAATTGGGTTTTTTAGTTGTACAGTTTCTACTTGATTTTTAAAGTTATTTCAGTGTATTTTAAAAAATTTTTAATGGGATTCTGAATTTCTTTATTGTATTATCTTGGATTTTTGGGGGTTTCCTCAACACAGCTATTTTGAATTCTTTCTGTGAGATCACATATCTATATCACTCTGGGATCTGTCACTGGTGCCTTATTTAGTTCATTTGGTAAGGTCATGTTTTCCTGGATTGTCTTCATGCTTTGGGATGTTCATCAGTGTTTGGGCAGTGAAGAGTCAGATATTTATTGTAGTCTTCACAGACTAGGCTTGCTTTATCCACCCTTTTTGGAAAGGCTTTCTAAGCAGTCAAAGGGAATTGAGTGTTGTGATTCAAATCTTTGGTTACTGCAGTTACATTCGCATTAGGGGAGAACTCCAAGCCCAGTAATGCTGTGACTCTTTTGGACTCATAGAAGTACTTCCTTGGTGGTCTTGGGTACAATCTGGGAGAATTCTCTAAATTATCAAGCAAAGACTCTTGTTCTCTTCCTTTTCTTTCTCCAAAACAAGTGGAGTCTTTCTATCTGTGCTTAGCTGCCTGGAGCTGGAGGAGCGGTGACACAAACACCCACGTGGTAACAACTAGTGGGACTGTGCTGGCCACATCCAAAGCCAGCATAGTACTGGGTCTCACAAAATGTCCACAGAGACCACTGCCTTGCTACTGCTAATGTTCACTCAAGTCCCAAGAACTTTTTAGTTAACAGGTTGTGAATGAAACCAGGCTTGTGTCTTTCCCTTCAGAATGATGAGTTCCCTCCACCTGCCAATCAACCAAAGGTGATCTAGAAATGCCATCCAGGAGTTAGAGCCTGTAGTTGGAAACCTTAGGAATCTGCTCAGTGCTCTATTCTACTGTGGCTGAGCTGGCACCCAATGCCACAAGACAAAGTCCTTCTCACTGCCTCCTCTGCTTTTCTCATGCTGAAGTTGTCTGTCCTTGTGTCCATCACTGCCCCAGGCCTACAGCAAATACTGCCTGGCTACTGCTGATGTTCACTCAAGGCTCATGGGCACTTCAGTGAGCTTCTGGTAAATGCCACCAGGCTTGGGTCTCTACCTTCAGAGCAGTGGGCTTCTTTGAGGACCAGCGTGGGTCCAGAAATGTCATTCAGGAGTCAAGGACTAGAATCAGTGACCCCAGAAGCCCACTTTGTGCTCTACTCCACTGTGGCAGAGCTGGTGCCTAAGCTTCAAGACAGTGTCCCTTTGCTCTTTCTACTCCTTTCCTCAAGCAGTAGGAATCCCTTGCTATGTCCCCCACAACTGGAAATGTGCTGGGTCACACCTGAAGTCAGCAGGGCTCTGGGCCTCACCCAAAGCCCACAGTGAGTATAGCTAGGCAAGTACTGATGTTTATTCAAGAATCAAGGCCTCTTTAGTCAGCAGGTAATGAATCCTGGCAGGATTGTGTCTTTTCCCTCAAGGCAGTGGGTTTCCTTCTGGCCCAGGGTGTGTCTAGAAATGTCATTTTGGAGCTAGGGGCTGGAATGCGGGCCTCAGGACTCTGCCTGGTGCCCTATTATGCTGTGGCTGAGCTAGTATCCCAGTTTCAAGACAAAGTTTCCTATATTTTCCCCTCTCTTCTGCTCAAGCAGAAAGAAAGAGTCTCTCCCAGAGTTAGAAGCTCTTCTGCCTGGGGTTGAAGGAGGGGTTATGCATGTACTCCTTGACTGCCCCAGCTGGTGTCTCACTAGGTCTCATACACCCCAAGTCCACTGGCTATGAGCTCATATGGCACCAGTACTTGTATGGAAATTGCAGTTATTGTGACCCCGCCTATCTTTCAAGTTCTTTTAGGGCCCAAAGTTCTATTTAGCCCATGGTGGTAGGGCTGGCCGGAACTCAGCTTGCAAAGGCTGAGATAGACAAATTCCCTCTGGCTTGGGCTGGTTTAAATTTTCTCTCCATGGGTGCTGTCTGAATTTTGCCGTATGTTTTTTTCTGTTGTGACAAGGCAGCACTGAATTCCAATGCAAAGTTTCACAGTCACTGCACTATCTCCCCCTCAAGCACAGGGATTTTCTCTTTGTGCCAGGAACCATTGCTGGCTAATCTGAGGGGTGTTGTCAGTAACTTAAGGCTGTATTTTCTACCCTCTTCAGTGCCTCTTTCCTTGATGTGATGTTAAAATCAGGTACTGTGACCACTCACCTGATCTTTGGTTCTTATGAAGGTGCTTTCTTGCATGGGTAGTTGTTCAATTTGGTGTTCCTGTGCCGGGGGGTGATCACTAGAGGGTTCTATTTAGCCATGTTGCTTTGCCTCCTCCTTCCATCTGATTGTTTTATAAATGAACATCTGTATTAGCAATTATTAATAAATTTGAATACATGATACATAGAAAGTGTAAAGTCTCTGTAATACCATCCTCCACACCCACAATCACTTGTGGTATCTACTATTAATGATTTGCTTATAATTTCCATTTTTTGGAGCTAAAAGGGCAACACTCTACATAATATTCTGTGTTTTTTTATTCTATGATACATTAACAAAACGTTTTACTGTTACTACACATCAGTGTATACAGCTTTTTCTCATATCTTTCTAATAGATGTGCCACATTTATTTAATAAATTATATATTAATGAAAATTTTGTATTTTCCCAATATTTTGCTATGTCACAGAGATTATAGTGTTTTGTAAGCTCTGCCAGAGACTGGACATCAGTAAGAAACTAGCGTATTATTTGATGGCATTATGGTCAGAGAACACAGGAAATCCTGAACACAGCCTCAAAGTGATTAGTGTAGCAGTATAAGTAACAGTGTGATAAGTGAGAATAAAGACATTTATCCAAAATTACTTAGCATTTTGGCAATAGACTCCATTTTGGAGATAAATAAGAGGAGCTTATTCAAATAAGAGGAGCTTAACATGTGTACCTGCCCCTTTATCTTATATCAAACTGCAGTTTCAGAAAAATGCAGATATGTATAGTTATTTCACACATACCTTAGGGCCCTAGCTTGATTTCAGCTCTTACCACACTTTTGGTATATGAAAAAAAAGTAAATAAAAATGTCTCACCTGTGCGATAATTTTTTTTGCAGTGGTTGTTTAATGTGCAAGCAGTTGTCTTCAAATCTGATGAATCCATAACAATTTCTTCCGCACTGGTGAAGGTGGAAAGAAGTAATGGAAAAAACTATCTAGAGGAATAAAGATTAACTTTGAATCAGAAGTAATCCTCTCCCTTTATGATTATTTTTCATGCTAACCCATTATGCTAAGATCCATGTGTATGGCAGTCATACCAGATAGCAATAACTCAACTTAGCGTACACCGAGAATGACATGGTGGTCTAAAAAAAAATGTATGTTCAAAGTCCCAAGCTAAGGAATCTGGGAGTGGCTAATCCAGAGATTCACTTTTTTATCTATGAAGGACATCTGAACCCCTGGCCCATTTTTGGAATACACCTGTACAGGGGATTGGGGCCCTTTGTTTTGGGTTAAATGGTGGTTACAAGGAGAAGGTTGCTAGGTGGAGGGTGCTAAGTGAAAATGCTATATAAACAGCATGCATTTTACAAATAGTTGCAGTCTTCCTGTCCAGCTCACCAGCACTGGACATGCCTTGTATGTAAGTCTCCCCAGTAAAATGTATGTCTCATTTACTGGCTCTGGGTCTTTTCCTTGTCCTCTTGGACATGGTGCCATCCCTGTTAGAGTTACTAAGGAGCTTGAGGCTCAGCCCACCAGCCCTCTTGCAGAGAAATTGCAGGTGTCAACCCCTTTAGACTAGGATGAAGGCCAAGACCCCAGAATCCCAATAAGAGCAATGGTAGCCAGGATGTCTGGAGATTGAAGGCCACATTTAGAACTAAATGTATATTGGAAACCTAGGAATAAAGAGACTATCCTTGTATTAGTGGATACTGGAGCCAAATGCACTCATATATGGCATCATTTATCACTTCTAAGGTCCTATAGCAGCAACAGATGGTAATGGAGTGGGGTCAGACAGGTTGAACTAGTATTACAGATTGGCAGACTGCCACCAAAACCATATTTAGTATACATAGCTCCCATCCCAGAATACATCTTGAGAAAGGATATCTTATTAGGCTTGACCCTCCAAATAACTATTTTGGAATTTCCGCTGAGAGTTAGGATGGCAAAGCATGTGATCGGGGAAATGTAAAATGGACACTGGAGCTATTGCCATACCCTTGGTAAGTAGTAGCACTGAAGCAGTATCATCTGCCAGGGTTTAGGGGGCATAATGAGATCAATGGGGCTGTTAAGAAGTTAACCCTGGTAGGAATTATAAGGCAGCACACAATCCTGTATGGCCTGTGTGAAAAGCTGATGGGACATTGAGAATGACAGTAAATTACTGAGAATTAAATAATGTGGTCCTTTCTCAACGTTTGTGGCTGCATCCACTATCACCTCTCTTTTGATGAGAATAAGAGAGGCCCTTGGCACATAACATTTTATTATCAATTTACCAAATGTCTTCAGCATCCCCATTGCCCCATATAGTCAAGACTAATTTGAATTCTCCTGGGAAGAACAATGGACCTTTATCATCTTGCCTAAGGAATATTTGTATAGCCCCAGTATCTGTCAGGGCTTAGAGACAACAGACCTCAGTTGATGGACCACCTCGAAGGAAGTACAAGTTTCTCATTGCATTGATGATATTATGCTAACTCCTGAGTCTTTCCAGCTTATGAAATGCATCCTCCACCTTGCTGTCTCAGTTGGTGAACAGAAGATGGGCAGTCAGTGCAAAGTCCAGGATTCAGGCTTATCTGTCAAATACTTGGGGGTCATCTGGTCAGGTAAGACTAAAGTTATTCTGTCTGCCGTTATAGATAAGGTGCAGGGCTACCCACATCCTACCACACTAAAACAGTTGCAAATCTTCTTAGGCCTTCTAGGTATAGGTGTCCTTTTATTTCCAATTTAGCACAACTGCTTAGGCCCCGTAAGTCTTAGTCAAGAAGGGGGCCCATTGGGCCACAGAGGAGAATGTGGCCTTTGAATGAGAAAAAGTCACAGTGAAACAAATACAGTTCTTGGGAGTTATAATGCACAGACAGCCCTGTGAATTGGACATAGCCAGTTACCTCGAGGGGTTTGGTTTGGGTCAGTGCTAAAGGCAAAGACATAAACATGTGCCTTTAGGATTCTGGTCCCAACTATGAAAGGGGGCTGAAGTTAGGTATAGTGTCATGGACCAACAACTATGCACTACATACTATGCCTTACAAAAAGGGGAAGACATTGCACAGGGGGTCCCAGTGATAATTTGCACTCAATATCCCATAGCAGGTTGGCTGAAGGATAACTTCCCATAACCAAAGTCTGGGAATGCCCAGACACAGACTGTGGCCAAATGGCATGCCTACTTGCAACAGAGGAGCACATTAATTAAAATCCCTTTGAGTGCAGAACTTCATTCGGTGTTTGGCCCTGGCACCTATGTGATGACCAAAACACAGTCTTTATTTTTATTTATTTATTTATTTATTTATTGAGATGGAGTCTCGCCCTGTCACCCAGGCTGGAGTGCAATGGCATGATCTCGGCTCACTGTAACTTCTGCCTCCTGGGTTCAAGCGATTCTCCTGCCTCAGCCTCCTGAGTAGCTGGGCTTACAGGCACCCACAACCATGTCCAGCTAATTTTTGTATTTTTAGTAGAGACAGGGTTTCACCATGGTGACTAGGCTGGTCTCGAACCCCTGACCTCATAATCCACCCGCCTCAGACTCCCAAAGTGCTGGGATTACAGGCGTGAGCCACAGCACCCGGCCTGAAAGTCTTTAATGAAAGTTACTGAGACTCCACAAATCTCCGTCATACCGGAGGGACAGGGTCCAATTCCTGACCAGGTCTGGTACACAGATGGCTTATTACAAAGTAATTCTTGCACCTGGAACACAGTGGCCACTCAGCTGTCCACTGATAGTACTTGACTTGATACTGGCAAAGGACATAGCAGCCAAATGGGCTAATCTTTCAGTCACTTGGATGATTCTCCTCCATGAGCTGGACCCAACAGACCTATGTAATGATAGCTGGGCCATTTTTAAGGGACTCATGGTGTGGCCACTACAATGGGAAGCAGAGGATTGGATTATAGCAGGTCACCCACTTTGGGGTGCCAACATGTGAAAGGACATTCTCCATTGCATCCTGGGAATGCATATAATGCTCTACCATGGGAATACCCACACTACATCTACACCATTGGAAATCAACAGGCAGACAAAGTAGCCCATAGGAGACTTTGCCTCCTAAAGGGTTTACTGGCTACATAAGAAGACAGAAAATCAGGGACAATATACTTTTTGGGTCAGAGCAAATAATTGGGACCTGCAACTGTGATATAAAGGCATAGTACTCATCTGTCATTAATATCCTACTTGTGCACAGGAATGCCATAGGCCTTTATTGCACAGTACTGGGCAGATAACCTGGGGCCAGAGCCTAGTGCAAGTGTGGCAGGTAGACCATATAGGACTTTTGCCTTTATCTGATGACTGCCCCTATGACTTGACTCATGTGAACACCTGGACAGGGCTACTGTGGGCATATCCCAGCAAGCATGCCACTGAAAAAGCCACTATAAAAGGTCTAGAGCAGCTGTGAGTGGTCTATGGCATCCCCACTGATATCAACAGTGACCAGGGCTCACACTTTACCAGACACAAACTGCAGAAATGGGCAGGGGCCCTGGATATACAATGGCATTTCCACTTGCTATACAAACCTACAGCAGAGGGTCTGATTGAACGAGTGAATAGATTGTTGAAGCAACAACTCTGGCAGGAGACATGTTCTCTAGCTCTGTGGACATGCTGCTACCAGCAGCCATTCACACCTTGAATGAACATGCACATTCTCATCACTCCAGTGCATACACTTTTCTGATGCAAAGGCTTGATGTCATCTTCAGGATCCAGGTGGACAATGTAAGGGATAGTATACTTTATCCCAACCTGGGACTTAATATTATATGGATATTTGTTCCCTCCAAATCTCATGTTGAATCTCTCACCTCAATATTTGAGGTGGGGCCTAGTGGGAGGTGTTTGGGTCATGGGGATAGATCCCTCATTGGTGTCATCCCCATGTTAATGAGTGAGTTCTCATTTTATTAATTAATGTGAGATCTGGTTTTTTGTCTGGTCCCTCTTCCTCTCTCTCATCCTCTTTCTCACCATGTGATATGTGCCCTTCCCCTTTGCCTCTCACCATGATTGTAAGCTTCACGAGGTCTTACCAGAAGCAAATTCTGTTGCCATGCTTCTTCTACAGCCTGAAGAACTGTGTGCCAAATAATCCTTTTTAAAAATACAGAACGCAGCCTCGGGTATTCCTTTATAGCAACATGAAATGGACTAATATACAAGGTAATTTGCTATTGCTTTTGCAACAAGACCTACCCACTGGGGAGCATATCATTATGTGGTGTTGGACATAGCAAAGCATCCCCAGAGGGTCTGTTTTTTCTGGCCCATAGGGAAGAACTTAGAACAGGATATAGAGTTAATAACCATTTCATATCCTACCCCCCTTTGTGCTTCTAAAATAATGAATTCAAGTTCTCCCTTGTGCAAGGGGATGATCACCCTTTCATTAAGGAACATTATAGTACCCCTACTGTTTTACCTGTCTTCCTGCAATGCACTGCAAAGGGGATCAAATCCACTTGGCGTTGTAAACCAGACACCAGGCTGCTACCAGGGGTGGTGCTTTCTCAGAATGACACAACTTCCTGTGTCTTGTTCAATAGTCATAACTTACACTTTCTTGTAATCACTAAATATCTCATCTTTCTTTCTTTCTTTTTTTTTTCTTTTTTGAGGCCGAGTTTCACTCTTGTTGCCCAGGCTAGCCTCCATCTCCTGGGTTCAAGCAATTCTCCTGCCTCAGCCTCCCAAGTAGCTGGGATTACAGGCATGCAGCACCACACCTGGCTAATTTTGTATTTTTAGTACAGACAGGTTTTCTCCATGTTGGTCAGGCTGGTCTCGAACTCCGGAACTCAGGTGATCTGCCCTCCTTGGCCTCCCAAAGTGTTAGAATTATAGGCCTGAGCCACGACACCCAGCCAACATCTCACCTTTCACCCATAGATAGTGTGCAGCAAACCTCTTCACTGAATGGATGCAGTCTCCTGAACAAAACAGACTGTTGCATCTGTTTTGTCTCTCTCCTTCCTTGTGGGCCTGCCATTGTGTATCCACATTGCTGACCTGAGTGCTTGGAGCCACTTCTTTATTTGGCATAATGACCCTCACCCATTTTCCTATAGTAATAACAGCAGCTCATGCAATAAGTTTCCCACCATCAAAGAAATAAAATGACATGTTTTTCACCTACTACAGGAGCAGATTAATCTTATCCCACTGTGGGGTTTGCTATACACAATGGGCTCAGGTGGATGATGGGAGTACAGATACAAGTAGTGGTTTGTGTACCCTTATGTATCAAAAAGCATGATAACAACATACCGAAAGCTAAAATCCGTAATATGGGATGGCTACTCTTACAGACCAATCTCTTCAGATAACCGGTGATATGTAACTGGGGTGGCAGACAGACTGTCTCCACTTGGGGGCCCACCCCTTCCCTTGAGGATGACGATGGGCATGCTGCATCCATGGCTGGCCTTACTTACCCTATCATTGGACCAGTAGATGCACTTGAGAGCATCCTTCCTTACTTGCCGGGATGGATTGTGACCTCTTTAGAAGTTATTCCTACTAACTGGGAGAGTGTGAAAACCAGGCTCCACCAGAAGCATACAATCTGCTGGTTTTATCACTTGGCCATTTTTGTCCCCCAATTCAGGGCAATAAAAATAGAGATGCACATCGAGTCCCTGGATAAACATATGGCTGCAGCATTCGATGATACCTGCCATGCTATTACTCTTCTCACTGAAGAAACAACTCCAATTAGACGTGTTACTTTGCAAAATTGCATGACCCTGAACATCTTAACTGTCACCCAGAATGGAACCTGTGTATTAATTAAAACTTAATTCTGTGTATATATCCCTTAATACTCTCACAATGTAACCCAGACCATATGGGCCCTAAATACCAATATTTCTGCCATAGAATGTCAATCTTTGCACACTGTAATGTCTTGGTTTAATCAACTACTAAGTGTTTGGGAAAACTTTCCATACAGTATGATTGTTATTGTATTCATTACTTTGTTTCATTGTTGCAGTTGCTAGTGCTGCTGCAGCATCTGGCTGGAATGCTTCTCTGAACACCTTGCCCCAGAGAAATCATGGAAGAATAGCACGATATGAATGTGAGAAAAAGAAAAGAATGTGAGGGCCATTCAAGGGTATGCTCGAAGGAAGGAGTGTATGACAGATGTACCTGATAGCAATAATTTATCTGAAGCATGCCCAGATAATGATCTTATGTTATAAAAAGAATCCCATGCTAAAGAATCCCAAGCTAAAAATCTGGGAGTGGGGCCGGGAATGGTGGCTCATGCCTGTAATCCCAGCACTTTGGGAGGCCGAGTTGGGTGGATTATGAGGTGAGGAGTTTGAGACAAGATTGGCCAACATTGAGAAATCCCATCTCTACTAAAAATACAAACAATTAGCCAAGCTTGGGGGGTGGGGCCAAGATGGCCAAATAGGAACAGCTCCAGTCTACTGCTCCCAGCATGAGCGATGCAGAAGATGGGTGATTTTTGCATTTCCAACTGAGGTACCACGTTCATCTCACTGGCTAGTGCCAGACAGTTGGTGCAGGACAGCGGGTGCAGCACACTCTGCTTGAGCCGAAGTAGGGCAAGGCATCACCTTCACCTGGGAAGTGAAAGGGGTCAGGGAATTCCCTTTCCTAGTCAAAGAAAGGGGTGACAGATGGCACCTGGAAAATTGGGAGACTCCCACCATAATACTGCACTTTTCCAACAGGCTTAGCAAATGGCACACCAGGAGATTATATCCCGCACCCAGCTCTGAGGGTCCTACGCCCACGGAGCCTTGCTCATTGCTAGCAAAGCAGTCTGAGATCAAACTGCAAGGCTGCAGCAAGGCTGGGGGAGGGGCACCTGCCATTGCTTAGGCTTGAATAGGTAAATAAAGCAGCTGGGAAGCTCGAACTGGGTGGAGCCCACCACAGCTCAAGGAGGCCTGACTGCCCCTGTAGGCTCCACCTCTGGGGGCAGGGCACAGACAAACAAAAAACAGCAATAACCTCTGCAGATTTAAACGTCCCTGTCTGACAGCTCTGAAGAGAGCAGTGGTTCTCCCAGCATGCAGCTGAGATCTGAGAATGGGCAGACTGCCTCCTCAAGTGGGTCCCTGACTCCTGAGTAGCCTAACTGGGAGGCACCACCCAGTAGGTGCGGACTGACACCTCACACGGCTGGGTACTCCACTGAGACTAAACTTCCAGAGGAACAATAAGGCAGCAGCATTTGCTGTTCACCAATATCTGCTGTTCTGCAGCCACCACTGCTGATACTCAGGTAAACAGGGTCTGCAGTGGACCTCCAGTAAACTCCAACAGACCTGCAGCTGAGGGTCCTGACTGTTAGAAGGAAAATTAACAAACAGAAAGGACATACACACCAAAAACCCATCTGTACGTCACCATCATCAAAGACCAAAGGTAGATAAAACCACAAAGATGGGGAAAAAACAGAGCAGAAAAACCGGAAACTCTAAAACCTCCCCTCCTCCAAAGGAACGCAGCTCCTCACCAGCAACGGAACAAAGCTGGATGGAGAATGACTTTGACAAGTTGAGAGAAGAAGGCTTCAGAAGATCAAACTACTCTGAGCTAAAGGAGGAAGTTTGAACCAATGGCAAAGGAGTTAAAAACTTTGAAAAAAATTAGACGAATGGATAACTAGAATAACCAATGCAGAGAAGTCCTTAAAGGACCTGATGGAGCAGAAAACCACAGCACGAGAACTACGTGATGAATGCACAAGCCTCAGGAACCAATGTGATCAACTGGAAGAAAGGGTATCAGTGATGGAAGATGAAATGAATGAAATGAAGCAAGAAGAGAAGTTTAGAGAAAAAAGAATGAAAAGAAATGAACAAAGCCTCAAAGAAATATGGGACTATGTGAAAAGACCAAATCTACGTCTGATTGGTGTACCTGAAAGTGACGGGGAGAAAGGAACCAAGCTGGAAAACACTCTACAGGAGATTATCCAGTAGAACTTCCCCAATCTAGCAAGGCACGCCATCATTCAAATTCAGGAAACACAGAGAACACCACAAAGACACTCCTCGAGAAGAGCAACTCTAAGACACATAATTGTCAGATTCACCAAAGCTGAAATGAAGGAAAAAATGTTAAGGGCAGCCAGAGAGAAAGGTCAGGTTACCCACAAAGGGAAGCCAATCGGCCTAACAGCTGATCTCTCGGCAGAAACTCTACAAGCCAGAAGAGAGTGGGGGCCAATATTCAACATTCTTAAAGAAAAGAATTTTCAACCCAGAATTTCATATCCATCCAAACTAAGCTTCATAAGTGAAGGAGAAATAAAATACTTTACAGACAAGCAAATGATGAGAGATTTTGTCACCATCAGGCCTTCCCTAAAAGAGCTCCTGAAGGAAGCACTAAACACCGGAAAGGAACAACTGGTACCACTCACTGCAAAAACATGCCAAATGGTAAAGACCATCGATGCTTGGAAGAAACTGCATCAACTAACGAGCAAAATAACCAGCTAATATCACAATGACAGGATCAAATTCACACATAACAATACTAACCTTAAATGTGAATGGGCTAAATGCTCCAATTAAAAGGCACAGACTGGCAAATTGGATAAAGAGTCAAGACCAATCAGTGTGCTGTATTCAGGAAACCCATCTCACGTGCAGAGACACACATAGGCTCAAAATAAAGGGATGGAGGAAAATCTACCAAACAAACGGAAAACAAAAAAAGGCAGGGGTTGCAATCCTAGTCTCTGAAAAAACAGACTTCACACCAACAAAGATAACAAGAGACAAAGAAGGCCATTACGTACGGTAAAGGGATCAATTCAACAAGAAAAACTAACTATCCTAAATATATATGCACCCAATACAGGAGCACCCAGATTCATAAAGCAAGTCCTGAGTGACCTACAAAGAGGCTTAAACTACCACACAATCATAATGGGAGACTTTAACACCCCACTGTCAACATTATACAGATCAATGAGACAGAAAGTTAACAGATAAATCCAGGAACTGAACTCAGCTCTGCACCAAGCGGACCTAATAGACATCTACAGAACTCTCCACCCCAAATCAACAGAATATACATTCTTTTCAGCACCACACCACACCTATTCCAAAATTGAACACATAGTTGGAAGTAAAGCACTCCTCAGCAAATGTAAAAGAACAGAAATTATAACAAACTGTCTCTCAGACCACAGTGCAATCAAACTAGAACTCAGAATTAAGAAACTCACTCAAAACCTCTCAACTACACGGAAACTGAACAACTTGCTCCTGAATGACTACTGGGTAGATAATGAAATGAAGGCAGAAATAAAGATATTCTTTGAAACCAACGAGAACAAAGACACAACATACCAGAATCTCTGGGACACATTCAAAGCAGTGTGTGGAGGGAAATTTTAGCACTAAATGCCCACAACAGAAAGCCGGAAAGATCTAAAATTGACACCCTAACATCACAATTAAAAGAACTAGAGAAGCAAGGGCAAACACATTCAAAAGCTAGCAGAAGGCAAGAAATAACTAAAATCAGAGCAGAACTGAAGGAAATAGAGACACAAAAAGCCCTTCAAAAAATTAAAGAATCCAGGAGCTGGTTTTCTGAAAAGATCAACAAAATTGATAGACTGCTAGCAAGATTAATAAAGATGAAAAGAGGGAAGAATGAAATAGACGCAATAAAAAACAACAAAGGGGATATCACCACTGATCCCACAGAAATACAAACTACCATCAGAGAATACTATAAACACCTCTACACAAATAAACTAGAAAATCTAGAAGAAACTGATAAATTCCTAGACACATACACTCTCCCAAGACTAAACCAGGAAGAAGTTGAATCTCTGAATAGATCAATAACAGGCTCTGAAATTGAGGCAATAATTAATAGCTTACCAACCAAAAAAAGTCCAGGACCAGATGGATTCAGAGCCGAATGCTACCAGAGGTACAAGGAGGAACTGGTACCATTGCTTCTGAAACTATTCCAATCAATAGAAAAAGAGAGAATCCTCCCTAACTCATTTTATGAGGCCAGCATCATCCTGATACCAAAGCCTGACAGAGAAAAAACAAAAAAATGGAATTTGAGACCAATATCCTTGATGAACATTGATGCAAAAATCCTCAATAAAACAGTGGCAAACTGAATCCAGCAACACATCAAAAAGCTTATCCACAATGATCCAGTGGGCTTCATTCCTGAGATGCAAGGGTGGTTCAACATACGAAAATCAATGAACGTATTCCAGCATATAAACAGAGCCAAAGACAAAAACCACATGATTATCTCAATAGAGGCAGAAAAGGCTTTTGACAAAATTCAACAACCCTTCATGCTCAAAACTGTCAACGAATTAGGTATTGATGGGACTTATCTCAAAATAATAAGAGCTATCTATGACAAACTGACAGCCAATATCATACTGAATGGACAGAAACTGGAAGCATTCCCTTTGAAAACTGGCACAAGACAGGGATGCCCTCTCTCACCACTCCTACTCAACATAGTGTTGGAAGTTCTGGCCAGGGCATTCAGGCAGGAGAAGGAAATAAAGGGTATTCAATTAGGAAAAGAGGAAGTCAAATTGTCCCTGTTTGCAGATGACATGATTGTATATCTAGAAAACCCCACTGACTCAGCCCAAAATCTCCTTAAGCTGATAAGCAACTTCAGGAAAGTCTCAGGATACAAAATCAGTGTGCAAAAATCACAAGCATTCCTATACACCAAGAACAGACAAACAGAGAGCCAAATCATGAGTGAACTCCCATTCACAATTGCTTCAAAGAGAATAAAATACCTAGGAATCCAACTTACAAGGGATGTGAAGGACCTCTTCAAGGAGAACTACAAACCACTGCTCAATGAAATAAAAGAGGATACAAACAAATGGAAGAAGATTCCATGCTCATGGGTAGGAAGAATCAATATCGTGAAAATGGCCATACTGCCCAAGGTAATTTATAGATTCAATGCCATACCCATCAAACTACCAATGAGTTTCTTCACAGAATTGGAAAAAGCTACTTTAAAGTTCATATGGAAACAAAAAAGAGCCCACATCGCCAAGTCAATCCTAAGGCAAAAGAAGAAAGTTGGAGGCATCATGCTACCTGACCTCAAACTATACTACAAGGCTACAGTAACTGAAACAGCATGGTACTGGTACCAAAACAGAGATATAGACCAATGGAACAGAAGAGACCCCTCAGAAATAATGCTGCATATCTACAACTATCTGATCTTTGACAAACCTGAGAAAAACAAAAAATGGGGAAAGGATTCCCTATTTAATAAATGGTGCTGGGAAAACTGGCTAGCCATATGTAGAAAGCTGAAACTGGATCCCTTCCTTACACCTTATACAAAAATTAATTCAAGATGGATTAAAAACTTACATGTTAGACCTAAAACCATACAAACCCTAGAAGAAAACTTAGGCAATACCATTCAGGACATAGGCATGGGCAAGGACTTCATGTCTAAAACACCAAAAGCAATGGCAACAAAAGCCAAAATTGACAAATGGGATCTAATTCAACTAAAGAGCTTCTGCACAGCAAAAGAATCCACCATCAGAGTGAATAGGCAACCTAAAGAATGGGAGAAAATTTTTGCTACCTACTCATCTGACAAAGGGCTAATATCCAGAATCTACAATGAACTCCAACAAATTTACAAGAAAAAGACAAACAACCCCATCAAAAAGTAGGCAAAGGATATGAACAGACACTTCTCAAAAGAAGACATTTATGCAGCCAAAACACACATGAAAAAATGCTCATCATCACTCGCCATCAGAGAAATGCAAATCAAAACCATAATGAGATACCATTTCACCCGAGTTAGAATGGCGATCATTAAGAAGTCAGGAAACAACAGGTGCTGGAGAGGATGTGGAGAAATAGGAACATGTTTACACGGTTGGTGGGACTGTAAACTAGTTCAACCATTGTGGAAGTCGGTGTGGCGATTCCTCAGGGATCTAGAACTAGAAATACCATTTGACCCAGCCATCCCATTACTGGGTGTATACCCAAAGGATTATAAATCATGCTGCTATAAAGACACATGCACATGTATGTTTATTGTGTCACTATTCGCAATAGCAAAGACTTGGAACCAAGCCAAATGTCCAACAATGACAGACCAGATTAAGAAAATGTGGCACATATACACCATAGAATACTATGCAGCCATATAAAAGGATGAGTTCATGTCCTTTGTAGGGACATGGATGAAGCTGGAAACCACCATTCTCAGCAAACCATCGCAAGGACAAAAAACCAAACACTGCATGTTCTCACTCATAGGTGGGAATTGAACAATGAGAACACATGGACACAGGAAGGGGAACATCACACACTGGGGACAGTTGTAGGGTGGGGGGAGGGGCGAGGGACAGCATTAGGATATATACCTAATGCTAAACGACGAGTTATTGGGTGCAGAACACCAACATGTCACATGTATACATATGTAACAAACCTGCATGTTGTGCACATGTACCCTAAAACTTAAAGTATAAAAAAAAATTAGCCAAGCTTGATCGTGGGCACCTGTAATCCCAGCTACTTGGGAGGCTGAGGCAGGAGAATTGCTTGAACCCAGTAGGAGGAGGTTACACTGAACCGAGATTGCACCATTGCACTCCAGCCTTGGTGACAGTGTGAGACTCCGTCTCAAAAAAAAAAAAAAAAAAAAAAAAAAAGAATCTGGGAGTGGCTAGCCCAGAGATTCACTCCTTATGTATGAAAAACATCCAAACCCCTAGTCTGTCTCTTGGAATGCAGGACAAACAGGGAGTTGAAGCCCTTTGTTTCAAAAGCAAGTTTTAGACTGTAGCTTACTCTAAGCCACTCTTTGAGAAGAATCAAAGTAAAACAATAATAGTGGATGCCGAAAGTCTTAGAATAGCCATAATTAAAGACAAAAATAACAAAAAAAATTTTGTTTTTTTCTGTGACATATAGCAACTTAACATAATAATTATAATTATTACAGATAAGTTATGCTAAGATACATCAGAACACTAGAAATTCCATAGAATCTTGAAACACATATTAATAATACATTTATATAAATATACTCCCAAAAGATTAAACACCATTTCATGTTTGAAAATGCTTCCTATACATTTTTGTTTAAATTTTAATTTTTGCGGGTACATAGTAGGTGCATATATTTAGGAAGTACATGAGATATTTCAGTACAGGTATGCAATATGTAATAATCACTTCATGGAAAATTGGGTATTCATCTCATCAAGCATTTATCCTTTGTGTTACAATCAATCCAGTTACAATCTTTCAGTTATTTTTAATTGTATGATTAAATTTTTATGGACTATATTCCCTCTATTGTGCTATCAAATACTAGATCTTATTCATTCTCTATTTTTTATACCTATTCCTACTTTTTTCCTATTTTCCTACCACCTTTCCCAGCTTCTAGTAATCATCCTTCTACTCTGTATCTCCATGAGTTTAATTATTTCCATTTTTAGATTCCACAAATAAGTGAGAACATGTGAAGCTTATATTTGTGTGACTGACTTATTTTACTTAATATAATTGTAACCACCCAATGGGTTCATCTTGCCTGCTGCCTAGAAGGAGCTGATTTATCAAGACAGGGGAATTGCAATGGAGAAAGAGTCATTCATGCAGAGCCAGCTGTGCGGGAGAATAGAGTTTTATTATTACTCAAATTAGTCTCCCTGAGCATTTGAGGATCAGAGTTTTTAAAGATAAATTGGTGGGTAGTGTCTTGGGAAGTGGGGAGTACTGATTGGTCTGGTTGGAGATAAAGTCATAGGGGGTTGAAGTACATTTTTATTGCTGTCTTCTGTTCCTGGGTGTGATGGCAGAACTGGTTGAGCTAGATTACTGGTCTGAGTGGTGTCATTGAGTGAAAGGTCTACAAAATATCTCAGGTACTGATCTTTGGTTTTACAATAGTGATGTTATTCCCAGCAGCAATTTGGGGAGGTTCAGACTCTTGGAACCAGAGACTGCATGACCCTTAAAGTGTAATTTTTCATCTTGTAGTTCTTTTTTTAGTCCTGTAAAGGCAGACTGGTCCCCACTAAAGAAGGGAGTCTTTTTGAGAAAGAGCAATTATCAATTTTGTTTTAGAGTCAAACCATGAACTGAATTCTTTCCCAAAGTTAGTTCAGCCTATGCCCAGGAATAAACAAGGACAACTTAAAAGTTAGAAGCAAGATGGAGTCAGTTAGGTCTGATTTCTTTCACTGTGATATTTTCCTCAGTTATTTTGTAAAGGCGGTTTCATAATGACCTCCAGTTCCACTCATGTTCTTGTAAATGACAGAATCTAATTCTTTTTTATGGATCAATAGTACTCTATTGTGTATATGTATCACATTTTCTTTATTCATTCATCTGCTGATGGACATTTAGGTTGCTTTCAAATCTTAGCTATTGTGAACAGTGCTGCAACAAACACGAGAGTGCAGATATCTCATCAATATACAAATTTCCTTTCTTTTGGATATATACCCAGCAGTGAGATTACTAAATCATATGGTAGCTTTATTTTTGGTATTTTGAGGAACCTCCAGACTGTTCTCCATAGTGGTTATACTCATTTACATTCCCACCAACAATGCATGAGGGTTCCCTTTTCTCCAGATCCTTGTCAGCATTTAACGGCTTGACTTTTGTATAAAAGCCATTTTAACTGGTGTGAGATGACATCTCATTGTAGTATTGATTTGCATTTCTCTGATGATCAATAATATTGAGCACATTCTCACATGCGTGTTTGCCATTTATATGTCTTCTTTTCAGAAATGTCTATTCAGATCCTTTGCCCATTTCAAAATCAGAATATTAGATTTTTCCCTATTGAGTTGAGCTCCTTATATATTGTGGTTATTCATCATTTTTTAGATGCATAGCTTGCAAATATTTACTCCCATTCTGTAGGTTGTCTCTTTGCTGATTGTTTCCTTTGCAGTGCAGAAACTTCTTAACTTGGTGTGATCCCATTTTTCTATTTTTTGCTGCCTGTGCCTTTGGGTATTACTCAAGACATTTTTTCCTAGACCAATGTCCTACAGAGTTTCTCCATTTATTTTTCTGATAGTAGTTTCATAGTTTGAGGTCTTAGATTTAAGTCTTTAGTTGACTTTTACTTGATTTTGGTATATGGCAATATATGGTCTAGTTTCATTATTGTGAATATGACTTTCGTGTTTTCTCAGCACGATTTATTGAAGAGACTGTCTTTTCCAAAGTATATGTCCTTGGAACCTTTGTTGAAAAGGGGTTCACTGTTAGTGTGCAGATTAGTTTCTGGGTCCTCTATTCTGGTTCATTGGTCTATGTGTCTGTTTTATGCAAATACCATGCTGTTTTGGTTACTATAGCGCTGCAATATTATTTGAAGTCAGGTAATATGATTGCTTCAGTTTTACTCTTTTTGCTTATAATAGCTTTGGCTATTCTGGGTTTTTTTGTGATTTCATATAAAAGATAGGATTGCTATTTCTATTCTGTGAAGAATGTAATTGGTATTTTAATAGAAATTGCATTGAATCTGTAGATTGCTTTTAGTAGTATGGACATTTCAACAACATTTATTCATCCAATCTATGAATATAAAATATCTTTCCTTGTGTTCTCTTCAGTTTCTTTCATCAATGTTTCACGGTTTTCATGAAATTTTGCACTTTTTTGTTAAGTTAATTCCTAGGTGTTTTTATTTGTGTCTATTGTAAATGAGATTACTTTAAAAATTTCTGATTGTTCACTGTTGGCATATAGAAATGCTACTGATTTTTAATGTTGATTTTGTATCTTGCAAATTTACTGAATTTGTTTATTAGTTCTAAGAGTTTTTTGGTGGAACCTTTATGTTTTTTTCCAAATATAAGATCATGTCATCTGCAAACAAGGATGATTTTACTTCTTGCATTTTAGTTTGGATGTCTTTTAATTCTTTCTGTTGTCTGACTGCTCTAATTAGTATTTATCACTATGTTGAATAACAGTAAAGAAAGTGGGCTTTCTTGTCCTGTTACAGAGCTAAGAGAAAATGCTTTCAGTTTTTTCACATTCAGTACGATACTTGCTGTTGTTCTGTCATATATGGCTTTTAAGATGTTGAGGTATGTTTTTTTTTAATTATTATTGTACTTTAAGTTTTAGGGTACATGTGCACAATATGCAGGTTAGTTACATATGTATACATGAGCCGTGCTGATGTGCTGCACCCATTAACTCGTCATTTAGCATTAGGTATATCTCTTAATGTTATTCCTCCCCCCTCCCCCACCCCACAACAGTCCCCAGAGTGTGATGTTCCCCTTCCTGTGTCCATGTGTTCTCATTGTTCAATTCCCACCTATGAGTGAGAATATGTGGTGTTTGGTTTTTTCTTCTTGCGATAGTTTACTGAGAATGATGATTTCCAATTTCATCCATGTCCCTACAATGGACATGAACTCATCATTTTTTATGGTTGCATAGTATTCCATGGTGTATATGTGCCACATTTTCTTAATCCAGTCTATCATTGTTGGACATTTGGCTTAGTTCCAAGTCTTTCCTATTGTGAATAGTGCCGCAATAAACATACATGTGCATGTGTCTTTATAGCAGCATGATTTATAATCCTTTGGGTGTATACCAAGTAATGGGATGGCTGGGTCAAATGGTATTTCTAGTTCTAGATCCCTGAGGAATCGCCACACTGACTTCCACAATGGTTGAACTAGTTTACAGTCCCACCAACTGTGTAAAAGTGTTCCTATTTCTCCACATCCTCTCCAGCACCTGTTGTTTCCTGACTTTTTAATGATTGCCATTCTAACTGGTGTGAGATGGTATCTCATTGTGGTTTTGATTTGCATTTCTCTGATGGCCAGTGATGGTGAGCATTTTTTCATGTGTTTTCTCGCTGCATAATTGTCTTCTTTTGAGAAGTGTGTGTTCATGTCCTTCACCCACTTTTTGATGGGGTTGTTTGTTTTCTTCTTGTAAATTTGTTTGAGTTCATTGTAGATTCTGGATATTAGCCCTTTGTCAGATGAGTAGGTTGCAAAAATTTTCTCCCAATTTGTAGGCTGCCTGTTCACTCTGATGGTAGTTTCTTTTGCTGTGCAGAAGCTCTTTAGTTGAATTAGATCCCATTTGTCAATTTTGGCTTTTGTTGCCATTACTTTTGGTGTTTTAGACATGAAGTCCTTGCCCATGCCTATGTCCTGAATGGTAATGTCTAGGTTTTCTTCTAGGGTTTTTATGGTTTTAGGTCTAACATGTAAGTCTTTAATCCATCTTGAATTAATTTTTGTATAAGGTGTAAGGAAGGGATCCAGTTTCAACTTTCTACATATGGCTAGCCAGTTTTCCCAGCACCATTTATTAAATAGGGAATCCTTTCCCCATTGCTTGTTTTTCTCAGGTTTGTCAAAGATCAGATAGTTGTAGATATGTGGCGTTATTTCTGAGGGCTGAGGTATGTTTCTTCTCTACTCAGTTTTCTGAGAGTTTTTATCATAAAAAATGTTACATTTTATAAACGCTTTTTTTCAGCATCAGTTAAAGGATTTTATAGTGTTGTCCTTCCTTTGGCTGAAATAATGCATCACATTGTTTGATTTGCATATGTTGAACTATACTTGCTCACCTGAAAAAAACTCACATGGTCATGATGAATAATGTTTTTAATGTAGTGCTAAACTTCGTTTACCAGTATTTTGTTGAAAATTTTTGCATCAATATTTATCCAAGACATTGGCCTGTTGTTTTCTTTTTTGGATGTGTCTTTGTCTGATTTTAGTATCAGGTTAATACTGGCTTCATAGAATGAATTCACAAGTATTCCCTCCTCCTCTATTTTTTGGAATGGTTTGAGTAGAATTCATATTAGTTCTTCTTTAAATGTTTGGTAGAATTCAGCAATGAAATTATCAGGTCCTGGCCTTTCCTTTGCTTGGAGGCTTTTTATTGTGGCTTTAATCTCATTATCTGTTATTGGTCTGTTCCGATTTTGGATTTCCTGGCAGGTTGCATGTGTGTAGAAATTTACGTATTTCTTCTAGATTTTCCAGTTTATTGGCATATAGTTGCTCATAGTAGCTTCTAATAATCCTTTGAACATCTATTGGATCAGTTGTAATGTCTCCCTTTTAATCTCTAATTTTAGTTATTTAGGTCTTTTTTCTTTATTGTTAGTTCATTTGTTCATTTTGGTTATCTGTTCACAAAACAAACTTTTCGTTTCATTGATTTTTTGTATTGTTTTCTTCATTTCAGTTCCATTTACTTCTACTCTAATCTTCATTGTTTCTTTTCTTCTACTAATTTTGGGTATGATTTATTCTTGCTTTTCTAATTCCTTAAGACACATTATGAGGTTATTCAATGGAAATTTTTCTTCTTTTTTGATGTAGGAACTTATAGCTATAAATTTCCCTTTTAGTATTTCTTTTACTGTATCCCGTAAGTTTTGGTATGTTGTGTTTCCATTATTATTTGTTTAAAAAAATTTTTCAATTTCCTTTATATATTCATTGGCCCACTGGTCATTTGGGAGTATATTATTTCTATGTGCTTGTATAGTTACCAAAATTCCTTTTGTTATTGATTTCTACTTTTAGTCCATTGGGGTCAGAGGAGATGCTTGATAGTACTTCAATATTTTTGAATGTTTTAAGTCTTGTTTTGTGACCTAACACAGGGTTTGTCTTTGAGAATTACTCATGTGCTGGGGAGAAAAATGTATTCTGCAGCTGTTGAACAAATAGTTCTGTAAATATTCCATAAATAAATCATTCCATAAATTTTTGTTAATTTTCTGTCTGATTGATCCCTCCAAAACTGAAAGTGGAGTGTTGAAGTGTTCAGCTATAATCGTATTGCGGTCTGCCTCTCTCTTTAGCTCTAATAATATATGCTTTATATGTCTGGGTGCTCCAGTGTTGGGTACATATATATTTAAAATTGTAATATCCTCGGGCCGGGCATGGTGGCTCACGCCTGTAATCCCAGCAATTCGGGAGGCTAAGGCGGGTGGATCACGAGGTCAGGAGATCGAGACCATCCTGACTAACATGGTGAAACCCCGTCTCTACTAAAAATACAAAAAATTAGCCAGGTGTGGTGGTGGGCACCTGTAGTCCCACCTACTCGGGAGGCTGAGGCAGGAAAATGGTGTGAACCTGGGAGGCAGAGCTTGCAGTGAGCAGAGACAGTGCCACTGCACTCCAGCCTGGGCAAAAGAGTGAGACTCCATCTCAAAAAAAAAAAAAAAAAATTGTAATATCCTCTTGCTGAGTTGATTTCTTGATCATGATTTAATGAAATTCTTTATCTCTTCTTACAGCGTTTGTCTTGAAATATATTTTGTTTGATATAACTACTTAGTATAGTTTGAATGTGTGTCCCTGCCCAAGTCTCATGTTGAAATGTAATCCCCAATGTTAAAGGGGGGGCCTGGTGGGAGGTGATTGGATCATGAGGGTGGTTTTCTCATGAATGGCTTATAACCATACCGTTGGTACAGTCCTGACAATAGTAAGTTCTCATGAGATCTGGTCTTTTAAAATAGTGTGTAACATCCCCCCTCTCTCTATTCTCTTGCTTTTGCTATGTGACATGCATACACTCCTTCACCCTCTGCCATGATTGTAAGCTTCATGAGGTCTCACCAGAAGCCAAGTATAGGTCAGCACCATGCTTCCCAAGAAGACTGTAGAACCATAAGCCAATTAAATTTTTTTTCTTTATAAATAACACAGTCTCAGGTATTTCTTTATAACAATACAAGAACAACCTAGTACACTACTCCTGCTTTTTTGTTTGTCTTTTTATTGGCATGAAATATTTTTATCCATTATTTTATTTTT
Source organism: Homo sapiens (assembly GCF_000001405.40). NCBI lineage: Eukaryota > Metazoa > Chordata > Mammalia > Primates > Hominidae > Homo > Homo sapiens. The sequence goes on from NC_000023.11 coordinate 56,882,473, forward strand.
AGTTAATGTATACATTTTATCAGGGAAGTTTTTTTATTCTGGGCAACAGATCATTGGGTCTTGTATTTTCATCCATTCAACCACTGTATGTCTTTTGATTGGAGAATTTGGTCCGTTTACATTCAATATTACTGTTGATAACTATGGACTTACTTCTGCCATTTTCTTATTTATTTTCTGGTTGTTTTGCAGCCTTCTCTTCCTTCTTTCCTTTCTTCATGTCTTCCTCTTAATAAAGGTGATTTTCTCTGGTGGTAGGCTTTAATTTCTGGCTTTTCATTTTTTTACTGTTTTTATTTATTTATTTATTTATTTATTTATTTATTTATTATTTATTATTTGATGTTACCGTGATGCTTGCAAATACTATCTTATAACCCATTATTTTATACTAGTGACAATTTAACTCTAATTGTAAATATATAAAAGATGAAAAGATGTTAATGAGAAAGAGAATCCTAATAAAAACTATACACTTTAACTTTGTCCCCCCACCTTTAAATTTTCTGTATGTGTTATTGTCCTATGCCCTGAAAAATTGTTGCAGTCATTATTTTTGGTTTATTCTTCACTTAGTCTTTCTACATAAGGAAAGAGTAGTTTACAACCACAATTACAGTGTTATACTATTTTGCGTTTTTCTGTGTGCTTACAATTACTAGTATGTTATGTACTTTCAGATGATTTCTTCATGCTCATTAACATCTTTTCAGATTGAAGAACTACCTTTATGATTTCATGTAGGACAAGTCTGGTGATGACGAAGTCCATCAGCTTTTGTTTGTCTAGGAAAGTCTTTATTTCTCCTTCATACTTAAATAATATTTTCAATAAATACACTGTTCCAGAGTAATTTTTTCAGCATTTTAAATATGTCATGCCACTATGTCCTGGCCTGTATTGTTTCCATGGAAAAGTCTGTTGCCAGATGTAGTAGAGCTCCATTGTATGGTTTTTGTTTATTTTCTCTTGCTGTTCTTAAAATCCTTTCTTTATCCATGACCTTTGATAGTTTGATTATTAAATGCATTGAGGTAGTTTTCTTTGGGTTAAATCTGTTTGGTGTTCTACAACCTTCTTATACTTTGATATTGATATCTTTCTCTAGGTTTGGGAGGTTCTTTGCTATTATCTTTTTGAATAAACTTTCTACTTCTATCTCTTTCTCTACCTCCTCTTAATGCCAATAACTCATAGATTCACCCTTTTGAGGCTGTTTCTAGGTTTTGTATGCAGTGTTTTAAATTCTTTTTTTTTGTCTCCTCTGACTATGTATTTTCAAATAGGCTGTCTTCAAATTCACTAATTCTTTCTTCTGCTTGATCAATTCTGTTATTAAGATACTCTGATGGATTCTTCAGCATAAAAGTTGCAATTCTAAACTCTAGAATTTCTGCTTGATTCTTTTTAATAATTTTAATATTTTAAAATTTTATCTAATAAAATTCTGAATTCTTTTTCTGTGTTATTTGAATTTCTTTGAGTTTCCTCAAAACACCTATTTTGAGTTCTCTTTTTAAAAGATCATATATCTCTATTTATCTAGGATTAGTCCTTGGTACCTTATTTAGTTCATTTGCTGAGATTATGTTTTCTTGGATGGTGTTGACGCTTGTAGATGTTTTTTGGTGTTTTGGCATTGAAGAGTTAGGTATTTTTTGTAGTCTTCACAGTCTGGGCTTCTATATGCCTGTCCTTCTTCAGAAGGCTTTCCAGGTATTCAAAGGGACTTGGGTCCCAAGCCCTATAATGCTGTGGTTTATAATGACTCTTAGAGATATTGCCTTGGTAGTGTTGGATAAGATCTGGAAGACTTCCCTGGATTAACATGTAGAGACTGCTGGTGTTTTCCTTTACTTTTTCTCAAGTAAACTCTTTCTCTCTCTGAACCACTTGGGACTTAGGGTGTAGTGATTGAAACACTCCTGCAGCCACCACTAATGGGATGGCAATGAGTCACACTGGAAGCCAGCACAGCACTGGGTCTTGCCCAAGGCCCTTCCCTTCAGGGCAGTGAGTTTCCCTAGGTCCTGGGCATATTCAGAGATGGTGTCTGGGGGTCAGTGATTGGACTAAAAACTTGATGTTTTATTCTACTGAAGGTAACCTAGCACTCAAAACGCAATCCAAAGTCCTTCCCACTGGTTCCTCTCCTTTCCACAGGAAGAGGAGCATCTCCTAATGGCCATCACCACCACCAGTCCATACAAGTTTCTGCCAGGCCAATGCTTATATTCAGTTAAAGGTCAAAATCTATTCTGTCAGCTTGTGTTCAGTGCCTTACACGATAGGCTGAAGTACTCTGGGGTCCCACATAAACTTAAAAGACAATCTTGCATCACCGATGCCACCCCTCCCCCAGCACTGGCCATGAGGCACAGAGAGAGAATTTGTGTTCTTAGCAACCCTATGTTAAAATAAGCTTTAACATAAGACACCAGAGATAAAATTTGATTTTCTCTTTTGAAAAAAATTCATATAATATTAGTGAAATAAAAAGAAGAGTTTTGTTAATCTTGTGAGTAAACTGCAGGGGAAATAGGAGAGGGGGAAGAGAGATATTTAGTTGGCCTCATGCTATCTCTAATAGGTCTTGTTGTTTGCGAAACCTTTCTATCAAATAAGAAAGGTTTTATGTTTTTTGAAATATTTAAATGATTGTCTTAGCTAAGTAAATATTACGTGGTCCTATTTTGTGATATCAAATATTTTAGACTTTTGGTATTTGAATCTGAGAGGTTGAGGCTGCAGTGAGCAGTGAGCGAATCACTGCACACCAGCCTGGGTGACAGAATGAGACCCTGTCTCAGAAAAATGTTTACTTAAATTTTTGGAACTTAAGAAATGCTTGGACAATTTACTTTAAAAACTAATTTGTTACCCTGTAGATACAATGTATAATATATTAAATGTACATACACATAAACACAACTAAACATGTATACACACAAATGAACAAAGATCCAATAGCTTTTACCTCAGAACTAACCATGAGAGAAACACAAAATCACCAGTTTATGAACATGTTCACATGGCTAAACTTTGTTTGCCCTGATAAGTAATCCAATGAAGGCCATTAAACAAAATTTTGGGTAAAGTACTTTTCATGGTAGTTCAATATTTAAAGCCCAAACCTCCCCAAACTCCAAAGAACACTGGGGTCAAACACACCACAGAAGAACATCACATAGTAACCATGCTTGACCTTTCTTAGAACAGCAGCATAAAAGCCTTGATTCATGGAACTCCATCCTGCTTTATAATTCATCCACAAAATGAATCCACTTGTAAGAAAGCACTATAATTCAAAGACCTCTGGAAAGTCTAATTCTCCCTATACTTAAAAAGCACTGGGGCCAAACAGTGTTACATAATAATATCATTTTCCATTTATTCATTGGCTTATAACTATATGCAGACCAATTTTGAAGGATACACTCAAGTGGGCTATATTCTGAGATCAAATTCTGAGTTCCCATGACTACATTGACACATACAGAAAAAAAACAATTATCAAAATACAATCTAACTGCAGTAATGACTAGCAAGCCCTGAGTATCCAAATGAAACAGTTAGGGTGCTCCCCTACTGCAGTTAAGTTGAGTTTGTTTAACATGCAAAGAGAAATTCTTTCAAAATTTCCCAAATTGAGAGGAGCCAATCCCACTGTGCAGTACTCACAAAAGACATTCACTTCTCCAGACACACACACACAAAACCAATTACTAACAAGCACCCAAGAGTGTTCAAACTGAAACAATCAGGGTGTTTCCCTCTCTCAGTCAGTCAGGATTGTTCAACCTGCAAATGGAAATTCCTTTAAAATTTCACAAATTCAGAGAAGCAGATCCTGCTGTCTGAACCCACAAAAGACAATCACCTATCTGGCTGCAAATATCAAATTTCAAAGACCTTTTATTCTGGGCAATCAGGAATGCAGCTGGGGTTGGCAATGGCAGGTTCAGAGAGAAAGACTGAAACACACTTCTGACCAAAAAATGTCAGAGAAGCCCTTTAGGAGGGCTTCTGAGACTCTCTTGGCCTATGGGAGAGGAGCTACCAGCAGAGAACCAAGAGCTGTTACTGAAATGCCAGAGGTTTGGTCTAGGTTCTGTTGCTCACTTCACAGAAAGTCAATCACTAGACAATGACTATTGCCAGGAAAAAAGGCTTGTTTAGGTGCTGCAGCTGAGGAGCATGAGAGATCAACTTCATATTTATCTTACTGACTCACTAAAAATGCGGGGTTTATATAGTCAGAGAAGGGATGTTGGTACATGTGGAGATAAATTATGAAGATGTAAGCAAGCAATGTTGACAAATAAAGGGTCTGGTGTCTCATTGTCTGGATGCAGTTATCTGATGAGTTTCCATTCCTTGCTTGAATGTTGGTTCCCCGAGGAAGAAACTTAGATAAGACAAATGTAAGTGTCAGAGGCATTTGAACAAGATCAACTACATCTTGAATAGGGGCTGGGTAAAATGAGACTGAGTCCTATTGGGCTGCATTCACAGATGGTTAAGGCATTCTAAGTCACAGGATAAGATACAAGGTTAACACAAGATTCAGGTCATAAAGACCTTGCTGATAAAAGAGGTTGCAATAAAGAAGCTGGCCAAATCCCACCAAAACCAAGCTGGAGATGAGAGTGACCTCTGGTTGTCCTCACTGCTACACTCTCATCAGTGCCATAACAGTTTACAAATGCCATGGCAATGACAGGAATTTACCTTATATGGTATAAAGAGGGGAGGCATTAATAATCCACCCTTTGTTTAGTATATCATCAAGAAATAACCATAAAAATGGGTGACCAGCAACCCTCGGGGCTGTTCCATCTATGGAGTAGTCATTCTTTTATTAATTTACTTGTGTAATAAACTTGTGTTCACTTTACAGTATGGACTTGCCCTGAATTCTTTCCTGTGTGAGATCCAAAAACCCTTTCTTGGGGTCTGGATTGGGACTCTCTTCCAGTAGTATCTTTCTGGTGACCATAGAAGGAACTATAGTGCAAAAACCCCTGACCTAAAGGCTAACTTTGGGTAAGTTGTGAGTGCAGGTAACATCTTTCTGGAAAACCACAAAAAGATGATACGAAAGAAACCCCCCAACCTAAAGGAAATAGACTACAGTACTGATTGGTTGACTTTAGGTAAGTGGTAGGGTACCCAGGTAAAGAATGGGTTTTGGTTGGAGGCCCAACGTGGGGGACTTAGAGTCTCTCCTAAGACATAGTGAGTTTAAAAACCCTCTTAATAAAAGTCAGTGAAGCTTGACTGACTTTGGGTTAGAGGCCCAACTTAGAAGGATTAGAGTCCCTTCTAAGATTTAAGGGGTTAGAGACCCCTCTCGATAAAGTTCCTTTCTCGATAAAGTTGCTATTCTCTTTGGATTAATCTGCCTTGCACTCTTTGCTGACTGCTGTGGGTGACAGGATTACGCATGTACAGAATCATGGGATATGGAAAATTTTTTCCTCCCTAAAAGTGGAAACTTGAGAGCTGTTGAGACTGCCGCAAAAGATCTCTTCATGACTGACAAGCAGCCGCCTGAACTTTTGAGCCATGGGATAATCTTTCTCTGGCTTCCCTGAGTGCTTTGCCTTCCCCACCCTGCCTCAGGAAATGCTTTCTTCTTCTCTCTTTCTCTCTCTGTGCAAGCTGGTTGAATGAATGGTAAAAATCACTGTTTATCCCTTGTAAAATTTTGATTAATAGGAAAAAAGATTCATGAAGCTAATTTTAAGCTGTAGTGAATCTGGTGTTCTTAGAGTGTCTTTCTGTGTTCTATAATGGAGAAGAGTACCTAAGAATTGAATGCGAGCCTAGAACAACTGTAAGCCTGCTGTTCAACATAGCCCAGCAAACTTGTCAGTTACAAACTTTGCTGCAGGTCACTGAAAAAACTGGATGGGGTTCCTTCTTGTCTTCTATGTCCTTGAGAGCTTCACCTTGTAATCATGTGGCCATGCTTTCTCTTTTCACAAAGGTGGCCTGGGTTCAGGGTCCAATTCTCAGCTGAGGCAATGAGTCCTTTATCTTCTATCAGTGTATTTATATGTGTTGTGTGCGTAATTTTTTTTTTTTTTGAGACGGAGTTTTGCTCTGTCACTCAGTGTGGGGTGCAATGGTGTGATCTTGGCTCACTGCAACTTCCGCCTCCGGGTTTCAAGTGATTCTCCTGCTTCAGCCTCCATAGTAGCTGGGATTACAGGTGCTCACCACCATGCTTGGCTAATTTTTGTATTTGTATTTGTATTTAATTATTTATTTATTTAATTTTATTATTATACTTTAAGTTTTAGGGTACATGTGCACAATGTGAAGGTTAGTTACATATGTATTCATGTGCCATGCTGGTGTGCTGCACCCATTAACTCGTCATTTAACATTAGGTATATCTCCTAATGCTATCCCTCCCCCCTCCCCCCACCCCACAACAGTCCCCGGTTGTGACGTTACCTTTCCTGTGTCCATGTGTTCTCATTGTTCAATTCCCACCTATGAGTGAGAACATGCGGTGTTTGGTTTTTTCTCCCTGTGATAGTTTACTGAGAATGATGATTTCCAATTTCATCCATGTCCCTACAAAGGACATGAACTCATCATTTTTTATGGCTGCATAGTATTCCATGGTGTATATGTGCCACATTTTCTTAATCCAGTCTATCATTGTTGGACATTTAGGTTGGTTCCAAGTCTTTGCTATTGTGAATAGTGCCACAATAAACATACGTGGGCATGTGTCTTTATAGCAGCACGATTTATAGTCCTTTGGGTATATACCCAGTAATGGGATGGCTGGGTCAAATGGTATTTCTAGTTCTAGATCTCTGAGGAATCGCCACACTGACTTCCACAATGGTTGAACTAGTTTCCGGTCCCACCAACAGTGTAAAAGTGTTCCTATTTCTCCACATCATCTCCAGCACCTGTTGTTTCCTGACTTTTTAATGATTGCCATTCTAACTGGTGTGAGATGGTATCTCATTGTGGTTTTGATTTGCATTTCTCTGTTGGCCAGTGATGGTGAGCATTTTTTCATGTGTTTTTTGGCTGCATAAATGTCTTCTTTTGAGAAGTGTCTGTTCATGTCCTTCACCCACTTTTTGATGGGGTTATTTGTTTTTTTCTTGTAAATTTGTTTGTGTTCATTGTAGATTCTGGATATTAGCCCTTTGTCAGATGAGTAGGTTGTGAAAATTTTCTCCCATTTTGTAGTATTTTTAGTAGAGATGTGGTTTCACTATGTTGACCAGGCTGGTCTCAAGCTACTGACCTCGTGATCTGCCTGCCTTGGCTTCCCAAAGTGCTGGGATTACAGGTGAGAGCCACCATGCTCGACCTGTGTGTGATGTTTATATATAAAAGAACCTTGATTAATTGGTTTACTAATAAGAAGAGCTTAAATAAAATATTTTGCCAGAAAAGTAAAAAATGTAATGCCTTTTGGTTCATATGACTTAAGTAATTTCTGGGAAATGAAAGCAGCTTTACTGATTATTGATAAAATAATGACATTTTGTCTAAATTAGGCAGGTCAGTTATTAAGTTTGCTAAACACTTTAAGATCATAAACTATTTCTTTGACTTTTGAAAACTTCAATTTATCTACCTTGGAGACATTAGATACTAGACAAGGTCTGGGGACATGTGGAATTAGCCATGTTCCCTAGCTATGCAAAGGAGGTAATAAAGAAAAGGGATTTTATATAAGAAAGGATGTTTTATGTTAATTTATTTTCCTAAAGTAAAATTACTGGTTGTTTAGTAAGAGGAATGTTTAGGAAAAGTCAGAAAGTCCAATAATGTTGTAGATAGTCTGTGTAAGTCACTAAAGAATTTGTGGATCTGGCAAGATGGCTGAATAAGAACAGCTCCAGTCTGGAGTTTCCAGTGAGACCAACACAGAAGGTGGGTGATTTCTGTATTTCCAGCAGAGGTACATGTTTCATCTCATTGGGACTGGCTAGATAGTGGGTGTAGACCAAAGAGTGTAAGCAGAAGCAGGATGGGGCATCACCTCACCCGGGAAGTGTAAGGGATTGGGGAACTCCCTCCCCTAGCCAAGGGAAGCCTTGAGGGACTGTGCCATCAGGGATGGTGCTATCAGGCCCGGATGCTGTACTTTCCACACAGTTTCTGCAACCTGGAGATCAAAAGATTCCCTCAGGTGCCTACACCACCAGGGCCCTGGATTTCAAGCACAAAACTGGCCAGCTGTTTGGGCAGACACCAAGCTAGCTGCAGGAGTTTATGTTTGTACCCCGTGGTGCCTGGAATCCCGATGAGATAGAACCATTCACTCCCCTGGAAAGGGGGCTGAAGCCAGAAAGCCAAGTGTTCTTGTTCAATGGGTCCCACCTCCTCAGAGTCTAGCAAGCTAAGATCCACAGACTAGAAATTCTCGCTGCAACCACAGCAGTCTGAAGTCGACCTGAGATGCTTGAGCTTGGTGGGGGGAATGGCATCTGCCAATACTGAAGATTGAGTAGGTGGTTTTCCCCTCACAGTGTAAACAAAGATGCTGAAAATTTGGATTCGGTGAAGCCTGCCACAGTATGGCAAAGCCACTGTAGCCAGACTTCCTCTCCAGATTCCTCCTCTCTGGGCAGGACGTCTCTTAAAGAAAGGCAGCAGCCCAGTCAGGGGCTTATAGATAAAATTCTCATCTCCATGGAAGAACCACGTGGGGGAAGGAGCGGCTGTGGACACAGCTTCAGCAGACTTAAATGTTCCTGCCTGCTGGATCTGAAGAGAACAGCAGATCTCCCAGCACAGCACTCGAGCTCTGCTATGGGAAAGACTGCCTCCTCAAGTGGGTGTCTGACACCCATGCCTCCTGATGGGGAGACACATCCCAGCAGGGGTCAACAGCCACTTCATATAGGAAAGCTCCAGCTAGCATCTGGTGAGTGCCCCTCTGGGACGAAAGTTCCAGGGGAAGGAGCAGGCAGCAATCTTTGCTGTTCTGCAACCTCCCCTGGTGATACCCAGGCAAACAGGGTCTGCAGTAGACCTCCAGGAAACTCCAGCAGACGTGCAGAAGAGGGGCTTGACTGTTAGAAAAAAAATAACAAACAGAAAACAGTAATATCAACATCAACAAAAAGAATGCCCATGCAAAAACCTTATCTTAAAGTCATCTGCATTGAAGACCAAAGGTAGATAAATCCAGGAAGATGAGAAAAAAACAGCGCAAAAATGCTGAAAATTTCAAAAACCAGAATGCCTCTTCCCCTCAAAATAATCCCAAGTCCTTGCCAGCAAGAGAACAAAACTAGATAGAGAATGAGTTTGATGAATTGACAGAAGTAGGCTTCAGAAGGTGGGTAATAACAAACTTCTCTGAGCTAAAGGAACATGTTCTAACCCAATGCAAGAAAGCTAAGAACCTTGATAAAAGGCTTCAAGAACTGCTAACTAGAATAACCAGTTTACAGAAAAACATAAATGACTTGATGGAGCTGAAAAACACAGCACAAGAACTTCATGAAGCATACACTAGTATCAATAGCCGAATCAATCAAGCAGAAGAAAATATATCAGAGATTGAAGATCAACTTTATGAAATAAAACGTGAAGACAGAATTAGAAAAGAAAGAATAAAAAGGAATGAACAAAGCCTCCAAGAAATATGGGACTATGTGAAAAGACCAAACCTACGATTAATTGGTGTGCCTGAAAGTAATGGGGGAAATGGGACAAAGTTGGAAAACACTCTTCACGCTATTACAGCAGAAGAACTTTCCCAACATAGCAAGGCAGGCCAATGTTCAAATTCAGGAAATACAGAGAACACCACTAAGATACTTCTCGAGAAGAGCAATCACAAGACACATAATAATCAGGTTCACCAAGGTTGAAACAAAGGAAAAAATTTTAAGGGCAGCCAGAGACAAAGTTCAGGTTACCCACAAATAGAAGCCCATCAGACTAACAGCAGATATCTCTGCAGAAACACTACAAGCTAGAAGAGACTGAGGTCCAATATTCCACATTCTTAAAGAAAAGAATTTTTCACCCAAAAAACAATTGCCCACCCAGGCAAACTAAGCTTTAAAAGCAAAGGAGAAATAAAATTCTTTCTAGAAGAGCAAACGGTGAGGGATATTGTCACCACCAGGTCTGCCTTATAAGAGCTCCTGAAGGAAGCACTAAATATGGAAACGAAAAACTGGTAACAGCCACTTCAAAAACATACTGAAATATAAAGACCAATGATGCTGTGAAGAAACTGGATCAACCAGCTAGCATAATAATGACTGGATTAAATTCACACATAAAAATACTAACCTTAAATGTAAATGGGCTAAATGCCCCAATTAAAAGACACAGACTGGCAAACTGGAAGAAGAGTCAAAACCCAACAGTGTGCAATATTCTGGAGACATATCTCATGTGCAAAGACACACATAGGCTCAAAATAAAGGGATGGAGGAATATATACCAAGCAAATGGAAAGCAAAAAAAAAAAAAAAAAAAAAAAAAAAGCAGAGGTTGCAATCCTAATCTCTGATAAAACAGACTTTAAACCAGCAATGATTAAAAAAAAGACAAAAAAAGGGCATTACATAATGGTAAATGGATCAATGGAACAAGAGCTAACTATTCTAAATATATATTCACCCAATACAGGAGCACCCAGATTCATAAAGCAAGTTCCTAGAGGCCTAAAAAGGGACTTATACTCCCACACAATAATAATGGGAGACTTTAACACACCACTGTCAATATTAGAAAGATCAACTGGAGAGAAAATTGACAGGAATATTTAGGACTTGAACACAGCTCTGGACCAAGCAGACCTAACAGACATCTACAGAACTATACACCCCATCTACAGAACTCTCCACCCCAAATCAATAAAATATACATTCTTCTTAGCACCACATAGTACTTATTCTGAAATTGACCACATAATGGGAAGGAAAACACAACTCAGCAAATGTAAAAGAATGGACATCATGAAAAACAGTCTCTGAGACCACAGAGCAATCAAATTAGAACTCAGATTTAAGAAACTCACTCGAACCTGAAAGCTACATGGAAACTGGACAACCTGCTCCTGCATGACTAGTGGGTAAAAAACGAAATTAAGTCAGAAGTAAATAACTTCTTTGCAACCAATGAGAACAAAGCCACAACATACCAGAATCTCTGAGACACAGATAAAGCAGTGTTTAGAGGTCAGTGTTTAGAGCACTAAATGCCCACAAGAGAAAGCAGGAAAGATCTAATATCAACACACTAACATCACAATTAAAAGAACTAGAGAAACAGTAGCAAAAAAATTCAAAAGCTAGCAGAAGACAAGAAATTATTAAGATCAGACCATAACTGAAAAAGATAGAGATACAAAACAGCCTTCAAAAAATCTGAATCCAGGAGCAGGTTTTTTGAAAAGATTAACAAAATAGACCATTAGCCAGAATAATAAAGAAGAAAAGATGGCAGGTGGAGCCAAGATGGCCAAATAGGAACAGCTCCAGTCTACAGCTCCCAGCATGAGTGATGCAGAAGATGGGTGATTTCTGCATTTCCAAATGAGGTACTGTGTTCATCTCACTGGGGAGTGTTGGACAGTGGGTGAAGGACACTGGGTGCAGCACACCGAGGAGGAGCCAAAGCAGGGCAAGGCATTGCCTCACCTGGGAAGTGCAAGGGGTCAGGGAATTCCCTTTCATAGTCAAAGAAATGGGTGACAGAGGGCACCTGGAAAATCGGGTCACTCCCACCCTAATACTGCACTTTTCCAATGGTCTTAGCAAATGGCACACCAGGAGATTATATCCTGCACCTGGCTAAGAGGGTCCTATGCCCATGGAACCTCGCTCATTGCTGGCACAGCAGTTTGAGATCAAACTGCAAGGCGGCAGCAAGGCTGGGGGAGGGGCGCCCATCAATGCCTAGGCTTGAGTAGGTAAACAAAGCGCCAGGAATCTTGAACTGGGTGGAGCCCACCACAGCTCAAGGAGGCCTGCCTGCCTCTGTAGATGCCACATCTGAGGGCAGGGCATAGCCAAACAAAAGACAGCAGAAACCTCTGCAGACTTAAATGTCCCTCTCTGACAGCTTTGAAGAGAGTAGTGGCCCTCCCAGAATGTAGCTGGAGTTCTGAGAACGGACAGACTGCCTCCTCAAGTGGGTCACTGACCCCTGAGTAGCCTAACTGGGAGGCACCACACAGTAGGGGCAGACTGTCACCTCACAAAGCCCGGTACTCCACTGAGACAAAATTTCCAGAGGAACTATCAGGCAGCAACATTTGCTGTTCACCAATATCCACTGTTCTGCAGCCTCTGCTGCTGGGAAACAGGGTCTGGAGTGGACCTCCAGCAAACTGCAACAGACCTGCAGCTGAGGGTCCTGACTGTTAGAAGGAAAACTAACAAACAGAAAGGACATCCACACCAAAACCCCATCTGTACGTCACCATCATCAAAGACCAAAGGTAGATAAAACCACAAAGATGGGGAAAAAACAGAGCAGAAAAACTGGAAACTCTAAAAATCAGAGCACCTCTCCTCCTCCAAAGGAACGCAGCTCCTCACCAGCAGCGGAACAAAGCTCAATGGAGAATGACTTCGATGAGTTGAGAGAAGAAGGCTTCAGATGATCAAACTACTCCGAGTTAAAGGAGGAAGTTCAAACCAATGGCAAAGAAGTTAAAAACCTTGAAAAACAATTAGAAGAATGGCTAACTAGAATAACCAATGCAGAGAAGCCCTTAAAGGACCTGATGGAGCTGAAAACCATGGCACAAGAACTACGTGATGAATGCACAAGCCTCAGTAGCCAATTTGATCAACTGGAAGAAAAGATATCAGTGATGGAAGATCAAATGAATGAAATGAAGCGAGAAGAGGAGTTTAGAGAAAAAAGAATAAAAAGAAATGAACAAAGCCTCCAAGAAATATGGGACTATGTGAAAAGACCAAATCTACTTCTGATTGGTGTACCTGAAAATGACGGGGAGAATGGAACCAAGTCGGAAAACACTCTCCAGGATATTATCCAGGAGAAATTCTCCAATCTAGAAACGCAGGTCAACATGGAAATTCAGGAAATACAGAGAACACCATAAAGATACTCCTCGAGAAGAATAACTCCAAGATACAAAATTGTCAGATTGACCAAAGTTGAAATGAAGGAAAAAATGTTAAGGGCAGCCACAGAGAAAGGTCGGGTTACGCACAAAGGGAGCCCATCAGACTAACAGCTGATCTCTCGGCAGAAACAATACAAGCCAGACGAGAGTGGGGGCCAATATTCAACATTCTTAAAGAAAAGAATTTTCAACCCAGAATTTCATATCCAGCCAAACTAAGCTTCATAAGTGAAGGAGAAATAAACTCCTTTACAGACAAACAAATGCTGAGAGATTTTGTCACCACCAGATCTACCCTAAAAGAGTTCCTGAAGGAAACACTAAACATGGAAATGAACAAAAAGTACCAGCCTCTGCGACAACATGCCAAATTGTAAAGACCATCGAGGCTAGGAAGAAACTGCATCAACTAACGAGCAAACTAAACAGCTAACATCATAATGGCAGGATCAAATTCACACATAACAATATTAACCTTAAATGTAAATGGGCTAAATGCTCCAATTAAAAGACACAGACTGGCAAACTGGATAAAGAGTCAAGACCCATCAGTGTGCTGTATTCAGGAAATCCATCTCACGTGCAGAGACACACATAGGCTCAAAATAAAGGGATGGAGGAAGATCTATCAAACAAATGGAAAATAAAAAGGGCAGAGGTTGCCATCCTAGTCTCTCATAAAACAGACTTTAAACCAACAAAGATCAAAGGAGACAAAGAAGGCCATGACATAATGGTAAAGGGATCAATTCAACAAGAAGAGCTAACTATCTTAAAAATATATGCACCCAATACAGGAGCACCCAGATTCATAAAGCAAGTCCTTAGAGACCTACAAAGAGACTTAGACTACCACACAATCATAATGGGGGATTTTAACACCCCACTGTCAACATCAGACAGATCAATGAGACAGGAAAGTTAACAAGCATGTCCAGGAACTGAACTCAACTCTGCACCAAGCGGACCTAATAGATATCTACAGAACTCTCCACCCCAAATCAACAGAATATACATTCTTTTCAGCACCTCACCACACTTATTCCAAAATTGAACACATAGTTGGAAGTAAAGCACCCCTCAGCAAATGTAAAAGAACAGAAATTATAACAAACTGTCTCTCAGACCACAGTGCAATCAAACTAGAAATCAAGATTAAGAAACTCAGTCAAAACTGCTCAACTACATGGAAACTGAACAACCCGCTCCTGAATGACTACTGGGTACATAACGAAATGAAGGCAGAAATAAAGATATTCTTTGAAACCAACGAGAACAAAGACACAACATACCAGAATCTCCAGGACACATTCAAAGCAATGTGTAGAGGGAAATTTATAGCACTAAATGCCCACAAGAGAAAGCAGGAAAGATCTAAAATTGACACCAAAACATCACAATTAAAAGAACTAGAGAAGCAACAGCAAACACATTCAAAAGCTAGCAGAAGGGAAGAAATAACTAAGATCAGAGCAGAACTGAAGGAAATAGAGGCACAAAAAACCCTCCAAAAAAATAAATGAATCCAGGAGCTGGTTTTTTGAAAACATCAACAAAATTGATAGACTGCTAGCAACACTAATAAAGAAGAAAAGATAGAAGAATCAAATAGATGCAATAAAAAAATGATAAAGGGGATATCATCACCGATCCCACAGAAATACAAACTACCATCAGAGAATACTATAAACACCTCTATGCGAATAAACTAGAAAATCTAGAAGAAATGGATAAATTCCTCGACACATACAATCCCATACAAGACTAAACCAGGAAGAACTTGAATCCCTGAATAGACCAATAACAGGCTCTGAAATTGTGGCAATAATTAATAGCTTACCAACCAAAAAAAGTCCAGGACCAGATGAATTCACAGCTGAATTCTACCAGAGGTACAAGGAGGAGCTAGTACCATTCCTTCTGAAACGATTCCAATCAATAGAAAAAGAGGGAATCCTCCCTAACTCATTTTATGAGGCCAGCATCATCCTGATACCAAAGCCTGGCAGAGACACAACCAAAACAGAGAATTTTAGACCAATATCCCTGATGAATATTGACGCAAAAATCCTCAATAAAATACTGGCCAACCGAATCCAGCAGCACATCAGAAAGCTTACCAACCATGATCAAGTGGGATTCATCTCTGGGATGCAAGGCTGGTTCAACATATGCAAATCAATAAACATAATCCAACATATAAACATAAGCAATGACAAAAGCCATATTATTATCTCAATAGATGCAGAAAAGGCCTTTGACAAAATTCAACAACCTTTCATGCTAAAAACTCTCAATAAATTAGGTATTGATGGGACGTATCTCAAAATAATAAGAGCTATCTATGACAAACCCATAGCTGATATCATACTGAATGGGCAAAAACTGGAAGCATTCCCTTTGAAAACTGGCACAAGACAAGGATGCCCTCTCTCACCACTCCTATTCCACATAGTGTTGGAAGTTCTGGCCAGGGCATTCAGGCAGGAGAAGGAAATAAAGGGTATTCAATTAGGAAGAGAGGAAGTCAAATTGTCCCTGTTTGCAGATGACATGATTGTGTATCTAGAGAACACCATCATCTCAGCCCAAAATTTCCTTAAGCTGATAAACAACTTCAGCAAAGTCTCAGGATACAAAATCAGTGTACAAAAATCACAAGCATTCTTATACACCAATAAGAGATAAACAGTGAGCCAAATCATGAGTGAACTCCCATTCACAATTGCTTCAAAGAGAATAAAATACCTAGGAATCCAACTTACAAGGGATGTGGAGGACTTCTTCAAGGAGAACTACCAACCACTGCTCAATGAAAGAAAAGAGGATACAAACAAATGGAATATTCCATGCTCATGGGTAGGAAGAATCAATATCATGAAAATGGCCATACTGCCCAAGGTAATTTGCAGATTCAAGCCATCCCCATGAAGCTACCAATGACTTTCTTCACAGAATTGGTAAAAGCTACTTTAAAGTTCATATGGAACCAAAAAAGAGCCTGCATTGTCAAGTCAATCCTAAGCCGAAAGAACAAAGATGAAGGCATCATGCTACCTGACTTCAAACTATACTACAAGGCTACAGTAACCAAAACAGCATGGTACTGGTATGAAAACAGAGATATAGACGAATGGAACAGAACAGAGCCCTCAGAAATAATGCCGCATATCTACAACTATCTGATCTTTGACAAACCTGACAAAAACAAGCAATGGGGAAAGGATTCCCTATTTAATAAATGGTGCTGGGAAAACTGGCTAGCCATATGTAGAAAGCTGAAACAGAACCCTGTCCTTACACCTTATACAAAAATTAATTCAAGATATATTAAAGACTTAAATATTAGACATAAAGCCTTGAAAACCCTAGAAGAAATCCTAGGCAATACCATTCAGGGCATAGACATGGGCAAGGACTTCATGTCTAAAATACCAAAAGCAATGGCAACAAAAGCCAAAATTGACAAATGGGATGCAAATAAACTAAAGAGCTTCTGCACAGCAAAAGAAACTACCATCAGAGTGAACAGGCAACCTACAGAATGGGAGAACGTTTTTGCAATCTACTCATCTAACGAAGGGCTAATATCCAGAATCTACAAAGAACTGAAACAAATTTACAAGAAAAAAAACAAACAACCCCATCAAAAAGTGGGTGAAGGATATGAACAGACACTTCTCAAAAGAAGACATTTATGCAGCCAAAACACACATGAAAAAATGCTCATCATCACTGGCCATCAGAGAAATGCAAATCAAAACCAAAATGAGATGTCATCTCACACCAGTTAGAATGGCCATCATTAAAAAGTCAGGAAACAACAGGTGCTGGAGAGGATGTGGAGAAATAGGAACACTTTTATACTGTTGGCAGGACTGTAAAGTAGTTCAGCCATTGTGGAAGACAGTGTGGCGATTCGTCAGGTATCTAGAACTAGAAATACCATTTCACTTAGCCATCCCATTACTGCGTATATACCCAAAGGATTATAAAACATGCTGCTATAAAGACACATGCACATGTATGTTTATTGTGGCACTATTTGCAATAGCAAAGACTTGGAACCAAGCCAAATATCCAATAATGATAGACTGGATTAAGAAAATGTGGCACATAGACACCATGGAATACTATGTAGCCATAAAAAATGATGAGTTCATGTCCTTTGTAGGGACATTGATGAAGCTGGAAACCATCATTCTCAGTAAACTCTCACAAGGATAAAAAACCAAACATCGCATGTTCTCACTCATAGGTGGGAATTCAACAATGAGAGCACTTGGACACAGGAAGGGGAACATCACACACCGGGGCCTGTGGTGGGGTTGGGGGTGGGGGGAAGGATAGCATCAGGAGATATACCTAATGTTAAATGACGAGTTAATGGGTGCAGCACACCAACATGGCACATGTATACATATGTAACAAACCTGCACGTTGTGCACATGTTCCATAAAATTTAAAGGATAATAAAAAAAAGAAGAAAAGAATGACGAATCAAATAGACCGAATACAAAATAATAAAGAGGATATTTCCACTGATGCCACAGAAATACAAACTACTATCAGAGAATAGTATAGACACCTCTACGCAAAAAAAAAAAAAAAAAAGAAAGAAAGAAAAAAAGAAACAGGAATCAAGAAAATCTAGATGAAATGGATAAATTCCTGGACACATACACCCTCCCAAGACTAAACCAGGAAGAAATCAAATCCCTGAATAGACCGATAAGAAGTTCTGAATTTGACACAGTAATTAATGGCCTACCAATCAAAAAAAAAAAAAAAAAGCCCAGATCCAGACAGATTCACAGCAGAATTCTACCGGTTGTACGAAGAAGAGCTGCTACCATTTCTTCTGAAACTATTCCAAACAATAGAAAAAGAGCGACTCCTCCCTAACTCATTTTATGAGGCCAGTATCATTCTGATACAAAAGCCTGGTAGAGACACAACAAAAATAGAAAAATTCAGGCCAATATCCCTGATGAACATTGAGAAAAAATCCTCAATAAAATACTGGCAAACTGAATCCAGTAGCTCATCAACACTTTATCCACCACGATCAAGTCGGCTTCAATCCTGTAATGCAATGTTGGTTCAACATATGCAAATCAATAATTGTAATCCATCACATAAATAAAACCAATGACAAAAACCACATAATTATGTCAATGAGTAGAAAAGGGCTTTGATAAAATTCAACACCTCTTCATGCTAAAATCTCTCAATAAACTTGATATTGATGGAATATTTCTCAAAATAATGAGAGCTATTTAGGACAAACACAGCGCCAATGTCATACTGAATGGCTAAATGCTGGAAGCATCCTCTTTTAAAAGCAGCACAAGACAAGAATGCCCTCTCTCACCACTCCTATTCAACACAGTATTGGAGGTTCTGGTAAGGGCATTCAGGCAAGAATAGAAATAAAGCGTATTCAAATAGGAAGAGAGGAAGTCAAATGGTCTCTGTTTGCAGATGACATGTTTGTATATTTAGAAAACCCAATCATTTCAGCCCCAAAAGTCTTTAAGCTGCTAGACAACATCAGGAAAGTCTGAGGATACAAAATCTATGTGCAAAAATCACAAGCATTTTTATACACCAATAGTAGACAAACAGAGAGCTAAATTAAGAGTGAACTCCCATTCACAATTGCTACAAAGGAAATAACATAGTTAAGAATACAACTTTCAAGGGATGTGAAGGACCTCTTCAAGAAGAACTACAAACCACTGCTCAAGGAAATAAGAGAGGACACAAACAAACGGAAAAGCATTCCATGCTCATGAATCGGAAGAATCAACATAGTGAAAACAACCATAGTGCCCAAAGTAATTCATAGATTCAGTGCTATTGCCATCAAGCTACCATTGACTTTCTTCACAGAATTAGAAAAAAACAACATGGTCCTAGTACCAAAACAGATATATAGACCAATGGAACAGAACAGAGGCGTCAGAAATACAACCACACATCTACAACCATCTGATCTTTGACAAACCTGACAAAAACAAACAATGGGGAAAGGATTCCCTATTTAATAAATGGTGTTGGAAAACTGGCTAGCCATAAGCAGAAAACTGAAACTGGACCCCTTCCTTACACCTTATACAAAAATTAACTCAAGATGGATTAAAGACCTAAATGTAAGTCCTAAAACCGTAAAAACTGTAGAAAGAAACCTACGCAATACTATTCAGGACAGAGGCATGGGCAAAGATTTCATGACTAAAACACCAAAAAGCAATGGCGACAAAAGCCAAATGTGACAATTGGGATCTAATTAAACTAAAGAGCTTCTGCATAGAAAAAGAGACTATCATCAGAGTGAACAGGCAATTCACAGAATGGGAGAAAATTTTTGCAATCTAGCCATCTGACAAAGGGCTAATATTCAGAATCTATAAGGAACCTAAACAAATTTACAAGGAAAAACAGACAATCCCATCAAAAAGTGGACAAAGGATATGAAAAGACACTTATGAAAAAAGACATTTATGCAGCCAACAAACATATAAAAAAAGTTCATTATCACTGATCATGAGATAAATACAAATAAAACCACAGTGAGATACCATCTCATGCCAATTAGAATGGCGATCATTAAAAAGTGAAGAAAAAACAGACGCTGGAAAAGACGTGGAGAAATAGAAATGCTTTTACACTGTTTGTGGGAGTGTAAACTAGTTACACCATTGTGGAAGACACTGTGATGATTCCTCAAGGACCTAGAACAAGAAATATCATTTGACCCAGCAATCCCATTACCTTGTATATACCCAAGCGATTATAAATTATTCTACTATAAAAACACATGCACACGTATGTTTATTGTGGCACTAGTCACGATAGCAAAGACTTGGAACCAACCCAAATGCCCATCAATGATAGACTGGATAAAGAAAATGTGGTACATATACGCCATGAAATACTATGCAGCCATAAAAGAGAATGAGTGTATGTCCTTTGCAGGGACAAGGATGAAACTGGAAACCATATTTCTCAGCAAACTAACACAGGAAGAGAAAACCAAACACTGCATGTTCTCAATCATAAGTCGGAGTTGCACGATGAGGACACATGGGCATAGGGGTAGAAGCATCACACATTGGGGCCTGTTGTGGAGAAAGGATAAGGGGAGGGGGCATTAGGAGAAATACCTAATGTAGATGACAGGCTGATGGGTACAGCAAACTACCATGGCACACATATACCTATGTAACAAACCTGCACATTCTGCACATGTATCCCAGAACTTAAAGTATAATTTTAAAAAAAGAGAATTTGAAAAGAAATATATGCAAGAAATAAGCAATCTAAAGGTTGTTAGGCCTCCTAAATTTTTCATAAAATGCCATTATGACTCTTAACTGTACAACTTGCCTACTTTACAGGTAGCTAAGGCCTGGGAGGCATGGAGTTAGATGCTGGAAAATTGAGACCTTATCTGCACTACTTTCTGTGTCCTAGGCTCCACACTTAGTCTATAAATAAAATCTGATACTTATCAATATTTTTATTGAAAGTAAAAGTTGCTGAGAGTTAACAGTGTAACATGTATTTGAGACTACTGAAAAACAGTTCTACTTGCAAGGCATGTAATAAAAGTAGAATGTACTTTTTGTAAAATATTCTAAGAAGGCATGGGAATGTGGATTTTGTGTCTCAGTTTACAGGGTTAAAGGATTGTGTTTTAAGTTAGGATAACACTAAAGGTTTAATCAAGTTGTGGAAGTTTTGTAAAAAAAAAATTGTAAGAGATTCTGTGTGTGAGCATACTGGCTAAAGTTAAATTGGTATTCAATTTTTCAATAAACATTGGGATAAAATTACAACAGGTTTTTCTTAAAGCAAAAACCTGCTTATAATCTGGTCTTTAACAAAAATTTGTAAAGGTTTATAAAAATCTTGTCTTATGATTAAACTGATTAAGATTGAATACACTTGTCTATAAAGTTTTTTTATTAAGAATTGAGTTTGACATGAATAATGCACTAATGCAACAGTGACATTTGGCTTATTTAGTATAAAAATCATACAGGAAGCATTGTCAAACCTGAAATAGTGTTTGGCTTTCTTTGGGTTATATTTGTATAAATATGTTATTGGGATGTGTTCCAGAATAATTGGAAACTCCTGTAATTCTGATATGAGTTAGTGTGTTATTAATAGGTATAATTGTTACATAAAATCATTGTATGCCACAGAGGTAACCAAATTCCTCTGTAAATTGTGTTTTTGTCTGTGGCTGTCCTAAGATGTTTTGTCATCCTCAAACAATTGTTGACTTGTTTTGATCCTCTTCTAAAGGTTGTTTATAGTCAGTTATAGATCTCTAAGAGTTGTTCTTAAATGCAGGTTCCTGATAACGTTGGAGACTGTAACATTGGAATAGAGGAAAAATACTTTCAGAACTCTCAAACATAGCTGAAATATTCATAAAAATTGATATGGTTTGGCTATGTCCCCACCCAAATCTCATCTTGAATTGTAGGTACCATAATTCCTTCATGTTGCAGGAGGGACCCAGTGGGAGAGAATTGAATCATGGGGCCAGTTTCCCCCATACTGGTCTCATGGTAGTAAATATGTCTCACAAGATCTGATGATTTTATGAGAGGAAACCCCTTTCACTTGGCTCTCATTATTCTCTTGTCTGCCACCATGTGAGACATGGCTTTCACCTTCTGCCATGATTGTGAGGCTTTCCCAACCAAGTGGATTTATAAGTACGTTAAGCCTCTTTCTTTTGTAAATTGCCCAGTCTCAGTATTTCCTTATCAGCAGCATGACAATGAAGTAGTACAAATATCAAACAGAAGTTAACTGCATAGACTAAACTAGCAGGAGTCTAAAATAATATTTTTAACTTTTTGCTTAAAACGTTCCTGGTCTTCTGTTTTTCAAAGTCAAGCAAACTTTTCTTTTGAGCTATTTACAACTTTTAACAATTCAGTAATGTATACTTCCACACGTGAACAAAATTTGGAGCATATTTGTTTCTACCTATTTTAAAATTTAAAAATTATTTGTGAGTATTCTTAATTTATGGCAATATAGTTATTTGCATAAATGCAATCACAATCTGTTTTCTTTTGCAATGGGACACAATTGGATAAAATGGTTATTTTACCAAGGCTTTGACTGGAATGGCATGCTTTTCTTTAAGAAATCAAACTTGACTTGTAGAGCCAATACAAGCTTCTTGGGAAAGCTGGCTTTATACTTCATCTGCAACAGTCTCTGTACAAATTTCCTGATCTGTGGTAAGCAAAGAATGTCACTTTCTAAAAGGCCTGGGAGACTGAAGTTATCTTGGAACCTCAAGAGGAGAGGAATTTACCAAACTCATAGGTATTTGAGGGTACAAACCCATGGCAGGGCTGCGCTTTTAAAAAGTCTTATCTGAGATTTCCTCTATGGAGCAGAGTTCCATTAAAGCCAATTTAAAAAGAGCTTATGTGAAAAGTAACTATTATTGTTGCACTTTATACAAATAATCGGGACAAGTATCATAAAGTAAATCAGGACTGAATGCAGTGGTTCACACCTGTAATCCCAACAACTTGGGAGGCTGAGGCGGGCAGATCACCTAGGGTCAGCAGTTCGAGACCAGCCTGCCCAAAATGGTGAAACCCCATCTCTACTAAAAATACAAAAAAAAAAAATTAGCTGGGCATGGTGGGGGGCACCTGTAGTCCCAGCTACTGTTGAGGCTGAGGCAAGAGAATTGTTTGAACCTGGGAGACAGAGGTGGCAGTAAGCCAAGGTCACAAAACTGCACTCCAGCCTGGGTGACAAGAGTGAAACTCCATCTCAAAAAAATAGATAGATAAATAAATAAATAAGTAAATAAATAAAACAAATCAGTCTTATCATGATTTGTCTTTAGTAAAAATGGGAAACTGGAGAGAAAAAATTGTGTTTCAAAAATTATGTTACACTTGTTATTAAATTCTAGTTTCATCAGTTGTTTTTGAGGTTCATTTCCTGCAATTTAGACTACCTCTGCCAATTTCTGCGAACCAAGCAGTGATCTCAGGCTTCTGCTCAGAAGAAACAAGAGTAATGAGTAAGGTAAAAATCTGAATCAATATTTTAATTCTTGCCTCATTGGAATTAGCTAGCAAACCCATATCAGCATGGTTCCAACAGTTGCCCAGTTCATGTAAAGCCTTCGAATTTTAGATTACTTCGGATAATTTTACTTATTTTGTTTTTCTATTGTGAAACACATTGCTGTTTCACACTTTGTATGGAAATGCAGAACAAACTTAATAAGTGTTTTCTTAATTCAAGCATTATTAATCTTCCAGATACCGCCTTTTGTCATAACTCAAGAATTATAAATGGCCCTTATCATACTGATGCTTCCTGACTGAGCTCCTCTCTACCCTGAATACAAGAGAATCTCATAGTTAGGCAGAAATATCATTGCCCTTATTCAGCCTGAAGAGGTTACAGAAAATGGACTTTCAACCCTCTGCAACCCTTAGGATTAAGGGTTCTCTTACAAAAGGGAGGGGGGAGACGTAAGAGGTGTTTGAACCAGAGAAACTTCACCTTGAATGAGGTCTGGAGAAAATGAGGCTGTTAACTACTGGGTTGCATTCCCAGACAGTTAAAACATTCTAAGTCACAGGATGAGTTAGAAAGTCAGCCCAAGATACAGGTCACAAACACCTTGCTGATAAAACAGGTTGCAGTAAAGAAGCTGACCAAAACCCACCAAAATCAAGATGGTGACAAGATTGACCTCTGGTCGTCCTCACGGCTACACTCTCACAATCAACATGACAGTTTACAAATGCATATGGCAATGACAAGAAGTTACCCCATATGGTCTAAAAAGGAAAAGTACGAATAATCCACCCTTGTTTAGCATATCATCAAGAAATAACCATAAAAATAAGTAGCAAGCAACCCTTGAGGCTGCTCCGTGTAAAAGTAGCCATTCTTTGATTTCTTTACTTTCTTAAGTAAAGTATTTCTGGGCAGTATTTCTGGGCTCTTTGTCCTTTTCTATTGGTCTATGTGCCTGTTTTTGTACCTTTACCATGCTGTTTTGATTACTGTAGCCCTGTAGCATTGTTTGAATTTGGGTAGCATGGTGCCTCCAGGTTTGCTCTTTTTGCTTAGGATTACCTTGGCTATTTGGGCTCTTTTTTCATTTCAAATGAATTTTATCTTATTTTATTAATTTATTTACTTATTTATTTTTAATTGTATTTTAAGATCTCCCTTACATGCGCAGAATGTTCAGGTTTGTTACATAGGTATACATGTGCCATGTTGGTTTGATTTGCTTTAATTAATTAATTAATTAATTAATTTCTAAATATACTTTAAATTCTCCAGTACATGTACAGAACGTGCAGGTTTCTTACATAGGTATACATGTGCCATATTGGTTTGCTACACCCATCAACTTTTCATTTACGTTAGATATTTCTGCTAATGCTATTTCTCCCCCAGCCTCCCACCCCCACAACAGACACTGTTGTGTGATGTTCCTCTCCCCGTGTCTGTGTGTTCTCATTGTTCAGTTCCCACTTATAAGTTAGAACATGTGATGTTTGGTTTTTCTCTTCTTGTGTTACTTTATGGTGAATGATGGTTTCCAGTTTCATCCATGTCCCTGCAAGGACACAAATTCATCCTTTTTTATGGCTGCTTAGTATTCCATGATGTAAATGAGCTACATTTACTTTACCCAGTCTATCATTGATGGGCATTTGGGTTGGTTCCAAGTCTTTGCTATTGTAAACAGTGCTGCAATAAACATACATGTGCATGTGTCTTTATAGTAGAAGAAATTACCACACTGTCTTCCACAATGGTTGAACTAATTGACACTCCCACCAACAGTGTAAAAGCATTCCTATTCTCCAGAAGCTCTCCAGCATTCGTTGTTTCCTGACTTTTTAATAATCGCCATTCTAACTGGCGTGAGATGGTATCTTATTGTGGTTTTCATTTGCATTTCTTTAAAGACAAGTGATAATGAACATTTTTTCATAAGTTTGTTGGCTGCATAAAGGTCTTGAGAAGTGTCTGTTCAAACCCCTCACCCACTTTTTGATGCAGTTGTTTGTTTATTTCTTGTAAATTTGTTTAAGTTCTTTGTAGATTCTGGATATTAGCCCTTTGTCAGGTAGACAGATTGCAGAATTTTTCTCCCATTCTGTAGGTTGCCTGTTCACTCTGATGATAGTTTATTTTGCTGTGCAGAAGATCTTTAGTTTAAATATATCCCTTTTGTCTATTTTGGCTTTTGCTGCCATTGTTTTCGTGTTTTAGTCATGAAGTCTTTTCCCATGCCTATGTCCTGAATGGTATTGCATAGCGTTTCTTCTAGGGTTTTTTATGGTTTTAGGTCTTATGTTTAAGTCTTTAATCCACCTTGAGTTAATTTTTGTAGTAGGTGTAAGAAAGGAATCCAGTTTCAGCTTTCTGCATGTGGCTAGCCAGTTTTCCCAGCACCATTTATTAAATAGGGAATCATTTCCCCATTTCTTGCTTTCATCAGGTTTGTCAAAGATCAGATGATTGTAGACGTGTGGTGTTATTTCTGAGGCCTCTGTTCTGTTTCATTGGTCTATATCTCTGTTGTGGTACCAGTGCCATGCTATTTGGATTACTCTAGCCTTGTAGTATAGTTTGAAGTCAGGTAGCATGATGCCTCCAGCTTTGTTCTTTTCGCTTAGGATTGTCTTAGCTATGTGGGCTCCTTTTTGGTTTCATATGAAGTTTACAGTAGTTTTTTCGAATGCTGTGAAGAAAGTCAGTGGTAGCTTAATGGGGATAGCATTGAATCTATACATTACTTTGGGCACTATGGTGATTTTCACAATATTGATTCTTCCTATCCATGAGCATGGAATGTTCTCCCATAATGTTGTGTCCTCTTTTATTTCATTGAGCAGTGGTTTGTAGTTCTCCTTAAAGAGGTCCTTCATGTGCCTTGTAAGTTGGATTCCTAGGTATTTTATTCTCTTTGTAGCAATTGTGAATGGGAGGTCACTCATAAGTTGGCTCTCTGTTTGTCTGTTCTTGGTGTATAGGAATGCTTGTGATTTTTGCACATTGATATTGTATCCTGAGACTTTGTTGAAGTTCCTTATCAGCTTAAGGAGATTTTGGGCTGAGACGATGGGGATTTCCAAATATACAATCATGTCACCTGCAAACAGACACGATTTGACTTCCTGTCTTCCTATCTAAATACCCTTTATTTCTGTCTCTTGCCTGATTGCCCTGGCCAGAACTTCCAACACTTCATTGCATAGGAGTGGTGAGAGAGTGCATCCTTGTCTTGCGCCAGTTTTCAAAGGGAATGCTTCCAGCTTTTTCCCATTCAGTACGGTATTGGCTGTGGGTTTGTCATAAATAGCTCTCAGTATTTTTAGATACATTCCATCAATATCTACTTTATTGAGAGTTTTTAGCTCGAATGGCTGTTGAATTTTGTCAAAGGTTTTTTATGCATCTATTGAGATAATGATGTGGTTTTTGTCATTGGTTCTGCTTATGTGATGGATTATGTTTATTGATTTGCGTATGTTGAACCAGCCTTGCATCCCAGGGATGAAGCCGATTTGATCGTGGTGGATATGCTTTTTGATATACTGCTGGGTTTGGTTTGCCAGTATTTTATTGAGGATTTTTGCATTGATGTTCATCAGTCATACTGGCCTAAAATTTTGTTGTTGTTGTGTCTCAGCCAGGTTTTGGTATCAGGATATTGCTGGCCTCATAAAATGAGTTAGAGAGAATTCCCTCTTTTTCTATTGATTGGAATAGTTTCGGAAGGAATGGTATTAGCTCCTCTTTGTACCTCTTGTATAATTTGGCTGTGAATCCGTCTGGTCCTGGACTTTTTTTGGTTGGTATGCTATTAATGCCCCAATTTCAGAACCTGTTTTTGGTCTATTGAGAGATTCGACTTCTTCCTGATTTAGTCTTAGGAGGGTGTATGTGTTGAGCAATTTATCAATTTCTTCTAGATTTTCTAGCTTATTTGTGTAGAGGTGTTTATAGTATTCTCTGATGGTAGTTTTTATTTCTGTGGGATTGATGGTCATATCCTTCTTATCATTTTTTATTGTGTCTATTTGATTCTTCTCTCTTTTCTTCTTTATTAGTCTGGCTAGTGGTCTCTCTACTTTGTTTATCTTTTCACAAAACCAGCTCCTGGATTCATTGATTTTTTTGAAGGGATTTTTGTATCTCTATCTCCTTCAATTCTTCTCTGATCTTATTTATTTCTTGTCTTCTACTAGCTTTTGAATTTGTTTGCTCTGGCTTCTCTAGTTCTTTTAAATGTGATGTTAAGGTGTTGATTTTAGGTCTATCCTGCTTTCTCTTGTGGGCATTTGGTGCTACAAATTTCCCACTACAAACTGCTTTAAATGTGTCCCAGAGATTCTGGTATGTTGTGTCTTTGTTCTCATTGGTTTCAAAGAACATCTTTATTTCTATATTCATTTCGTTATTTATCCAGTAGTCATTCAGGAGCAGGTTGTTCAATTTCCATGTAGTTGTGCAGTTTTGAGTGAGTTTCTTAATCGTGAGTTTTAATATGATTGCACTGTGGTCCGAAAGTTTGTTGTGATTCTTGTTCTTTTCCATTTGCTGAGGAGCACTTTACTTTCAATTATGTGGTTAATTTTAGAATAAGTGCAATGTGGTGCTGAGAAGAATCTATATTGTGTTGATTAGGAGTGGAGAGTTCTGTAGATGTCTTTTAGGTCTGCTTTGTCCAGAGCTGATTTCAAGTCCTGGATATTATTGTTAATTTTCTATCTCATTGATCTGTCTAATATTGACAGTGGGGTATGAAAGTCTCCCACTATTATTGTGTGGAAGTCTCAGTCTCTTTGCATTTCTCTAAGAATTTGCTTTATGAATCTGAGTGCTCCTGTATTGGGTGCATACATATTTAGGATAGTTAGCTCTTATTGCTGCACTGATCCCTTTACCATTATGTAATGCCCTTCTTTGTTTCTTTTGATCTTTGTTGGTTTATAGTCTGTTTTATCAGAGACTAGGTTTGCAACCCCAGCTTTTTTTTTTTTTTGCTTTCCTTTTCCTTGGTAAATCTTCCTCCATCACTTTATTTTGAGCCTATGTGTGTCTTTGCACATGAGATGTATCTCCTGAATACAGCACACCAATTGGTCTTGACTCTTTATCCAGTTTGCAAGTCTCTGTCTTTTAATTGTGTCATTTAGCCCATTTACATTTAAGGTTATTATTGTTATGTTTCAATTTGATCCTGTCATTATGATGCTAGCTGGTTATTTTGCCCATTAGTTGATGCAATTTCTTCATAGCATCAATGGTCTTTACAATTTGGCATGTTTTTGCATTGGCTGGTACAGGTTTTTCCTTTCCATGTTTATTGCTTCCTTCAGGAGCTCTTTTAAGGCAGGTCTGGTGGTGACAAAATGTCTCAGCATTTGCTTGTCTGTAAAGGATTTTATTTCTCCTTCACTTATGAAGCTTAGTTTGGCTGGATATGAAATTCTGGGTTGAAAATTCTTTTCTTTAAAAATGTTGAATATTGGCCCCCACTCTCTTCTGGCTAGAGATCTGCTGTTAGTCTGATGGGCTTCCCTTTGTGAGTAATCCGACCTGTCTTTGGCTGCCCTTAACATTTTTTCCTTCATTTTAACCTTGGTGAATCTGACTACTATATGTCTTGGGATTGCACTTTTCAAGGAATATCTTTGTGGTGTTCTCTGTTTTTCCTGAATTTCAGTGTTGGCCTACCTTTCTAGGTTGGAGAAGTTCTCCTTGATAATATCCTGAAGAGTGTTTTCCCACTTGGTTCCATTCTCCTTGTCACTTTAGGTACACCAATCAAATGAAGATTTGGTCTTTTCACATAGTTTCATATTTGTTGGAGGCTTTGTTTGTTTTCACTCTTTTTTTCTCTAATCTTGTATTCTGGGTTTATTTCATCGTGTTGATCTTCAATCACTCATATCCTTACTTCCGCTTGATTGATTCAGCTATTACTACTTGTGTATGCATCATCAAGTTCTTGTGCTGCATTTTTCAGCTCCATCAGGTCGTTTATGTTCTCTACACTGCTTATTTTAGTTAGCAATTCATCTAACCTTTTTTCAAAGGTTCTTATCTCCCTTGCATTGGGTTAGAACATACTTCTTTAGCTTTGAGGAGTTTGTTATTTCCCACCTTCTGAAGCCTACTTTGGTCAATTTGTCAAACACATTCTGCGTTCAGTTTTGTTCCCTTGATGGCAAGGAGTTGTGATTTTTCGGAGGAGAAGAGGCATTCTGGTTTTTAGAAATTTCAGCCTTTCTGCACTGGTTTCTTTCCATCTTTTTGGTTTTATCTACCTTTGGTCTTTGATGTTGGTGACCTACGGATGGGGTTTTGTTGTGGACTTCCTTTTTGTTGATGTTGATGCTATTACTTTCTGTTTGTTAGCTTTCCTTCTAACACTCAGGCCTCTCAGCTGCAGGTCTGTTGGAGTTTGCTGGAGGTCCACTCCAGACCCTGTTTGCCTGGGTATCACCAGCAGAGGCTGCAGAACAGCAACTATTGCTGACTGATCCTTTCTCTGGAAGCTTTGTTTCAGAGGGCCGCCTGTCAGATGCCAGTCAGAGCTCTCCTGTATGAGGTGTGTGTCGAACACTACTGGCAGGTCTGTTTAAGTCAGGCTACATGGGTGTCAGGGACCCACTTGAAGAGGTAGTCTGTCCATTATCAGACCTCAAATGCTGTGCTAGGAGAACCACTGCTCTCTTCAGCACTGTCAGGCTGGGATATTTAAGTCTGAGAACCTATGCCTATAGCTGCTCCTTCTCTCAGGTGTTCTGTCCCAAGGAGATGGGGGATTTATCTGTAAGTCTCTGACCGGGGCTGCTCCCTTTTGTTCAGAGATGCTATGCCCACAGAAATGGAATTTAAAGGGGCAGTTGGCCTTGCTGAGCTGTGTTGGGCTCCACCCAGTTCAAATTTCCTGGCAGGTTTGTTTACATTGTGAGCATAAAACCACCTACTCAAACCTCAGCAATGGTGGATGCCCCTTTGCCCAGCAAGCTCGAGTATCCCAGGTCAATCTCAGACTGCTATGCTAGCAGGGAGAATTTGAAGCCAATGGATCTTAGCCTAGTGGGCTCCATGGGCTTGGGACCCACCAAGCCAGGCACCGGAGGGAATCTCCTGGTTTGCTAGTTGTGAAGACCATGGGAATAGTAGAGTATCTGGGCAGGAGTGTACCATTCCTGCCGGTACAGTCTCTCATGGCTTCCCTTGGCTAGGAAAGGGAAATCCTCTGACCCCTTGTTCTTCCTGGGTGAGGTGATGCCCTGCAATGCTTTGGCTTACGCTCCCTAGGCTGTACCCACTGTCCAACCAGTCCCAATGAGATGGACCAAGTGCCTCAGTGGGAAATGCAGGAATCACCCACCTTCTGTGTGGATCTCGCTGGGAGCTGCAGAACAGAGCTGTTGCTATTCAGCCATCTTGCCTGTCCTTTCCTCAAATAAAGTTTAAAATACTTTTTTTCTAGTTCTGTGAAAAATGTATTTGGTAGATTGATAAAAATAGCACTGAATCTATAAAGTTCTTTGGGTGATATGGACATTTTAGTGATATTGATTCTTCCTGAGTGATATTGATTCTTCCTATCTATGAGCATGGAATGTTTTTCCATTTCTTTGTATCATCTCTGCTTTCTTTAAGCAGTGGTTTAAAATTCTCATTTTAGAGACATTAATGCAGCAGCTGTATAGAAACTTGCCTGAGAACTGCTGAGATGGTCGCAACTGCTTCCTTACACACTGGTCTACGAGTTACCTGCATTTCTGCCTACCACTGCCGCTCGGAAACATAAACTTCCTTCCCTTTTATGGAAGCAGATGGAGAAGAAATTCTGAAAAATGTTGTCCTAGGATTTCTGTCTGAGTTGTAGAGAAGATTCCAGAAGAAGGTGGTTTTAATGCCAAAGTTCAAACTTACTTCACAGAGTCAATTAACATTTATGTACCTCCAATGTAGAAATGAATTTTGAAGTTAAGTGAATGTGAATTTTGTATCCTGAATCTTTGCTGAAGTTGTTTATCATCTCAATCAGCTTTTGGACCAAGACTATGAGAATTTCTCGATATAAAGTTATGTCTTCTGCAAACAGTGATAGTTTGACCTTCTCTCTTCCTACTCTAATGCCTTTTATTTCATTCTCTTTTCTGATTCCACGGGCTAGGAGTTTGAATACCATGTGGAACAGAAGCAGTGAGAGTGTGCATCTTTGTCTTGTGCTAGTTTTCAAGGTAAATCCTTCCAGCTTTTCTCCATTCAGTATGATGTAGGCTGTGGGTTTCTCATAGATGGCTCTTATTATTTTGAGGTATGTCCCTTCGATATTTAGATTATTCAGTTTTTAATATGAAAAGATGTTCAACTTTATCAAAAGCTTTTTCTGCATCTGTTGAGATAATCATGTGGTTTTTGTCTTTAGTTTTATGTGATGAATCACATTCATTGATTTTCATCTGCTGAACCAACCTTGCATCCTAGATATAAAGCCTAGTTGATTATGGCACACTACCATTTTGAAGTGCTAGTGGATTCAGTTTGTTAGTTGATATGGATTGGCTCTGTGTCTCCAATAAAATCTCATATCAAATTATAATCCTTATATTTGGAGGTGGGGCCTGGTTGGGGGTGATCAAATCATGGGGGCGTACATCCCCCTTTCTATTCTTATGATGGAGTTCTCCCATGATATTCTTGTTGAAAAGTGTGTAGCACCGCCCTCCCCAACTTCTGCCAGCTATGTGAAGGTGTACCTGCTTCCCCTTTGCCTTCTGCAATGCCTGTAATTTTCCTGAGGCCTCCCCAGAAATGGAAGCCTATACAGCCCACAAAATTATGAGCCAATTAAACCTCCTTTCTTTATACATTATCCAGTCTCAGATATGTCTTTTTTTTTAATTATATTTTAAGTTCTAGGGTACATGTGTACAACGTGCAGGTTTGTTGCATAGGTATATACGTGCCATATTGGTTTGCTGCACCCATCAACTCATCATTTACATTAGGTATTTCTCCTAATGCTATCCCTCCCACAGCCCCCACCTCATGACCGGCCCCAGTGTGTGATGTTCTCTGCCCTGTGTCCAAGTGTTCTCATTGTTCAATTCCCACCTATGAGTGAGAACATGCAGTGTTTGGTTTTCTGTCCTTGTGATAGTTTGCTGAGAATGATGGTTTCCAGTTTCATCCATGTCCCTGCAAAGGACATGAACTCATCCTTTTTTATGGATGCACAGTATTCCACGGTGTATATGTGCCACATTTTCTTTTCTTTTTCTTTTTTTTTATTATACTTTAAGATCTAGGGGCCGGGCGCGGTGGCTCACGCCTGTAATCCCAGCACTTTGGGAGGCCGAGGCGGGTGGATCATGAGGTCAGGAGATCGAGACCATCCTGGCTAACAAGGTGAAACCCCGTCTCTACTAAAAATACAAAAAATTAGCCGGGCGTGGTGGCGGGCGCCTGTAGTCCCAGCTACTCGGGAGGCTGAGGCAGGAGAATGGCGTGAACCCGGGAAGCGGAGCTTGCAGTGAGCCGAGATTGCGCCACTGCAGTCCGCAGTCCGACCTGGGCGACAGAGCGAGACTCCGTCTCAAAAAAAAAAAAAAAAAAAAAAAAAAAAAAAAAAAAAAAGATCTAGGGTACATATGCACAACGTGCATGTTTGTTACATATGTATAGATGTGCCATGTTGGCTTGCTGCACCCATTAACTCGTCATTTACATTAGGCATTTCTCCTAATGCTATCCCACCCCCATCCCCCCATCCCATGACAGGCCCTGGTGTGTGATGTTCCCTGCCCTGTGTCCAAGTGTTCTCATTGTTCAATTCCCAACTATGAGTGAGAATACATGGTGTTTGGTTTTCTGTCCTTGCGATAGTTTGCTGAGAATGATGGTTTCCAGCTTCATCCATGTCCCTATAAAGGACATGAACTCATCCTTTTTTATGGCTGCATAGTATTCCATGGTGTATATGTGCCACATTTTCCTAATCCAGTCTATCATTGATGGACATATGGGTTGGTTCCAGGTCTTTGCAATTGTGAATAGTGCCGCAATAAACATGTGTGTGCATGTGAATTTATAGTAGCATGATTTATAATCCTTTGGGTATGTACCCAGTAATGGGATGGTGGGTCAAATGGTATTTCTAGTTCTAGATCCCTGAGGAATCACCACACTTGTCTTCCACAATGGTTGAACTAGTTTACACTCCTACCAACAGTATAAAAATGTTCCTGTTTCTCCACAAACTCTCCAGCACCTGTTGTTTCCTGACTTTGTAATGATTGCCATTCTAACTGGTGTGAGATGGTATCTCGTTTATCTCATTGTGGTTGTAATTTGCATTTCTCTGATGACCATTGATGATGAGCATTTTTTCATGAGTCTGTTGGCTGCATAATTGTCTTCTTTTGAAAAGAATCTGTACATACTCTTTGCCCACTTTTTGATGGGGTTGTTTGATTTTTTTATGTAAATTTGTTTATGTTCTTTGTAGATTCCGGACAGTAGCCCTTTGTCAGATGGGTAGTTTGCAAAAGTTTTCTCCCATTCTGTAGGTTGCCTGTTCACTCTGATGGTAGTTTCTTTTGCTGTGCAGAAGCTCTTTAGTTTAATTAGATCCCATTTGTCTATTTCGGCTTTTGTTGCCATTGCTTTTGGTGTTTTATTCACAAAGTCCTTGCCCATGCCTATGTCCTGAATGGTATTGCCTAGGTTTTCTTCTAGGGTTTTTATGGTTTTAGGTCTAACATTTAAATCTTTAATCCATCTTGAATTAATTTTTCTGTAAAATGTAAGGAAGGAATCCAGTTTCAGCTTTCTACACATGGCTAGCCAGTTTTCGCAGCACCGTTTATTAAATGGGGAATCCTTTCCCCATTGCTTGTTTTTGTCAGGTTTGTCAAAGATCAGATGATTGTAGATGTGTGGTGTTATTTCTGAGGGCTCTGTTCTGTTCCATTGGTTTATATATCTGTTTTGGTTACTGTAGTCTTGTAGTATAGTTTGAAGTCAGGTAGCGTGATGCCTCCAGCTTTGTTCTTTTTGCTTAGGATTGTCTTGGCAATGTGGGCTCTTTTTTAGTTCCACATGAACTTTAAAGTAGTGTTTTCCAATTCTGTGAAGAAAGTCATTGTTGTTTGATGAGGATGGCATTGAATCTATAAATTACCTTGGACAGTATGGCCATTTTCACGATATTGATTCTTCCTATCCATGAGCATGGAATCTTCTTCCATTTGTATGTGTCCTCTTTTATTTCATTGAGCAGTGGTTTGTAGTTCTCCTTGAAGAGGTCCTTCACATCCCTTGTAAGTTAGATTCCTAGGTATTTTATTCTGTTTTTAGCAATTGTGAATGGGAGTTCTCTCGAGATTTGGCTCCCTGTTTTTCTGTTATTTGTGTATAGGAATGCTTGTGATCTTTGCACATTGATTTTGTATCCTGAGAATTTGCCGAAGTTGTTCATCAGCTTAAGGAGACTTTGGGCTGAGATGATGGGTTTTCTAAATATATAATCATGTCATCTGCAACAGGGACAATTTGACTTCCTCTTTTCCTTATTGAATACCCTTTATTTCTTTCTCTTGCCTGATAGCCCTGGCCAGAACTTCCTACAATATGTTGAATATGAGTGCTGAGAGAGTGCATCCCTGTTTTGTGCTGGTCTTCAAAGGGAATGCTTCCAGTTTTTGCCCATTCAGTATGATATTGGCTGTGGGTCTGTCATAAACAGCTCTTATTATTTTGAGATAGTTTCCATCAATACCTAGTTTATCGAGAGTTTTTAGCAGGAAGGGGCTGTTGAATTTTGTCAAAGGCCGTTTCTGCATCTACTGAGACACTCACCTGGTTTTTGTCTTTGTTTCTGTTTATGTGATAGATTAAGTTTATTGATTTGCATATGTGGAACCAGCCTTGCATCCCAGGGATGAAGCTGACTTGATCTTGCTGGATAAGCCTTTTGATGTGCTGCTGGATTTGTTTGTCAGTATTTTATTGAGAATTTTCATATCGATGTTCATCAGGGATATTGGTCTAAAATTCGCTTTTTTTGTGGTAGAATTTGGCTGTGAATCCTTCTGTTTCTAGACTTTTTTTTGGTTGGTAGGCCATTAATTATTGCCTCAATTTCAGAGCCTGTTATTGATCCATTCAGGGATTCACCTTCTTCCTTGTTTAGTCTTGGGAGGGTCTATGTGTCCAGGAATTTATCCATTTCTTCTCGATTTTCTAGTGTATTTGCATAGAGGTGTTTAAAGTATTCTCTGATGGTTGTTTGCATTTCTGTGGGATTGGTGTTGATATCCTTTTTATCATTTTTTATTGCGTCTATTTGATTCTTCTCTTTTCTTCTTTATCTGTCTTGTGAGCCGTCTATCAATTTTGTGGATCTTTTCAAAAAACAGCTCCTGGAGTCCTTGATTTTTTGAAGGGTTTTTTTGTGTCTCTATCTCCTTCATTTCTGCTCTGATCTTAGTTATTTCTTGCCTTCTGCTAGCTTTTGAATGTGTATGCCTTGGCTTCTCTAGTTCTTTTAGTTGTGATGTTAAGGTGTCGATTTTTGCTCTTTCCTCCTTTCCCTTATGGGCATTTAGTGCTATAAATTTCCTTCTACACACTGCTTTAAATGTGACCCTGAGATTCTGGTACATTGTGTTTTTGTTTTTATTGGTTTCAAAGAACATCTTTATTTCTCCCTTCATTTTGTTAGTTACCCAGTAGCAGTCATTCAGGAGCAGGTTGTTAAGTTTCCATGTAGTTGTGCAGTTTTAAGTGAGTTTCTTAATCTTGAGTTCTAATTTGATTGCACTGTGGTCTGAGAGACAGTTTGTTGTGATTTCTGGTCTTTTACATTTGTGGAGGAGTGCTTTACTTCAAACTATGTGGTCAATTTTAGTATAAGTGTGATGTGGCACTGAGAAGAATGTATATTCTTTTGATTTGGGATGGAGAGTTCTGTAGATGCCTATTAGATCTGCTTGGTGCAGAGCTGAGTTCAAGTCCTGGATATCCTTGTTAACCCTCTGTCTTGTTGATCTGTCTAATATTGACATTGGGTTTTTAAAATCTTTCCTTATTATTGTGTGGGAATCTAAGTCTCTTTGTAGGTCTCTATAGACTTGTGTTATGAATATGTGTGCACCTGTATTGGGTGCATATATATTTAGGTTAGCTCTTCTTGTTGATTTAATCCTTTAACATTTTGTAATGACCTTCTTTATCTCTTTTGATCTTTGTTGGTTTAAAGTCCATCTTATCAGAGACTAGGATTGCAACCCCTGATTTTTTTTCCTTTACATTTGCTTGGTAGATCTGGCTCCATCCCTTCATTTTGAGCTGATGTGTGTCTCTGCATGTGAGATGGGTCTCTTGAATACAGCACACTTATGGGTCTTAACTCTTTATCCAATTTGCCAGTCTGTGTCTTTTAATTGGGTCATTTAGCCCATTTACATTTAAGGTTAATATTGTTATGTGTGAATTTGATCCAGACATTATGATGTTAGGTGGTTATTTTGCCCATTAATTGATGCAGTTTCTTCATAGCATTGATGGCCTTTACAATTTGGCATCGTTTTGCAGTGGCTGGTACGGTTTTTCCTTTCCATGTATATTGCTGCCTTCAGGAGCTCTTGTAAGGCAGGTCTGGTGGTGACAAAATCTCTCAGCATTTGCTTGCTTGTAAAGGATTTTATTTCTCCTTCACTTATGATCCTTCATATGGCTGGATATAAAACTCTGGGTTAAAAATTATTTTTTTTAAGAATGTTGAATATTGCCCCTCACTCTCTTTTGGCTTGTACAGTTTCTGCCGATAGGTCCACTGGTAGTCTGATGGGCTTCCCCTTATGGGTAACCCAACCTTTCTCTCTGGCTGCCCTTAACGTTTTTTCCTTCATTTTAACCTTGGTGAATCTGACAATTATGTGTCTTGGCGTTGCTCTTCTCGAGGAGTATCTTTGTGGTGTTCTCTGTATTTCCTGAATTTGAATGTTGGTCTGCCTTGCTAGGTTGGGGAAGTTCTCCTGGATAATATCCTGAAGAGCGTTTTCCAACTTGCTTCCATTCTCCCCATCACTTTCAGGTACACCAATCAAACATTGATTTAGTCTTTTCCCATAATCCACTATTTCTTGGAGGCTTTGTTCATTTGTTTTTACTCTGTTTTCTCTAAAGTTCTCCTCTCACTTTATTTCATTAATTTGATCTTCCATCACTGAAACCCTTTCTTCCACTTGATCGCATCAGGTACTGAAGCTTGTGCCTGCATCATGAAGTTCTTGTGCCATGGTTTTCAACTGCATCAGGTCATTTAAGGTCTTCTCTACACTCTTTATTCTAGTTAGCCATTTGTCTAATCTTTTTTCAAGGTTTTTAACTTCCTTGCCATGGGTTCAAATATCCTCCTTTATTTCAGAGAAGTTTGTTATTACCGACCTTCTGAAGCCTGCTTCTCTCAGCTCATCAAATTCATTCTCTGTCCAGCTTTGTTCTTTTGCTAGTGAGGAGCTGCAATCCTTTGGAGGAGAAGAGGTGCTCTGGCTTTTAGTATTTTCAGCTTTTCTGCTCTGGTTTCTCCCCATCTTAGTGGTTTTATCTACCTTTTGTCTTTGATGTTGGTTATCTACAGATGGGGTTGTGTTGTGGATGTCCTTTTTGTTGATGTTGATGCTATTCCTTTCTGTTTGTTAGTTTTCCTTCTCACAGTCAAATCCCTCAGCTGCCCGCCTGTTGGAGTTTGCTGGAGGTCTGCTCCAGACACTATTTGCCTGGCTATCACCAGCGGAGCCTGCAGAACAGCAAATATTGCAGAACAGCAAATACTGCTGTCTGATCCTTCCTGTGGAAGCTTTGTCCCAGAATGGCACTCGCATGTATGGGGTGTAAGTCATCTCCTACTGGGAGGTGTCTCCCAGTTAGGCTACACAGATGCCAGGGAACCACTTGAGGAGACAGCCTGTCCATTCTCAGAGCTGAAATACCATGCTGGGAGAACCACTGCTCTCTTCAGAGCTGTCAGACAGGAATGTTTAAGTCTGCAGAAGTTTCTGCTGCCCTTTGTTCAGCTATGCCCTACCCCCCAGAGGTGGAGTCTACAGAAGCAGCAGACCTAGCTGAGCTGTGGTGGGCTCTGCCCAGTTTGAGCTTCCAGGCTGCTTTGTTCACACAGTCAAGCCTCAGCAATGGTGGACACCCCTCCCCCCATTAGGCTGTTACCTCACAGTTTGATATCAGATTGCTGCACTCGCAGTGAGCAAAGCTCCGTGGGCATGGGACCCACCAAGACAGGCATGGGATAGTATCTCCTGGTCCGCAGTTTACTAAGACTATTGAAAAAGCATAGTATATGGGGTGGAGTGTCCCATTTTTCCCAGGTACAGTCTGTCATGGCTTCCCTTGGCCAGGAAAAGGAAATCCCCCAACCCCTTGCACTTCCTGGGTGAGGCGACTCCCTACCCTGCTTCGGCTAGCCCTCCGTGGGCTGCACCCACTGTCCAACCAGTCCCAGTGAGACGAACCAGGTACCTCAGTTGGAAATGCAGAAATCACCCATCTTCTGCATCAATTCCGCTGGGAGCTGCAGACTGGAGCTGTTTCTATTTGGCCATCTTAGAACCCTGAATCAGATATGCCTTTATAGTAGTGTGAGAACAGACTAACACAAAAAATTTGTACCAGAGAAATGGGGCATGGCTATCATGAAATCAACTCTGGAACTGGGGAACAAGCAGAATTTGGAAAAATTTGAAGGCCTCAGAAGAATACGGGAAGATATGGGAAAGTTTGAAACTTCCTAGAGAGTTGATAAATAATTTTGACCAAAATGTTGA
Organism: Homo sapiens; assembly: GCF_000001405.40. Classification (NCBI taxonomy): domain Eukaryota; kingdom Metazoa; phylum Chordata; class Mammalia; order Primates; family Hominidae; genus Homo; species Homo sapiens. Next base: position 56,921,509 of record NC_000023.11, read on the forward strand.
CAGTGATATGGACAGAGATGGCCAGGCTGAGGACATCTGAGATAGAGATGAGAAACTTATTGGAAATTGGAGTTAAGTTTACTTTATGTCTTAGTAAAAAGACTTGTGTCATTCCCCGCTCTAGAGATCTAATGTTTTCATGGGCCAGGCCCATGGCCCCACTACTCTGTGCAGCCTCAGGACATAGCAACCTGTATACCAGCTGTTTCAGCTATAGCTGTTGCTAAAAAGGCCCGAGATACATCTCAGGCCACAGCTCCAGAGGGTGCAAGCTGGATGCTGTGAAGTCTTCCATGTGAAGTTAAGACTGCTGATGTGCAGATGGCAAGAGATGAGGCTTGGGAGTCTCTGCTTGGGTTTTAGAAGATGTATGGAAATGCCTGGATTTACAAGCAGAAGTCTGCTGCAGGAGTAAAGCCCTCATGTAGAATTTCTACTATGGAAATGCAGAGGGGAAATGTTGGGTTGAAGCCCAAACATAAAGTCCCCACTGGGTCTTTGCCTAGTAGAGCTGTGAGAATATCACCATCCTCTGGAACACAGAATAAGAGATTTAACAACAGCTTGCACCATGCAGCAGGAAAAGCCATGGATGCTTATCGCCAGTTCATCAATGCAACTGCAAAAGCTATACCCTGCAGAGCCAGAAAGGCAGAGCTGTCCAAGGCTTTGGGAGCCCACTTCTTGCATCAGTGTGGCGTGGATGTGAGACATGGAGTCAAAGGAGATTATTTGGGAGCTTTAAGATTTAATGACTGCCTTGCTGGGTTTTGGACTTGCATTGGGCCTGTAACCCCTTTGCTTTGACCAATTTCTCCCCTTTGGAACAAGAGCGTTTACCCAATGCCTGTACCCCCATTGTATCTCAGAAATAACTAAATTACTTTGGATTTTACAGGCTCATGGGGGGAAGGGACTTGTTTTGTCTCAAATGAGACTTTTGACTTGGACTTTTAGGTTAATGCTGAAATGAGTTAACACACTGAGGGGTTGTTGGCAAAGCACAATTGTGTATTGAAATGTGAGAAGAAAATGAGATTTGGGGGGAGCCAGGGGTAAAATAATATGGTTTGGTTCTGTGTCTCCACTCAAATCTCATGTCAAATTGTAATCCTCAATGTTGGAAGAGGGGCCAGGTAGGAAGTGATTGAATCACGGGGTAAACTTCCCCTTTTCTGTTTTTGTGACTGAGTTCTCCCAAGATCTGCTTGTTTAAAAGTGTGTAGTACCTCCCCCACCTCTCTTCTGCTGGCCATGTGAAAACATGTATGTGCTTTCCTTTTGCCTTCCCCCATGTTTGTAAGTTTCCTGTGGCCTTTCAAGGAGCAGAAGTCTGCACAGCTGGCAGAATTGTGAGTCAATTAAATTTATTTTCTTTATAGATTACCCAGTCTCAGGTATGTCTTTATAGCAGTGTGAGAATGAAATAATACACTAGTTTTTTTTTATGATTTCTGCATCTATGTTTATGCAGAATATTGGCGTGAAGTTTTATTTGTGTGTGTGTGTGTGTCTCTGACAGGTTTTAGTTTCAGGATGAGGATGTCCTCATAGAATCATTTTGAGGAGTCTCCCTCCTGAATTTTTTGGAATAATTTTAGTAGAAAAGGTATCAACTCTTCTTTGTACATCTCGCACAATTTGGTTATGTGTCCATCTTGTATAATCTTTGCCTTTCATTATCTTTGTTGGATTAAAGTCTTTTTTGTCTGAAATTAGGATCGCAAACCCTGTTGCTTTTTGTTTTTTGTAATTTCTATTTGCTTGATAGATTTCTCTCCATTCCATTACTTTGAGGCTATAGGTGTCATTGCATATGAGGCTGGTAACTTAAAAGTAGCACACCGTTGGGTCTTGCTTTTGTATCCAGCTTGCCATTCTGTGCCTTTTAATTGGGGCATTTAGCCGTTAAGGCTGGTATTCATATGTGTGAATTTGATCCTCTCGTTGTGTTGTTAGCCGATTATTATTCAGACTTGTTTATGTGGTTTCTTTGCAGTGTCCCTGGTTTATATACATACATGTGATATTGTATTGGGTGGTAAAGGTGTTTCTTTTCCTTATTTCATGCTCCTTTAAAGACCTGTTGTAAGATGGGTGTGGTGGTAATAAAGTCCCTCAGCATTTGCTCGTCTAAATATAATCTTATTTCTCTTTCACTTAGGAATCTTATTTTGGCTGGATGTGAAATTCTTGGTTGGACATTTTGTTTTTTAAAAATGTTGAATATAGACCCCTAATGTCTTCTGGATTATAGAGATTCTGCTGAAAATTGTGTTGTTGGCCTGATGGCATTCCCTTTATAGATCACCTGTCCTTTCTCTCAGGCTGCCTTTAACACATTTTCTTTCATTTAGACATTGAAAAATTTGATAATTATGTGTCTTGGGGATAATCTTCTTGTGTAGTATCTTGCCAGGGTTCTCAATATTTCCTGAATTTGAATACTGCTCTCCATAGCAATGTTGGAAAAGATTTCATAAATATTATCCTGAAGTATGTTTTCCAATCTGTTTGCTTCCTCCTCGTCTCTTTCAGGGACACCAGTGACTTGTGGATTTGGCCTCTTTACATAATTCTATATTTCTCAAAAGTTTTTTTCATTATTTTTAAATTTCTTTTCTTTATTTTTGTCTGTCTTATTCAGAGAGCCAGTATTCACGTTCTCAGAGTTTTTTTTCAGCTTGGTCTGTTCTGCTGTTAATAGTTGTGGTTGCATTGTGAAATTCTTGTAGTGTGTTTTTCAGCTCTATCAGGTCAGTTAGATTCTTTTTTATAATGGCTATTTTGTCTGTCATGTCCATTATCATTTTTATTGTGATTCTTAGTTTTCTTGGATTGGGTTTTTAAATTCTCCTGAATCTCAATAATCGTCATTCCTATCTGATATGGTTTGGTTCTCTGTCCCCACCCAAATATCATGCTGAACTCTGATCCCCAATATTGGGGTAGAGACCTGGTAGGAGGTAACTGGATCATGGGGGTAGATATCCTCCTTGCTGTTCTCATGAGATCTGGTTGTTTCAAAGTGTGTAACACTCCCCTCTTTGCTGTCTCTCTTTCTCCTGCTAGCCATGTGAAGATGTATCGGTTTCCTCTTTGCCTTCCACTATAATTGTAAGTTTCCTGGGGCCTCCCTAGAAGAAGAAGTCTGTACAGCCTACAGAACCATGAGGCAATTAAACACTTCTATCCTCTATAAATTACACAGTCTTAGGTAGTTCTTTATAACAGTGTGAGAATGGACTAATACACTATCCATGGTCTGTGTTTTATTTCTGTCATTTCAGCCAACTCAGCCCTGTTAAGAACACTTTTTGGAGAACTATTGCAGTCGTTTGGAGGACATAAGACACTGGCCATCTGAGTTGCCAGAGTTCTTGTGTTGGTTCTTTATCATCTCTTTGTGTGGGTGTTCCTTTAACTGTAGTGTAGTTTGAATACAGTCAGTAGCCTTTTTTTTTTCTGGGAATTTTCACAGGGTTGAGGCATATTGCAGCATATTTATTTATAGCTAACTTCTTGTCTTTGATTTCATAAAGGTGTATATTAGTAAAGTATTTTTGGTGTTGATGGTTTGGTGTATGATGCTTACATGTAGTGGTCAGTAAGTAGGCTCATGATCAGTTACATGGCTCCCCTATACTTCTTCAGAGTTCCATCAGTGCTCTCTCTCAATGCTCTCAAGGTGTGGCCTTCTCTCCCACTTGAGTACTCACTGTAGCTTGACACTCCTGTGCTGTCCACCATAGCTCTGGGGCAATCTCAGGGTTTCAATTCCCTGCCCAACTGGTAGGAAGAAGAAGAAGGTATCTTAGCAGTGGTTGTAGCCAAGAGTCATTCGCTTGTCTCCTGAGGCTTCACCTCAGAGAGTTGCAGAGCAGCGACTGCTCAGGGCAGTCAGGTCAAGATGGGGGTGTCACTGATGTGGGCTGAAAACAAGGCGGCCCTGCCTGGTGATGAGCAGAAAAGGTGGGTGGAACCCATGGGAGACAGAATGGCCTCCTCTGTTTGGGTATACTGCAGCTTGTTGGAGATGTGAACAAGGCAATTAGAGTCTTTGCTCCTTCACCAGTCTGAGGATAGCAAGGGTAGTACCACTGCAGAGGCAGTGGCAGAAGGGCTTTTGGTTGCCCTTGGGGGTTCCATCTCCAAGAAACGTGGAGCTGCTGCTACTGTAAGTGTTCAGCCAGGTGAGTGGGACAGCTGCACTGCTGGTGTGCACTAGTGGCTCTGCTTGTTGGAGAGCGAGATGTCAAGACCTCACATAGAGGAGAGACTGGCCTTCTCTCTATATAGTGATTTTGGTGTGCTGTAATCTCAGGTGTAGGCTTCAGGCTCCTTGTTTCTTCCCCAGACAGAGGAAAGCAGGGTCAGGACTGCTGCTGTGCAGAGGCACAGGGGCTGTTGTTTGCCTCTGGGAGCCTCTCCCCAGGGAAACTCAGAGCCACTGCCAGTGGGCATGCTCAGCCGTGAGTGGGGCATCTGTTCTGTGTTTCTGTGCTGGGGGCTCTGCCTAGTAAAGAGTAGGGGGTGGGGGTTCCCAGGGTAGAGGGACCAGACTCCTTTTTGTATGATGGCTGCTGTGTGCTGGAGGAACCAGCATAGCAGCTAGTCCCTTTGTTCCTTCCTCAGACCATGGGCAGTACCACCGCAACTGCAATGGTGTAGGGGTTGTGGGTTAACTTTAGGTTTTCCCTCAGAGAGATACTGAGCTGCCTCTGATTGAAGTTATCAGACAGGGGAAAGGTGGTTGTACTGGAGTCCCAGGTCAAGCAGCCCTGCCCAGTGAGAAGTGAGGACCAGGATATGCATAGAGGACAATCTGAAAATTTTTCCATGAGGCATCTGCTCTGTGATCAGGATCTGTATGAGACCCTGGTCACTGCAGACTCTCCAGAGCCCAGAGACTTCAAAGGCGGGGACTGTGAGACAACAAAGATAGCACACCACCCTTCCCACTGGGAGCTCTGTCTCAGGGAGATACAGAGAGGCTACTTGCTGGGATCCCATCTTGTCAGGAGAAACGGGATGGGAGACCCACATAAAAAAAATCTGGCTGTTTTTCTGTAGGGCTGCTGCACTATGCTAGGTGTCCACTTCGGTCTCTAGTCACCTCAGACTTTCCAGTGCCTGAAGGCAACAACAGTGAACACTGCAAAGCAATAAAGATGGTGGCCCTCCCCTCCCTCTGGGAGCTTCATCCCAGGAAAGTATGGAGCTGCTGCCAGCTGGAAAACACTGTCAGTTGCTGGCTAGAGACACCGGTCGGAAGGTCCTGCTTAGTGAAGAAAAACGGGATAAGAGACTCATGTGAAAAATCAGTCTGCCTGATTTTTGTATGGCAGCTGCATTGTGCTGAGGGTCTGTTCCTATCCCTAATTATCTGTAGACTCTCTAGAGCCTGAGGGCAACAACAGCTAAGGCTGCGAGATTGTAAAGATGGCGGCTCATCCCTCCTTCTAGGAGCTCCCTCCCAGGGAGATACAGAGCTGCCGTTCATCCAAAAACATTGGCACGAGGTGACTGAAGACCCTGGTCGGGAGGTCCCACCTAGTAAAAAGAAATGGTAGCGGGACTTTAGCAAAAAAAAAAAAAAAAAAAATTGTGGCCACTATTATGTACAGCAGCTGCACTGTTCTGGAGGTCTGCTACATTCCCTATTCATCTCTGGACCATCTAGACCCTGAGGGGAATAACAGCTAAGTCTGTAAGAACCCCAAAATGGCGGTGTGCCCTTCTTCTGGTAACTCCATCCCAGGGAAATACAAGAGCTGCTGCTGGTCCAAAAACACTGGCAGATATGGTGGCTGGAGACCAACTTTGGGAGGTCCCACCCAGCGAGGAGAAACAGGATCAGGAACTCATGCACAAAAACTGGCCGTTTTTCCTAGAGAAGCTGCAGCAACAGCCAACGGCAAAGACAGTGGCCCACCCCTCCCTCTGGGAGCTCCATCTCGGGGAAGGCTGCTATTGGAGGCTGGCTGGAGTCACAGGCCAGAGAATCTTATCCTGCGAGGTGCTGTGTATGTGGGGCCTGTAGACTGTCATTGCTCAGCTCTTTGGATTCAGCCCCTTTCCTGGGTGCATGTATGGGAGCATAACCATCCCCTTTGCCAGAGATGCAGCTGCTATTGCTGGGATGCCTGGGAATCCAAGGCTCCCAGGACTTGTGTGTGCCTGAGCAGCAACTCTGCCAAGACCATGTAGCTTTCTGTGTCAGATTCAAGGCCCTGATGGAGTAGGTTTGTGAGGGGTTCTCCTGATCCCTGAGTTGCAAAAATCCATGGAAGAAGTATGGGTTTTCAGGGTCTCTTACTCTTACTATCTCACTATTTCCCTGGTTGACAAAGGCTACCTTGGCTTCATGTTGCTTCTGGGTGGGCGGTCATCCTGTCTTGCTCCTCTTTATTCTCCGTGAGTTGAGTTGTTTCCTTAATGAATCTCAAAACATGCACCCGAATGTTTCAGTTGATGGTGGAGTATTTACTCATCCCTTTTATTTCTCTCCATAAAAGTGGTGCACATTAGCAGCTTTTAGTCTACCGTCTTGACCCACCTCCCTTCCTTCTTCTATTAGTCTAGCTAAGAGTTCATTGATTTTGTTTATATCTTCAAAATACCAACTATTAATTTGGTCAGTTTTTTTAAAAGTTTTTTTCTGTCCTCTACTGTTCTGAGCTTTATTATTTCTTTTTTACTGATAACTTTGGGTTTAGGTTATTATTCTTTTTCTAGTTTTGTGAGGTATAAAGTTAGGTTATTTGACATCTTTTTTAATGTAGGTGTTTACACTGTAAATGTTTATTGCATTTGCTGAATCCTGTAAGTTTTGGGAAGTTATGCTTTTACTCTTTTCCATCTCAAGATATTTTAAAATTATTTTTTAAATTTCCTCTTTCACCCAGTGGTTATTTAAGAGTGTGTTATTCAGTGAAACCCCATCTCTACTAAAAAATTCAAAAAAAAAAAAAAAAATTAGCCGGGCATGTTGGTGGGCGCCTGTAGTCCCAGCTACTCGGGAGGCTGAGGTGGGAGAAAGTCATGAACCTGGAAGGCAGAGCTTGCAGTGAGCCGAGATCGCGCCACTACACTCCGGCCTGGGTGACAGAACAAGATTCCTTCTCAAAAAAAAAAAAAAAAAAAAAAGAGTGTGTTATTTCATTTCAGCATATTTGTTAATTTACTCATTCTTTTGGTGTTAGTGAATTCCAGCTTCGTTCTTGTGCTTGGAAAAGATGCTTGGTATGGTTTCAATATTAAATTCTTTAAGGCTCATTTTGTGACCTAACATGTAAAATATCCTAGAGAATGTTCCATTAGCACTTGAGATAAATTTATATTCTTCTGCTGTTGGGCAAAAATTTCTGTGTATGTTTGTTACATTTATTTGGTCTATAGTGTTGTTCAAGTCCACAGTTTCTTTAAATCATTCCAAAAATTAGAAGTAGAGGGAATACTTCCAATTATATTATAGAAGGCCAGCATTACCCTGACACCAAATCCTGACTAAGAAACCATGAGAAAAGGAAACTACAGGCCAATATATATGATGAACAATGATGCAAAAAGCCTTGAAAAAAACACTAGCAGATCAAATTCAACAACACTCCAAAAAATTTATACACCATGAGCAAGTGAGATTTGTCTCTTGGATGCAAAGGCGGTTGGACACATGCAAATCAATCCATTAGATACCTTATGTTAACAAATTAAAAGGTAAAAGCCACACAATCATCTCAACAGATGCATAAAAATATTTGACAAAGTTCAACATAAAGCCACTCAACAAAATAAGCATAGAAGAAAATTTACTGAACACAATAAAAGCTACATATAAAAAGCCCACAGGTAATATTACAATCAATTAAAAAAATGGAAAGGTTTCCCTCTGAGATTTGGTAAAATGTAAGGTTATGCACTCTCACCACTTCTATTTACCATAGTATTGAAAGTACTAGCAATAGCAATAAGAAAAGCAAAAAAGGAAGGCGTCCTAATCAGAAAGGAAGAAGTAAAAGTATGCTTGTTTCACATAACATAATCCTATATGTAGAAAACACTAAAGACTCCAGCAAAAAACTGTCAAAACAAATCAATGAATATAGTAAAGTTTCAGGTTACAAAATCAACACAGAAAAATCAGATGCACTTCTTGACACCAATAAGGATGTATCTGAAAAGAAAACTTAAAAATATCTCGTTCAGGATAGCATCTAAAGGAATAATTTTTTCTCTAACATTTATATTACATTTGAAGTTACATGTGAAGGTTTGTTACATCAGGTAAACACGTACCTTGGGGGCTTGTTGAACATATTATTTCATCACTCAGATATTAAGCACAGTACCCAATAGTTATCTTTTCCACTCCTCTCCCTCCTCTCACCTTCCTCATTCAAGTAAACCTCAGTGTCTGTTGATTGCTTCTTCATGAAGAATAAAATTTTTACAAATAAGTTTAACCATGGAGGTGAACTATCTCCACATTGAAAACTATAAAACATTAATGACAGAAAATGTAGAATGCAGAAGTAAAATTATATCCCATGTTCATGAATTGGAAGAACTAATATTAAAATGCCCATGCCACTCAAAGTGATCTACAGAGTTAATTCCATCTCCATCAAAATTCCAATGGCATATTTCACAGAAATAACAAAAACTCCAAAATATAAAAAGAACAAAAAAAGGTCCCAAATACTAAAGCAATCTTGAGAAAAAAAGAAAAGAGTTGCAGAAATCACACTTCCTAATTTCAAATTATATTACAAAGCTATAGTAATCAAGACAGTATGATATTGGCATGAAAACAGACAAATACACCAAATGGAACAGAACACAGAGGCCAGAAATAAGCCCACCATATACAGTTGTAAACCAACAAATATCTGAGACAATTCTTAATAAATTTAGAAAGTTTGTTTTGCCAAGGTTAAAGACATGCCCATGACAGCCTCAAGAGGTCCTGACGACATTTGCCCAAGGTCGTTGGGGCACAGCTTGCTATTATACATTTTATGGAGACATGAGATATCAATCAGTATAAATAAGATGTACACTGGTTTGGTCTGGAAAGGTGGGACAGGCTCTAAGCAGGAAGGGTTTTCTAGGTCATAGGTAGATAAGAAACAAACATTTGCATTCTTTTGAGTTTCTGATTAGCCTGTCACTGAATACACAATTTATAAAAATTGTCACTTATACCTTAGTCTGGTGTAGTGAAATAATAGGGTAAAAAGAGAAATTAGATAAGAATTTGTCTCAATCAAGCAGAGGGATGACTGCATTCTGCTGTCCTTTGTCCACAAGGAAATTCCTTGTGTGCAAATTGTGAGGGAGGTAGGTAGCGTCTTTTTTTTTTTTTTTTTTTTTTTTTTTTTTTTTTTTTTTTTTTTTTTTTTTGAGACAGTCTCACTCTGTTGCCCAGGCTGGAGTTCAGTGGCACAATCTCGGCTCAATGCAACCTCTGCCTCCTGGGTTCAAGTGATTCTCCTGCCTCAGCCTCCTGAGCAGCTGGGATTACAGGCGTGCACCACCACACCCAGCTAATTTGTGTATTTTTAGTAAAGATGGAGTTTCACCATGTTAGTCAGGCTGGTCTCAAACTCCTGACCTAGTGATCCATCCGCCTTGGCCTCCCAAAGTACTGGGATTACAGATATGAGCCACCGCACCCCGCTGTAGTTTCTTTATCTTTGTAGCTATCGTATTTAGAAATAGAATGAGAGGCAGGTTTTCCCAATGCAGTTCCCAGGTTAACTTTTTCCTTTAACTTACTGATTTGGGGGTCCCGAGTCTTATTTTCCTTTTACACAGTGAACTAATTTTCAACAAGAGCATCAAGAATACACAGTGAAAAAGATCTCATTAATTAATGGTACTGGGAAACTGGATATCTCTATGCAAAAGAATAAAATTAGACGCTTATCTTACACCACAAAAAATTAAAAACTGAATTAAAGATTTAAATATAAGATTTGAAATTATATGTCTTCTAGGAGAAAACATAGGAAAAAATTTCTTGACTTTGGCCTTAGTAGTGACTATTTGTATATGACAACAAAAGTAAAGGCAACAAAAGCATAAATAAACAAATGGAACTACATCAAACTAAAAAAAACTGCACAGGAGAAAAAATGGTCAACAAAATAAAAAGGTAACCTACAGATTTGGAGAAAATATTTGATAAACCACAATGAGAAAGAAAGGCAGAGCAAGAGAGAAGAGAGAGAGGTGGAGCAAGATGGTGGAATAGAAGGCTCCACTGATCATCCCCCTGGAAAGAACACCAATTTAATAATTACACAATAGGCCAAGTGCTGTGGCTCATGCATGTATTCCCAGCACTTTGGGAGGCTGAGGTGGGCAGATTACTTGAAGTCAAAAGTTTGAGATCAGCCTGGCCAACAAGCTGAAACCCCATCTTTACTAAAAATACAAAAATTAGCAAGGTGTGGTGGCACGTGCCTGTAGTCCCAGCTACTCAGGAGGCTGAGGCAAGAGAACCACTTGAACCTGAGAGGCTGAGGTTGCAGTGAGCTGAGACTGTCCCACTGCACTCCAGCCTGGGGAAGAGTGAGACTGTATCTCAAAAAAAAAAAAATCTACACAATAAAGCACCTTCATAAGAATCAATAATAAGGTGAGCACTCACAGTACCTGGTTTTAACTTTCTGTTGCTAAAAGAGGCACTGAAATCATTAAAAAAAAAAAAGGTTTGAATCACTGAAACCACCCTTCATCAACCTCCCAGCAGCAGTGGTGTGATGTGGAGAGGTTTTCTGCGGACTGGATGAAAGAGTGTTCAGTAATTGTGAAACATCTAACTCAGTGGTGTATTGTTAGACCAGAAAGAAAAACCAGACCCCCAACAACTGGACTGGTTGTATAAATGCTCTTATGGAGGGAGCATTGAAACCAGCCCTAGCCAGAGGAGAATGGTTGATCCCAGTTGTCCAAACTTGAGTTCTGCAAACCTCAACACCAGGGCTAAAGTGCTCCGGGGCTCTAAATAAACTCAAAAGTCACTCTATGCCACAATAAATGTAACCCCTGGATGAATTTTAGTGTCAAACTAGTCCCAGAACAAGTAGAATGCATGGCACATAACTTACTGAGACATCAACTGGGGTGGCTAAGAGAGAGCTGGCATCAGCCCTCCCCTAAGCCCAAACTGTATAGTTTGAAGCTCCCAAAGACCTGCAGTCCCCTTCAATCCGCTTTAGCAAAGGAGAGAAAAGCATGGGGAGGACATTTTTTTGCATTTTGGATACCAGCTCAGCCACAGCAGGACAAGGCAATGGTCAAAGTCCTGAGGGCCCCTTTCCAGGCTCTAGCTTCTGGATAACAATACTAGACAAACAAACTCTGGGCCAGAAGGCAAACCACTGCCTGGAAAGAAAGAATCCAGCCCTGGTAGCATTAATCACCTGCTAATGAAAGAACTCTTGGGCCCTGAATAAACAGCAGTGATACACAGGTACTGTCAAGGGCTTTGGGTGAGAACTGGTGACATTCTGGCTTCAGGTACCAGCTCACCCACAGGAAGGTAGAGCACCAAGTGGACCCTTAGGAACCCTGGTTTCACAGCTTGGCTCTTGGGCAGCATTTCTGAGCCAGCCCTGAGCCAGAGGGGAGCACACTGTCCAAAAAAGTGAGTCTCAGGCCAGGCAGCATTCATCACAAGTTGACACAAGAGCACTTCAGCCTTAAGGGAGCAGTGGCATTGGTTTGACAGTACCACCCATGGGCCCTTGGTAGTGGTGGCCACAGGGTGAGACTCTTCTGTCTACTGAAATGGGAGGGAAGAGTGGGAAAAACTGCATCTTGTGGTTTGGTTGCCAGCTAAGCCACAGGAAAATAGAAAATCAGGTAAAATTCTAAGGTTTTGAATCTAATCCTTGGCTCCCATATGGCACCATGGGACCCATGTGGAGCTTTGTGGAACTCGGAGAACTGCAGGGAAAAACACAAGCCTGGCTACCTTTGCCACCTGCTGATTGTAAGGACCAGGGCATTGAATGAAAATAAGCTGTAGCCAGAAAGTGGTTACAGCAGTCCTTCAGCAAGACCCAGTGCTGTTCAGGTTTCAGTTCTAGACTAGTGCAGTCACAGTGCTGGTGGCCACAGGGAAGCTTGTGTCACTCCACCTCCAGCTTTAGGTGGGTTGGGAGAGAGACAGACAGACAGACAGAGAGAGAGAGAGAGAGATCCTTTTTGTTTAGAAGAAAGTAAGAGAAAAAAACAGTCTCTGCCTGGTAATGCAGAGAATTCTCCCAGATCTCCAAGATTATGAAGATGGTACTTCTGAAAGTCTGAAATAACCAAAGGGTTACTGTGCTTTGGGTGCCCACTAAAGTAGATACAGCCTAGATTACAACATCCAAGTTTTTACAAATATCTGGAAAGCCTTCATGAGAAGCATGGGTATAAACAAATCCAGACTGCAAAGCGTATGGTAAATACCTAATTCTTCAATGCACGGAAAAAGAAGAGCATCTATGCATATCAAGAAAATCCAGGAAAACATGACTTCACTAAAGGGACTACATAAGCCACAAGGCACCAGTTCTGGAGAAACAGAAATATCCAACATTTAACACAGATAATTTAATATAGCTGTTTTGAGGAAACTAAAATACAAATTCAAAATAACAAAGAAATTCAGAATTCCATCAGATAATTTTAACCAAAAGATTAAAATAATTTTAAAAAATCGATCAAAAATACTGGAGCTGAAAAATGCAGTAGGAATAGTGAGGAATGCATTAGAGACTTTCAATAGGAGAATTGATCACGCAGAAGAAAGAAGTAGTGAGCTTGAAGACAGGCTTTCTGAAAATACACAGTGATTATGTCATTGCACTCCCACCCAGGCCACAGTGCAAGACTCCATTTCAGAAAAAAAATATGATAAAAGAAAAAATACACAGTCAGAGACAAAAGAAGAAAGAATAAAAAACAACAAAGCATGAATACAGGATCAAGAAAATAGGGTCAAAAGAGAAAATACAAAAGTTTTTGATTTTTAAAAATTATTATTATACATTAAGTTCTGGGGTACATGTGCAGAATGTGCAGGTTTTTTACATAGGTATACAAGTGCTGGGGGGCAGTTCCAAGATGGCTGAATAGGAACAGCTCCAGTCTACAGCTCTCAGCATGAGTGAAGCAGAATACGGGTGATTTCTGCATTTCCAACTGAGGTACTGTGTTCATCTCACTGAGATTGTCAGACAGTGGCTGCAGGAGAGTGGGTGCAGCAAAGCGAGCATGAGCTGAAGCAGGGCAAGGCATCACCTCACCCGGGAAGCACAAGGGGTCAGGGAATTCCCTTTCCTAAGCAAGGGAAGGGGTGACAAACAGCACCCGGAAAATCGAGTCACACCCACACTAATACTGCGCTTTTCCAATGGTCTTAGCAAACGGCACACCAGGAGATTATATCCCGCACATGTCTCAGAGGGTCCTACACCCATGGAGCTTTACTCACTGCCAGCACGGCAGTCTGAGATTGAATTGCAACCTGGCAGCGAGGCTGGGGGAGGGGCTGCCGCCATTGCTGAGGCCTGAGTAGGTAAACAAAGTGACTGGGAAGCTCGAGCTGGGTGGAGCCCACTGCAGCTCAAGAAAATCTGCCTGCCTCTGTAGACTCTTGTAGACAAAGAAGGCCATTACATAATGGTAAAGGGATCAATTCAACAAGAAGAACTAACTATCTTAAATATATATGCACAAAATACAGGAGCACCGAGATTCATAAAGCAAGCCCTTAGAGACCTACAAAGAGACTTAGACTCCCACACAATAATACTGGGAGACATTAACAACCCACTGTCAACATTAGACAGATCAATGAGACAGAAAGTTAACAAGGATATCCAGGAATTGAACTCAGCTCTGCACCAAGAATCCTTTCCCCATTGCTTCTTTTTGTCAGGTTTGTCAAAGATCAGATGTTTATAGATGTGGTGGTATTATTTCTGAGGGCTCTGTTCTGTTCCATTGGTCTATAACTCTGTTTTGGTACCAGTACCATGCTGTTTTGGTTACCGTAGCCTTGTAGTATACTTTGAAGTCAGGTAGTGTGATGCCTCCAGCTTTGTTCTTTTGGCTTAGGATTGTCTTTGCACTGAGGGCTCTTTTTGGTTCCATATGAACTTTAAAGTAGTTTTTTCCAATTCTGTGAAGAAAGTCATTTGTAGGTTGATGGGGACGGCATTGAATCTATAAATTACCTTAGGCAGTATGGCCATTTTCACGATATTAATTCTTCTATCCATGAGTATTCAATGTTCTTCCATTTGTTTGTGTCCTCTTTTATTTCGTTGAGCAGTGGTTTGTAGTTCTCCTTGAAGAGGTCCTTCACATCCCTTGTAAGTTGGATTCCTAGGTATTTTATTCTCTTTAAAGCAATTGTGAATGGGAGTTCATTCATGATTTGGCTCTCTGTTTGTCTTTTACTGGTGTATAAAAATGCTTGTGATTTCTGCACATTGATTTTGTATCCTGAGACTTTCTGAAGTTGCTTATCAGCTTAAGGAGATTTTGGGCTGAGACGATGGGGTTTTCTAAATATACAATCATGTCAACTACAAACAGGGACAATTTGGCTTCCCATTTTCTAATTGAATACCCTTTATTTCTTTCTCTTGCATGATTGCCCTGGCCAGAACTTCCAACACTATGTTGAATACGAGTGATGAGAGAGAGCATCCCTGTCTTGTGCCAGTTTTCAAAGGAAATGCTTCCAGTTTTGCCCATTCAGTATGATATTGGCTGTGGGTTTGTCATAGATAGCTTTTATTATTTTGAGATACGTCCCATCAATACTTAATTTATTGAGAGTTTTTAGTATGAAGGGTTGTTGAATTTTGTCAAAGGCCTTTTCTGCATCTATTGAGATAATCATGTGGTTTTTGTCTTTGGTTCTGTTTATATGCTGCAATATGTTTATTAATTTGCGTATGTTGAACCAGCCTTGCATCACACGGATGAAGCCCCTTGATCATGGTGGATAAGCTTTTTGATGTGCTGCTGGATTTGGTTTGCCAGTATTTTATTGAGGATTTTTGCATCAGTGTTCATCAGGGATATTGGTCTAAAATTCTCTTTTTTTGTTGTGTCTCTGCCAGGCTTTGGTATCAGGATGATGCTGGCCTCATAAAATGACTTAGGGAGGATTCCCCCTTTTTCTATTGATTGGAATAGTTTCAGAAGGAATGGTACCAGCTCTTCCTTGTAGCTCTGGTAGAATTTGGCTGTGAATCTGTCTCTTACTGGGCTTTTTTTTGGTTGGTAGGGTACTAACTATTGCCTCAATTTCAGAGCCTGTTATTGGTCTATTCAGGAATTCAATTTCTTCCAGGTTTAGTCTTGGGAGGGTGTATGTGTCAAGGAATTTGTCCATTTATTCTAGATTTTCTAGTTTATTTGCATAGAGGTGTTTATAGTATTCTCTGATGGTAGTTTGTATTTCTGTGGGATCAGTGGTGATATCCCCTTTATCATTTTTTATTGCATCTATTTGATTATTCTATTTTCTTCTTTATTAGTCTTGCTAGTGGTCTATCAATTTTGTTGATCTTTTCAAAAAACAAGCGTCTGGATTCATTGATTTTTGAAGGATTTTTTGTGTCTCTATTTCCTTCAGTTCTGCTCTCATCTTAGTTATTTCTTGCCTTCTGCTAGCCTTTGAATATGTTTGCTCTTGCTTCTCTAGCTCTTATCATTGTGATGTTAGGGTGTCAATTTTAGATCTTTCCTGCTTTTTCTTGTGGGCATTTAGTGCTATAAATTTCCCTTTACACACTGCTTTCGTTTTGTCCCAGAGATTCTGGTGTGTTTTGTCTTTGTTCTCATTGGTTTCAAAGAACATCTTTATTTCTGCCTTCATTTCGTTATGTACCCAGTAGTCATTCAGGAGCAGGTTGTTCAGTTTCCATGTAGTTGAGCGGTTTTGAATGAGTGTCTTAATCCTGAGTTCTAATTTGATTTCACTGTGGTCTGAGAGACAGTTTCTTGTAATTTCTGTTCTTTTACATTTGCTGAGGAATGCTTTACTTCCAACTATGTGGTCAATTTTGGAATAAGTGCGATGTGGTGCTGAGAAGAATGTATATTCTGTTGAATTGGGGTGGAGAGTTCTGTAGATGTCTACTAGGACCGCTTGGTGCAGAGCTGAGTTCAATTCCTGGATATCCTGGTTAACTTTCTGTCTCATTGATCTGCCTAATGTTGACAGTGGGGTGTTAAACTCTCCCATTATTATTGTGTGGGAGTCAAAGTCTCTATGTAGGTCTCTAAGGACTTGCTTTATGAATCTGGCTGCTCCTGTATTGGGTGGATTTATATGTAGGATAGTTAGCTCTTTTTTTTTCCTTTTTAATTATATTGTTATTACACTTTAACTTTTAGGGTACATGTGCACAATGTGCAGGTTTGTTACATATGTATACATGTGCCATGTTGGTGTGCTGCACCCATTAACTCATCATTTAACATTAGGTATATCTCCTAATGCTATCCCTGCCACCTCCCCTCACCCCACAACAGTCCCTGGAGTGTGATGTTCCCCTTCCTGTGTCCATGTGTTCTCATTGTTCAATTCCCACCTATGAGTGAGAACATGCAGTGTTTGGTTTTCTGTTCCTGTCATAGTTTGCTGAGAATGATGGTTTCCAGCTTCATCCATGTCCCTACAAAGGACATGAACTCATCAATTTTTATGGCTGCATAGTATTCCATGGTTTATATGTGCCACATTTTCTTAATCCAGTCTATCGTTGTTGGACATTTGGGTCCATTCCAAGTCTTTGCTATTATGAACAGTGCCGCAATAAACATACGTGTGCATGTGTTTTTATAGCAGCATGATTTATAATCCTTTGGGTATATACCCAGTAATGGGATGGCTGGGTCAAATGGTATTTCCAGTTCTAGATCACTGAGGAATCGCCACACTGATTTCCACAATGGTTGAACTAGTTTACAGTCCCACCAACAGTGTAAAATGTTCCTGTTTCTCCACATCCTCTCCAGCACCTGTTGCTTCCTGTCTTTTTAATGATCACCATTCTAACTGGTGTGAGATGGTATCTCACTGTGGTTTTGATTTGCATTTCTCTGATGGCCAGTGATGGTGAGCAATTTTTCATGTGTTTTTTGCCTGCATAAATGTCTTCTTTTGAGAAGTGTCTGTTCATATCCTTTGCCCATTTTTGGATGGGGTTGTTTGTTTTTTCTTGTAAATTTGTTTGAGTTCATTGTAGATTCGGGATACTAGCCCTTTGTCAGATGAGTGGGTTGCAAAAATTTTCTCCCATTCTGTAGGTAGCCTGTTCATTCTGATGGTAGTTTCTTTTCCTGTGCAGAAGTTCTTTAGTTTAGGTAGATCCCATTTGTCAATTTTGGCTTTTGTTGCCATTGCTTTTGGTGTTTTAGACATGAAGTCCTTGCCCATGCCTATGTCCTGAATGGTATTGGCTAGGTTTTCTTCTAGGGTTTGTATGGTTTTAGGTCTAACATGTAAGTCTTTAATCCATCTTGAATTAAGTTTTGTATAAGGTGTAAGGAAGGGATCCAGTTTCAGCTTTCTACATATGGATAGCCAGTTTTCCCAGCCCCATTTATTAAATAGGAAATACTTTCCCCATTGCTTGTTTTTGTCAGGTTTGTCAAAGATCAGATGGTTGTAAATATGTGGCATTACTTCTGAGGGCTCTGTTCTGTTCCATTGATCTATATCTCTTTTTTGATACCAGTACCATGCTGTTTTGGTTAGTGTAGCCTTGTAGTATAGTTTGAGGTCAGGTAGCGTGATGCCTCCAGCTTTGTTCTTTTGACTTAGGATTGATTTGGTGATGTGGGCTCTTTTTTGGTTCCATATGAACTTTAAAGTAGTTTTTTCCAATTCTGTGAAGAAAGTCATTGGTAGCTTGATAGTGATGGCATTGACTCTATAAATTACCTTGGGCAGTATGGCCATTTTCACGATATTGATTCTTCCTACCCATGAGCATAGAATGTTCTTCCATTTGTTTGTATCCTCTTTTATTTCATTGAGCAGTGGTTTGTAGTTCTCCTTGAAGAAGTCCTTCACATCCCTTGTAAGTTGGATTCCTAGGTATTTTATTCTCTTTGAAGCAATTGTGAATGGGAGTTCACTCACGATTTGGCTCTCTGTCTGTTATTGGTGTATAAGAATGCTTGTGATTTTTGTACATTGATTTTGTATCCTGAGACTTTGCTGAAGTTGCTTATCAGCTTGAGATTTTGGGCTGAGACGATGGAGTTTTCTAGATATACAATCATGTCATCTGCAAACAGGGACCATTTGGCTTCCTCTTTTCCTAATTGAATACCCTTTATTTCCTTCGCCTGCCTAATTGCCCTGGCCAGAACTTCCAACACTATGTTGAATAGGAGCGGTGAGAGAGGGCATACCTCTCTTGTGCCAGTTTTCAAAGGGAATGCTTCCAGTTTTTGCCCATTCATTATGATATTGGCTGTGGGTTTGTCATAAATAGCTCTTATTATTTTGAGATAAGTCCCATCAATACCTAATTTATTGAGAGTTTTTAGCATGAAGGGTTTTTGAATTTTGTCAAAGGCCTTTTCTGCATCTATTGAGATAATCATGTGGTTTTTGTCTTCGGTTCTGTTTATATGCTGGATTACGTTTATTGATTTCCGAATGTTGAACCAGCCTTGCATCACACGCATGAAGCCCAGTTGATTATGGTGGATAAGCTTTTTGATGTCTTGCTGGATTCGGTTTGCCAGTATTTTATTGAGGACTTTTGCATCAATGTTCATCAAGGATATTGGTCTAAAATTCTTTTTTTGTTGTGTCTCTGCCAGGCTTTGGTATCAGGATGATGCTGGCCTCATAAAATGACTTAGGGAGGATTCCCTCTTTTTCTATTGATTGGAATAGTTTCAGAAGGAATGGCACCAGCTCCTCCTTGTACCTCTGGTAGAATTTGGCTGTGAATCCATCTCGTCCTGGTCTTTTTTTGATTGGTAAGTTATTGATTATTGCCACAATTTCAGAGCCTGTTATTGGTCTATTCAGAGATTCAACTTCTTCCTGGTTTAGTCTTGGGAGGGTTTATGTGTCGAGGAATTTATCCATTTCTTGTAGATTTTTCTGGTTTATTTGCATAGAGGTGATTGTAGTAATCTCTGATGGTAGTTTGTATTTCTGTGGGATCGGTGGTGATATCACCTTTATAATTTTTTATTGTGTCTATTTGATTCTTCTCTCTTTTCTTCTTATTAATCTTGCTAGCGGTCTATCAGTTTTGTTGATCTTTTCAAAAAACCAGCTCCTGGATTCACTAATTTTTTGAAGAGTTTTTTTTTTTTTTGTCTCTATTTCCTTCAGTTCTGCTCTGATTTTAGTTATTTCTTGCCTTCTGCTAGGGTTTGAATGTGTTTGCTCTTGCTCTTCTAGTTCTTTTAATTGTGATGTTTTGGTGTCAATTTTGGATCTTTCCTGCTTTCTCTTGTGGGTATTTTGTGATATAAATTTCCCTCTACACACTGCTTTGAATGTGTCCCAGAGATTCTGCTATTTTGTGTCTTTGTTCTCGTTGGTTTCAAAGAACACCTTTATTTCTGCCTTCATTTCGTTATGTACCCAGTAGTCATTCAGGAGCAGGTTGTTCAGTTTCCATGTAGTTGAGCGGTTTTGAGTGAGGTTCTTAATCCTGAGTTCTAGTTTGATTGCGCTCTGGTCTGAGAGACAGTTTGTTATAATTTCTGTTCTTTTACATTTGCTGAGGAGTGCTTTACTTCCAATTATGTGGTCAATTTTGGAGTAGGTGTGGCGTGGTGCTGAAAAAAAATGTATATTCTGTTTATTTGGTGTGTAGAGTTCTGTAGATGTCTATTAGGTCCACTTGGTGCAGAGCTGAGTTCAATTCCTGGGTATTCTTTTTGACTTTCTGTCTCATTGATCTGTCTAATGTTGACAGTGGGGTGTCAAAGTCTCCTATTATTATCGTGTGGGAGTCTAAGTCTCTTTGTAGGTCACTAAGGGCTTGCTTTATGAATCTGGGTGCTCCTGTATTGGGTGCATATATATGTAGGATAGTTAGCTCTTCTTGTTGAATTGATCCCTTTACCATTATGTAATGGCCTTCTTTGTCTCTTTTGATCTTTGTTGGTTTAAAGTCTGTTTTATCAGAGACTAGGATTGCAACCCCTGCCTTTTTTTTTGTTTTCTATTTGCTTGGTAGATCTTCCTCCATCCCTTTATTTTGAGCCTATGTGTGTCTGTGCATGTGAGATGGGTTTCCTGAATACAGCACACTGATGGGTCTTGACTCTTTATCCAATTTGCCAGTCTGTGTCTTTTAATTGGAGCATTTAGCCCATTTACATTTAAAGTTAATATTGTTATGTGTGAATTTTGTCCTGTCATTATGATGTTTGCTGGTTATTTTGTTCGTTAGTTGACGCAGTTTCTTCCTAGCCTTGATGGTCTTTACATTTTGGCATGTTTTTGCAGTGGCTGGTACTGGTTGTTCCTTTCCATGTTTAGTGCTTCATTCAGGAGCTCTTTTAGGGCAGGCCTGGTGGTGACGAAATCTCTCAGAATTTGCTTGTCTGTAAGGTATTTTATTTGTCCTTCACTTATGAAGCTTAGTTTGGATGGATATGAAATTCTGGGTTGAAAATTATTTTCTGTAAGTACGTTGAATATTGGTCCCCACTCTCTTCTGGCTCGTAGAGTTTCTGGCAAGAGATCTGCTGTTAGTCTGATGGGCTTCCCTTTGTGGGTAACCCGACCTTTCTCTCTGTCTGCCCTTAACATTTTTTCCTTCATTTTAACTTTGGTGAATCTGACATTATGTGTTTGGAGTTGCTCTTCTTGGGGAGTATCTTTGTGGCATTCTCTCATTGCGGTCTGACAACCTCACCCTCAGTTTCCCTTATCTACACATGCTTTTCCTGTCACTTCTATGCCTACTCCATCTCAGATGTCTACTCTTGAAACTTCAATGCAATGCTTATTACGCCAAAACAAAGAAACAAGTGAATTAGATGCATGAACTTACCCGGTCATGCTAGACCCACCTAACTTCCAAGGGGTACAAATGCATCAACATGTACCTCTTAATCTTACCTTTTTAAAAGAATTTAAGGATGCTTGTACTCAATATTGTCCTACTTCTCCTTAGTTAAAATGGTATTACAAACTTTTTATACTGAGGTCATTTTGCTTCCTTTAGACTGGGACCTTTTGGCAAAAGCTGTTCTAACCCCATCTCAGCATTTACAATTTCGTACCTGGTGGTCAGAAGAGGCCCATTTGCAGGCTCAGCTAAATCGGACTAATGACATTCTCATTACTCAGGCTCAGCTCACAGGCTTCAATAGTTTCTCTGATGCTTATGCCAAATTAAACTTTGATGCTCTTACCACGGAACAAGTAACAAAGGTGTGTATGAGAGCTTGGGATAAATTACGCACTCCAGGCCAAGCTCCTGTTTCTTTCACCACAGTTAAACAAGGTCACTCTGAATTATACCCTGATTTCTTAGCTAAATTACAAGATGCTGTTGAAAAATCTGTCTCTGATGAGCGCACTCAAGGTATTCTCCTTCGTTAGCTTTTGAAAATGCGAACCATGAGTGTAAAATGGCCATGCCTTCTGTCCAACGACAAAATTTACCTGATCAGGAGGTGTTGCCTGTATATATTAAAGCTTGTGAAGGCATTGGGTAAGACACCCACAAAGCTATTCTGTTGGCATGGGCCATGAAGGACACCAACCAAACTGGTCCCACTAATTCTTTTCTTGGAGCCTGCTATAATTGCTGTCAATTTGGTCATACTAGAAAAAACTGCACTGTTAAAAACTTAAAAGTGGCCAAGCTGGCTCAACAAACACGGCCAAATGCTGCTGCTACTGTTTGCCCATGTTGTCACAAAGGTAAACATTGGGCAAGTAATTGCTGCTCTAAGTATGATATAGATGGAAACCCCCTGCCACAATGGGGAGCGGGGCTGGTCCCAGGCCCCAATATCAAATGGGACACTTCAGACTCATACCAATGTTGTGTTTCCGCTTTGGGTGGTCCCAGTGCAGCCCCCAGGACAAAAAAGTTTACCTACAGCCAACCCAAATGGGTCCCAGCCTCTCCTTCTGTCTCAGTACAGTGCTTGTCCACCTCCACGGTAGGTGGCAGGACGGTCAATCTCTGTAGTATTATTCCTCTAAATTTTCTACTTAACTCTTTGCCTTTAATTGTCCCCACGGGGGTCACTGGCCCTTTACCTCAAGGTTCGGTGGGCCTGGTGTTAGGTAGGGCATCCACCTCTGCTAAAGGAATCACCATTCATACTGGTATCATTAATTCTGATTCCGTTGATGAGATTAAATTAGTCGTGTCTGCTAAGGTTCCTGTTTCCATTCTGGCTGGTGAGTCAATTGCTCGATTGCTTTTACTACCTAATATCATTTTAAACAAAGGAAATAAGACACGTGGCACTGGGATTGGCTCCAGTGGTGAAAAGGCCGCTTAGTGAATTAATATAATTTCTAAACAATGGCCCACCTGCACCATACACATACAAGGAAAAAAGTTTGAGGGCCTAGTACTGAGGCTGATGTTTCTGTTATTTCCTCTAGTTTATGGCCTTCCTCCTGGCTTAAACATCGTGCTAACATGGGACTAGTAGGTGTCAGAAAAGCTGAGGAAGTTTATGAGAGCACATTTATCTTGCCTTGCACTGGTCCTGATGGTCAAAAGGGTACAATTCAGCCCTATATCATGCCAATTCCCATTAATCTTTGGGGTAGAGATTTGCTGGCACAATGCAGGGCTGAAATTAATATTCCACATAACTCTCACAGTGCTTCCAGTCAGCATATGATAGAAAACATGGGGTTTGTTCCTGGACTCCGTCTCGGTCCAAAACATGAAGGGATTACTAAACCCCTCCCAATTACTGTAAAATAAGACAGGGCTGGTTTAGGTTATCCTTTTTAGTGGTGGCCACTGCCAAGCCTCCTGATCCTATCCCTTTACAATGGAAATCTGACACACCTGTTTGGATAGAGCAGTGGCCACTTTCTAAAGAAAAACTGGAGGCTTTAACTCACTTGGTTTCTGAACAGTTACAACTTGGAAATGTGGAACCTTCTCTTTCCCCCTGGAATTCTCCTGTGTTTCTAGTAAAAAAGAAATCAGGCAAGTGGCGGATGGTAACTGATTTCAGGGCCATTAATTAATTAATAATTAAACCTATGGGGGCCGTCCAATCCGGCATGCCTGCTCCTGCTTTAATACCTAAAAATTGGCCTCTCATAGTTATTTATCTTAAAGATTTTTTTCATATTGCTTTACATAAATCGGATTGTGAAAAATTTGCTTTTACTGTACCATCTATCAATAATCAGGAGCCTGCAGCTCATTATCAATGGAAAGTACTTCCTCAGGGAATGCTAAATAGCCCTACAATCTGCCAGCTTTTGTTGGGCAAGTGCTTTCACCAGTTCAAGCCCAATTTCCCCAGGCCTATATTCTTCATTGTATTGATGATATTTTAATGGCTGTCCCCACTGATAAAGAATTAATTGACTGTTATTAAAGTTTGAGCCACCATGTTACAGAGGCTGGATTACACATTGCTCAGGATAAAATTCGACTGACCACTCCTGTTCAATATTTAGGAATGGTGGTCAATAAACAACGTATTCAACCTCAAAAACTTCAAATTAGGAAAGATTCTCTGAAAACTTTAAATGACTTCCAAAAACTTTTGGGTAACATTAATTATTTAATACCTACTTTATGTATTCCGACCTATACACTGTCTAACTTGTTTTCTATGCTGCGGGGAGATTCCAATCTCCGCAGTCCCAGGACTTTGACCCCTGAGGCTTCACTAGAACTGCAATTCATAGAGGAAAGAATCCTGACCGCCCAGTTATCTAGAGTACAGCTGTTTCAGCCTTTTCAGCTTCTGGTTTTTGCTTCATTACACTCCCCTACTGGACTAATAGTTCAACATAATGACTTAGTGGAGTGGTGTTTTCTTCCTCATTCTGTGTCAACAACTTTGTTTATCTAGATCAAATGGCCACTCTAATTGGACAGGCACGGTGTAGAATACTTAAGATTTCCAGATTTGATCTGAATTTAATCGTAGTTCCTTTAAATCAGTCACCTTTCAACATTCAGTATTATGGCAAATTCACTTGGCTGATTTTATTGGCGTTATTGACAATCATTATCCAAAGAACAAATTGCTTGATTTTATAAAAATGACATCTTGGGTGGTCCCTCGATTAACCAAAGATCAGCCCATTCCTGAGGCCATTACGGTGTTCACTGATGGCTCCAGTAATGGCAATGATGGTTAGGTAGGTCCTACAGGCAAGCTTATTTCTACCCCTTATACCTCTGCTCAAAAGGCAGAGTTAATTGCTGTGATTACTGCCTTACAGGATTTCCCCAAACCTTTAAATATTGTCTCTGATTCTGCTTATGTTGTACATGCCACTAAAAATATAGAAACTGCTACTATCAAACATACTGATAATTCTGAATTGGCTTCTTTATTTTCAAGGTTACAACAGGCGGTTTGCCAACGTAGACACCCTTTCTATATCACACATATTAGATCTCATACCACTTTACCAGGACCCATGTCTGCTGGTAATCATGAAGTCAATGGTTTGGTCTCTTTTGCAACCCAAGAGGCTCAGGAGTTCCATAATCTCATTCATGTCAATGCTGCTGGATTAAAAGATAAATTTGCTCTTACCTGGAAACA
Organism: Homo sapiens; assembly: GCF_000001405.40. Lineage (NCBI taxonomy): Eukaryota > Metazoa > Chordata > Mammalia > Primates > Hominidae > Homo > Homo sapiens. The sequence continues at coordinate 56,946,304 of NC_000023.11, forward strand.
GGCTAGCTTGTTGTTCACAGCTGCCCTCAGTGCCAAGTTTTTGTACTTCCAAATCAGGAACCTGGCATTAATCCCAGAGGCCTAACTCCTAACGCTTTATTGCAAATGGATGTGACTCATGTTAGCTCCTTTGGCAGACTGTCATATGTGCATGTCTCTGTACATACCTTCTCAGGTTTTATCTGGGCTACTTGCCAAACTGGGGAAGGCACGGCACATATTAAAAAAAATCTGTATTCTTGCTTTGCAGTTATGGGGCTTCCATATCAAATAAAGACAGGCAACACCCCTGGATATGTTAGTAAGGCTTTTGATTTATTTATGCAACAATGAGGACTTTCCCATATTACTGGAATCCCTTACAATCCTCAGGGACAGGCTGTGGTGGAACGGGCCAATCGCACTTTAAAAACCCAGTTGTCCAAACAGTCTGAACAACAAAAACATAATTTAACTACCACCCATTCCCAATTACATTTGGCATTGTGTACTTTAAATTTTTAAAATGTTCCTAAAGATAAAAATCTAACTGCAGCCAAAGGCCATTATACAGGCAAAAAATTCTCCCTAAACAAGGGCAAGCCCATGTTATGGAAAAACTCCCAAACCAATACCTGGGAACCTGGCACAATTATAACATGGGAAAGAGGATATGCTTGTGTTTCACCAGGAGATCATCAATCCCCTGTCTGGGTACCCACCAGGAGACTCAAGCTTTGGGTGAATACTGACAACGAAAACCACAGGGAAAAGACGTCCATGTCAGAGACTGCCCTCAGATGTGGTGAGATCTGTGCCAACTCCTTGGAAGTTGGCACACCAAATCACAATGGGTCTGATTCAATCCTCCCTGATGGGAATGGAGACCCATCTAACTAATGCCACTTCTCCTGATTACCTTTCTTTTTCTCCTTACAAACCTAAAAATCTGACCATTTCTATTAGCCTGAAAATAACATCCTTCTGTTCTTCTCGTCCTCCTTCAGCACCCAATCTCACTTACACTAGATTTTATTTAATGATTCTCCTCCTTATGCTTTCTGTCTCACCAGTTTCCTCTCATACTGATTTACCTGCTAAACGAAATTATTCTTATTGGGCTTATGTGCCTTTTCCTCCACGTATTCGACCTCTCACCTGGATGGATGCTCCTGTGGAAATCTACACTAACGATAGTGTGTGGATGCCTGGACCTAAAGAAGACCGCTGCCCTGCTCAACCAGGAGAAGGCACTGCATTTAATGTTACCATGGGTTATAAATACCCCCCTCTGTGCCTCGGATATGCACCTGGTTGTATCCAGGTAGAAACTCAAATCTGGGCTGCTTATCTTCTGGAGAGATCAGCTACCGAAGAACTGGGACATTTGGTCTCCAGCCTCTCCCTTTCTCCTTTAAAACAAATGAAAGGGGGAGTAATGGGAGATACCCCATACTTTCAATATAAACCTGCAGGAAAACCATGCCCTAAAAGTTTTGAGGGCCCATCTAAAACCTTAATTTGGGAAGATTGTGTTAACTCACATGCAGTAATATTAAGAAATGACTCATATGGTTTAGTAATAGTCTGAGCACCAAAGGGCTATTTAAAGAACAACTGCTCCTTTGGCGGAAGGGAATGCCTGGAGGCTACTTGTTTTCTTATCAGGAGAATGAGAATCATCATTCTACTTTTCATAGGAGGTTCAGCTCATTCCTTCCCTTAAAATGGGAAGATAAAGGCATTACTGGCCCCCACTCCCCGAGGCCTCATATGATAGCCCCATTTGGAGCCCAGAACACCCAGAACTTCGGAAATTGGCTACTGCCATATCTGGACTGCAATTATGGGTAGGGGAAACTATTCTGTCTGTTGTCCCTGCTACCGCCCCCATCTCTCAGTATCAACATAGATCCAGATATTCTGCTTTACTTACCTCCAACCTGACTGTTCTCATACAGAGTTGTGTTAAGCCTCCTTACATGCTGTTAGTGGGAAATATCAAAACTTGGACGAACAATCAAACTGTCCAATGCATTAATTGTCATTAATACACTTGTATTAACTCCCATTTTGACTCCAGGAAAAGTGTAATGTTGGTTCAAGCTCGAGAAGGAATCTGGATTCTGATAACTTTGCCCAGATCTTGGGAATCCTCCCACTCAATACATTTAATTAATGAAGTGTTACAGCAAATTCTAAAAAGATCTAAGAGATTTGTTTTCACTTTAATCGCTGTGATCATGGGCCTAATTACAGTCACTGCACTGGCCACCACTGCCAGAATGGCGTTACATCAATCTATTCAAATGGCTCATTTTGGTAATGATTGGCAAGCCAATTCCACCCCAATGTGGAATTCTCAACAAGGCATTGATCAAAAATTGGCTAATCAAATTAATGATTTAAAACAGTCTATTATTTGGCTTGGAGATCAGGTAGTGAGTCCTTTTTTTAAAATTGTATTGTTATTATACTTTAAGTTTCAGGGTACATATGCGCAACCTGCAGGCTTGTTACATATGTATACATGTGCCATGTTGGTGTGCTGCCCCCATTAACTCATTATTTAGCATTAGGTATATCTCCTAATGCTATCCCTCCCCCCTCCCACCACCCCACAACAGTCCCCGGTGTGTGACGTTCCTCTTCCTTTGTCCATGTATTCTCACTGTTCAATTCCCACCTATGAGTGAGAACATGCAGTGTTTGGTTTTTTATCCTTGTGATAGTTTGCTGAGAATGATGGTTTCCAGTTTCATCCATGTCCCTACAAAGGACATGAACTCACCATTTTTAATGGCTGCATAGTATTCCATGGTGTATATGTGCCACATTTTCTTAATCCAGTCTATCATTGTTGGACATTTGGGTTGGTTCCAAGTCTTTGCTATTGTGAATAGTGCCACAATAAACACACGTGTGCATGTGTCTTTATAGCAGCATGATTTATAATCCTTTGGGTATATACCCAGTAATGGGATGGCTGGGTCAAATGGTATTTCTACTTCTAGATCCCTGGGGAAATTCCACACTAACTTCCACAATGGTTGAACTAGTTTACAGTCCCACCAACAGTGTAAAAGTGTTCCTATTTCTCCACATCCTCTCCAGCACCTGTTGTTTCCTGACTTTTTAATGATTGCCATTCTAACTGGTGTGAGATGGTATCTCATTGTGGTTTTGATTTGCATTTCTCTGATGGCCAGTGATGATGAGCATTGTTTCATGTGTCTTTTGGCTGCATAAATGTCTTCTTTTGAGAAGTGTCTGTTCATATCCTTCACCCACTTTTGGATGGGGTTGTTTTTTTCTTGTAAATTTGTTTGAGTTCATTGTAGATTCTGGATATTAGCTCTTTGTCAGATGAGTAGGTTGCAAAAATTTTCTCCCATTCTGTAGGTTGCCTGTTCACTCTGATGGTAGTTTCTTTTGCTGTGAAGACGCTCTTTAGTTTAATTCAATCCCATTTGTCAATTTTGGCTTTTGTTGCCATTGCTTTTGGTGTTTTAGACATGAAGTCCTTGCCCATGCCTATGTCCTGAATGGTATTGGCTAGGTTTTCTTCTAGGGATTTTATGGTTTTAAGTCTAAAATTTAAGTCTTTAATCCATCTTGAATTAATTTTTGTGTAAGGTATAAGGAAGGGATCCAGTTTCAGCTTTCTACATATAGCTATCCAGTTTCCCAGTACCATTTATTAAATAGGGAATCCTTTCCCCATTGCTTGTTTTTGTCAGGTTTGTCAAAGATCAGATAGTTGTAGATATGTGGCATTATTTCTGAGGGCTCTCTTCTGTTCCATTGGTCTATATCTCTCTTTTGGAGCAGTACCATGCTGTTTTGGTTAGTGTTGCCTTGTAGTATAGTTTGAAGTCAGATAGCGTGATGCCTCCAGCTTTGTTCTTTTGGCTTAGGATTGACTTGGTGAGGCAGGCTCTTTTTTGGTTCCATATGAACTTTAAAGTAGTTTTTTCCAATTCTGTCAAGAAAGTCATTGGTAGCTTGATGGGGATGGCATTGAATGTATAAATTACCTTAGGCAGTATGGCCATTTTCATGATATTGATTCTTCTTACCCATGAGCATGGAATGTTCTTCCATTTGTTTGTATCCTCTTTTATTTCATGGAGCAGTGCTTTGCAGTTCTCCTTGAAGAGGTCCTTCATATCCCTTTTAAGTTGGATTCCTAGGTATTTTATTCTCTTTGAAGTAATTGTGAATGGGAGTTCACTCATGATTTGGCTCTCTGTTTGTCTGTTATTGGTGGAGAGGAATGCTTGTGATTTTTGCACACTGATTTTTTATCCTGAGACTTTGCTGAAGTTGCTTATCAGCTTGAGGAGATTTTGGGCTGAGACGATAGGTTTTTCTTGATATACAATCATGTCATCTGCAAACAGGGACCATTTGACTTCCTCTTTTCCTAATTGAATACCCTTTATTTCCTTCTCCTGCCTGATTGCCCTGGCCAGAACTTCCAACGCTATGTTGAATAGGAGTGGTGAGAGAGAGCTTCCCTGTCTTGTGCCCATTTTCAAAGGGAATGTTTCCAGTTTTTGCCCATTCATTATGATATTGGCTGTGGGTTTCTCATAGATAGCTCTTATTATTTTGAGATACGTCCCATCAATACCTAATTTATTGAGAGTTTTTAGCATGAAGGGTTGTTGAATTTTGTCAAAGGCCTTTTCTGCATCTAATGAGATAATCATGTGGGTTTTGTCTTCGGTTCTGTTTATATGCTGGATTACCTTTATTGATTTGTGTATGTTGAACCAGCCTTGCATCCCAGAGATGAAGCCCACTTTATCATGGTGGATAAGCTTGTTGATGTGCTCCTGGATTCGGTTTGCCAGTATTTTATTGAGGATTTTTGTGTCGATGTTCATCAAGGATATTGGTCTCAAATTCTTTTTTTTTGGTTGTGTCTCTGCCTGGCTTTGTATCAGGATGATGCTGGCCTCATAAAATGAGTTAGGGAGGATTTCCTCTTTTTCTATTCATTGGAATAGTTTCAAAAGGAATGGTATCAGCTCCTCTTTGTACCTCTGGTAGAATTCAGCTGGGAATCCATCAGGTCTTGGACTTTTTTTGGTTGGTAAGCTATTGATTATTGCCTCAAATTTAGAGCCTGTTATTGGTCTATTCAGAGATTCAACTTCTGCCTGGTTTAGTCTTGTGAGGATGTATGTATCGAGGAATTTATCCATTTCTTGTAGATTTTCTGGTTTATTTGCGTAGAGGTGTTTATAGTATTCTCTGATGGTAGTTTGTATTTCTGTGGGATCAGTGGTGATATCTCCTTTATCATTTTTTATTGCGTCTATTTGATTCTTCTCTCTTTTCTTCTTTATTAGACTTGCTAGTGGTCTATCAATTTTGTTGATCTTTTCAAAAAACCAGATCCTGGATGCATTAATGTTTTGAAAGGTTTTTTGTGTCTCTATTTCCTTCAGTTCTGCTCTGATCTTAGTTATTTCTTGCTTTCTACTAACTTTTGAATGCGTTTGCTTTTGCTTTTCTAGTTCTTTTAATTGGGATGTTAGGGTGTCAATTTTAGATCTTTCCTGCTTTCTCTTGTGGGCATTTAGTGCTATAAATTTCCCTGTACACACTGCTTTGAATGTGTCGCAGAGATTCTGCTATTTTGTGTCTTTGTTCTCATTGGTTTCAAAGAACATCTTTATTTCTGCCTTCATTTCATTATGTACCCAGTAGTCATTCAGGAGCAGGTTGTTCAGTTTCCATGTAGTTGAGCTGTTTTTAGTGAGTTTATTAATCCTGAGTTCTAGTTTGATTGCACTGTGGTCTGAGAGACAGTTTGTCATAATTTCTATTCTTTTACATTTGCTGAGCAGTGCTTTACTTCCAACTATGTGGTCAATTTTGGAGTAGGTGTGGTGTGGTGCTGAAAATTATGTATATTCTGTTGATTTGGGGTGGAGAGTTCTGTAGATGTCTATTATGTGTGCTTGGTGCAGAGCTGAGTTCAACTCCTGGGTATCCTTGTTAACTTTCTGTCTCATTGGTCTGTCTAATGTTGACAGTGGGGTGTTAAAGTCTTCCATTATTATTGTGTGGGAGTCTAAGTCTGTTTGTAGGTCACTAAGGACTTGCTTTATGAATCTGGGTGCTCCTGTGTTGGGTGTATTGCATATATATTTAGGATAGTTAGCTCTTCTTGTTGAATTGATCCCTTTATCATTATGTAATGGCCTTGTCTCATTTGATCTTTGTTGGTTTAAAGTCTGTTTTATCAGAGACTAGGATTGTAGCTCCTGCCTTTTTTTGTTTTCCATTTGCTTGGTAGATCTTCCTCCATCCCTTTATCTTGAGCCTATGTGTGTCTCTGCACATGAGATGGGTTTCCTGAATACAGCACACTGATGGGTCGTGACTGTTTATCCAGTTTGCCAGTCTGTGTCTTTTAATTGGAGCATTTAGCCCATTTACATTTAAAGTTAATATTGTTATGTGTGAATCTGATCCTGTCATTATGATGTTAGCTGGTTATTTTGCTTGTTAGTCAATGCAGTTTCTTCCTAGCCTTGATGGTCTTTACAATTTGGCATGTTTTTGCAGTGGCTGGTACCAGTTGTTGCTTTCCATGTTTAGTGCTTCCTTCAGGAGGTCTTTTAGGGGAGGCCTGGTGGTGATACAATCTCTCAGCATTTGCTTGGCTGTAAAGGATTTTATTTCTCCTTCACTTATGAAGCTTAGTTTGGCTGTATATGAAATTCTGGGTTGAAAATTCTTTTCTTTAAGAATGTTGAATATTGGCCCCCACTCTCTTCTGGCTTGTAGAGTTTCTGCCGAGAGATTAGCTCGGGGGTCAGGGACCCACTTGAGGAGGCAGTCTGCCCGTTCTCAGATCTCAAGCTGCATGCTGGGAGAACCACTACTCTCTTCAAAGCTGTCAGAGAGGGACATTTAAGTCTGCAGAGGTTACTGCTGTTGTTTTGTCAGTGTCCTGCCCCCAGAGATGGAGCCTACCAAGGCACGCAGGCCTCCTTGAGCTGTGGTGGGCTCCACCCAGTTAGAGCTTCCTGGCTTCTTTGTTTAGCTAATCAAATAACTAACTCAGCAGTGGGGGGGCCCCTCCGCCAGCCTCGCTGCTGCCTTGCAGTTTGATCTCGGACTGCTGTGCTAGCAATGAGCAAGACTCCGTGGGTGTAAGACCCTCTGAGCCAGGTGCGGGATATAGTCTCCTGGTGTGCCGTTTTTTAAGCCCATTGGAAAAGCGTAGTATTAGGGTGGGAGTGACCCGATTTTCCATGTGCCATCTGTCACCCCTTTCTTTGACTAGGAAAGGGAATTCCCTGACCCCTTGTGCTTCCCGTGTGAGGCGATGCCTCGCCCTGCTTCAGCTTGTGCATGGTGTGCTGCACCCACTGTCCTGCACCTACTGTCTGGCACTCCCCAGTGAGATGAACCTGGTACCTCAGTTGGAAATGCAGAGATCATCCATCTTCTGCGTCGCTCACGCTAGAAGCTGTAGACCGGAGCTGTTCCTATTCGGCCATCTTGGCTCCTCCCCCCCAGGTAGTGAGTCTTGAACATCGCATGCAAATGCATTGCGATTGGAATCAGCCCGTATTCCTATAACGAGGCTGATCATTCATGGGAAATGGTCAAAGGACACCTTCTAGGTAGGGAAGATAATTTATCATTAGACATAGCTAAAGTAAAGAAACAAATTTTTGAAGGCTCTCAACCTCATTTATCCATTGTGCCCGGAGCTGAGGCGTTAGATCAGGTGGCAGAAAAATCTTTCTGGACTAAACCCCATGACTTGGATTAAGTCTATTGGGGGCTCAACTGTAGTAAATTTTGGAATTATGTTTCTCTGTTTAATCAGCTTGTCTTTAGTGTGCCAGACCAGTGAAAGAATCCTGCATCAAAATCGAGAGAACGAAGGAGCCTTCATCACCATGGCACATTTATATAAAAAGGGAGAGATGTTGCGGGAAGTCAGGGACCCCGAACGGAGGGACTGGGTGAAGCCATGGCAGAAGAATATAAAATGTGAAGATTTCATGGACATTTATTAGTTCCCCAAATTAATACTTTTATAATTTCTTACGCCTGTCTTTACTGCAATCTCTGAACATAAATTGTGAAGATTTCATGGACATTTGTCACTTCCCCAATCAATACTCTTGTGATTTCCTATGCCTGTCTTTAATCTCTTAATCCCGTCATCTTCATAAGCTGAGGATGTATGTCACCTCAGGACCCTGTGATGATTGCGTTAACTGCACAAATTGTTTGTAAAGCATATGTGTTTAAACAATATGAAATCTGGGCACCTTGAAAAAAGAACAGGATAACAGCAATGTTCAGGGAACAAGAGAGATAACCATTAGGTCTGGCTGCCTGAGAGCCGGGTGGAACAGAGTCATATTTTTCTTCTTTCCAAAGCAAATAGGAGAAATATTGCTGAATTCTTTTTCTCAGCAAGGAACGGCCCTGAGGAAGAGAATGTGTTCCTAGGGGGAGGTCTCTGAAATGGCCGCTCTGGGAATGTCTGTCTTATACAGTTGCGGATAAGGGATGAAATAAGCCCTGATCTCTTGTAGTGCTCCCAGTCCTATTAGGATGAGGAAATTCCTGCCTAATAAAGTTTGGACAGACTGGTTGTCTGCTCTCAAACCCTGTCTCCTTATAAGATGTCATCAATGACAATGTGTGCTCAGTGGGACATGAAACTTCATTAGCATTTTTAATTTCACCCTGGTCCTGTGATCTCGCCCTGCCTCCATTTGCCTTGTGATATTTTATTACCTTGTGAAGCATGTGATCTCTGGGACCCACACCCTATTCGTACACTCCTTCCCCTTTGAAAATCACTAATAAATACTTGCTGGTTTTGCAGCTTGTGGGGCATCAGGGAACCTGCTGACATGTGATGTCTCCCCCGGATACCCAGCTTTAAAATTTCTCTGTTTTGTACTCTTTCCCTTTATTTCTCAGACTGGCCGACACTTAGGGAAATAGAAAAGAACCTATGTGAAATAACGTTGAATTATTGGGGGTGGGTTCTCCCGATAGTATCAGCTTAACATAACTAGGTATAAGATAGTATTTGTAATCCTCATGGTAACCTCAAACCAGAAAAAACAAAGAATGGACACACACAAAATTAAAGCAAGACACTAAATCCTATCACCAGACAGAATCACCTTCAGACACACACACACACACACACACACACACACACACACACACACACACACCAGGAAAGAAAAAAGGAAGACCACAGAACAACTAGAAAAATAATAACAAAATGACAGGAGTAATTCCTTAGTTATCAATAATAACACTGAATATAAATAAACTAAATTCTCTCATCAAATGACACAGAGTGGCTGAATGGATAAAAAAGATCCATTGATCTGATGACTGCAGGAAATACACTTCACCTACAGAGACACACATGGACTAAAAATAAAGAAATAGAAAATAATATTGCATGCAAATGGAAACCAAAAAGAGCAAGTGTAGCTATACTTACATCTGACTAAATAAATTTTAACAAAAGATTATAAGTGGAAACAAAGAAGGACTCTATATAATAATAAAGGAGTCATTTCAGCAAGAGTATATAACAATTTTAAATACACATGCACCCAATACTGGAGCACCCAGATGTATAAAGCAAAAATTATTAGAGCTAAAGAGAGAAACAGGCCCCACTACAATAATTGCTGTAGACATCAACACCCCACTTTCAGCAATGGACAGATCTTTCAGATAGAAAATCAAGAAAGAAACATCGAACCTAATCTGCACTATAACAAAATGAATCTAATAGGTATTTACAGAACATTTCATCCAATAGTTGCAGAATACACATTCTTTTCTTAAGCACATGGGTAATTCTCAGTAGTAGATTATATCTTAGGTCATAAACAAGTTTTAAAGCTTTACAAATTATGAAATAACATCAAGAATCTTTTCTGAGCCCAATGGAATAAAATTAGAAATCTATGAAAAGAAAGAATTCTGGAAACTATACAAACACGTGGAAATTAATATGCTCCTGGATGAACAGTGCATCAATGAAGAAATTAACAAAGAAACAGAAGATTTTCTTGAAACAGATGATAATGGAAACACAACATAACAAAACATATGGGATATAATGAAAGAACTATTAACAGGAAACTTTATATCTATCAGTGCCTACGTGAAAAAAAAAAAAAACTTCAAATAAAAAACGTAAAAATGCATCTTAAAGAAGTAGAAAAGCAAGAGCAAACCAAACCCAAAATTAGTAGAAAAAAATAATAATGATCAGAACAGAAATAAGAAAACAATACAACAGATCAATAAAACAAAAAGTTTGTTTTTTGAATAAAGAAAATGGATGATCCTTTAGCCATACTACAAAAAAATAAAGACGATCCAAATAAATAAAATCAGAGATAAAAATGAGACATTAATATTGAAATGCCCAAATTAAAAGGATCTTTAGTGGCTATTAGGAGCAACTATATGCCAATAAATTGGAAAATCTTGAAGAAATGGAAAAATGCCTAGACAAATTAAACTTACCAACTTTGAACAATAAAGAAGTTAAGGAGGTTGGGTGCGGTGGCTCACGCCTGTAATCACAGCACTTTGGGAGGCTGAGGCGGGCGGATCACGAGGTCAGGAGACCGAGACCATCCTGGCCGACATGGTGAAACCCCGTCTCTACTAAAATACAAAAAATTAGCCGGGCATGGTTTCACACACTCCTGTATTCCCAGCTTCTCAGGAGGCTGAGGCAGGGGAATCACTTGAACCCAGGAGGCAGAGGTTGCAGTGAGCCGAGATCGTGCCACTACACTACAGCCTGGCAACAGAGTGAGACTCTGTCTCAAAAAAAAAAAAAAAAAAAAAAATAGAGAAATTAAGGCCAGTCACTTTGGGAGGCTGGGGAGGGCTCATCATTGAGGTCAGGAGCTCGAGACCAGACTTGCCGAAATGGTAAAACCCTGTCTCTACTAAAAATACGAAAAATTAGCTGGCATGGTGGCGTGCACTAAGGCACAGTTCTAGCTACTCGGGAGGCTGAGGCAGAAGAATGGCTTGAACCCTGGAGGCGGAGGTTACAGTGAGCCAAGATCATGCCACTGCACTTCAGCTTGGGCAACAGACAGAATCTCTGTCAAAAAAAAAAAGACAGAAAAGAAAGAGAGAGAGCGAGAAAGGAAAAGAAAATAAAAAAAGAAAAGGAAGGAAAAGAAAAGAAAAGAAAGGAAAAGGAGAAATTGAAAACTTGATCAGATCAAAATTGAGTAACAAGATAGAAGCCATAATAAAAAGTATCTAAGTAAATAAATTTCTGGACCCAGTGGTTTTTGCCGAATTATACCAAACATTTAAAGAAGAACCAGGCTGGGCACGGTGGCTTATGCCTGCAATCCTAGCACTTTGGGAAGCTGAGGCAGGCAGATCACGAGGCCAGGAATTGGAGACCAGCCTGGCCAATATGGTGAAACCCCGTCTCTACTAAAAATACAAAAATTAGCCAGGCGTGGTGGCGCTCACTAAGGCACGGTCCCAGCTACTTGGGATGCTAAAGCAGAAGAATCAGTTAAACCCAAGAGGCAAAGGTTGCAGTGAGCCAAAATCGTGCCACTGCAGTCCAGCCTGTGTGACAGAGCGAGACTCCTTCTCAAAAAAGCAAAGCAAAAAAAAAAAAAAAAAAAAGGAAAAGAAAGAACAACTACCAATCCTACTCAAACTATTCCAAAAAAATACAGGAGAAGGAAATACTTTCAAACTTAGTCCACAAAGCCACAGCTACTCTGATACCTAAACCATAGAAACATCAAAAACAGAAAAGTAAATACCAATATCTCTGATGAATATGGATGCAAATATCCTTCATGAAATACTATCAAATTCATCAAAAAATACTATCAAATTGAATTCAACAATATATTGAATATATTATTCATCATGACTGAATGGGATTTATCCCTTGTATGCAAGCATGAATCAATATATGCAAATAAATCAATGTGATACATTATATAATCAGAATAAGGGACAAAAACCATATGATCATTTCGATTGATGTGGAAAAAGCATTTGATAAAGTTCAACATCCCTTAATAATAAAAACCCTCACAATACTGGGTATAGAACGAGCATACCTTAACATAATAAAAGCCATATATGAGAGACCCAAATGTATCATTTGTGAACGGGAAAAAACTGAAAACCTCAGCTCTAAGATCTGGAACCTAATAAAGATGCCCACTTTCACCACGGTTATTCAGCTTGGTAGTGGAAGTCCTGGATAGAGCAATGAGACCAGAGAAAGAAAAGCAGGGCATCCAAATTGGAAGAAAGGAGTCGAATTATTTTCATTTGCAGATTGTATGATTTTATATTTAGAAAAACTTGCAGACTCGAACAAAAACAATTATTGGAATTCACAAATACAGTAAAGTTGTAAGATACAAAATCAATATACCAAAATTAGTAACATTTCTATATTCCAACAGAGAACAATATAAAGAGGAAAGCCAAAAAGTAATTTCACTTATAATAGCTACAAATAAAATAAAATACCTAAAAATTACCAAAAGAAGTGAAAGATCTGTAGAATAAAAACTAAAACATTAATGCAAGTCACTAAAGAGTAAACCAAAAATTGGAAAGATATTCCAGGTTTATGAATTTGAAGAATCCATATTTTTATAATGTCCATACTACTAAAAGCAATCTATAGATTCAATGCAATTCCCATCAAAATACCAATGACATTAATCACAGAAATAGAAAAAATATCCGAAAATTTATATGGAACCAAAAAATGTTCAGAATAGCCAAAACTATCCTAAGTAAAAAGAACAAAAGTGGAAGAATTACAATACCTCATTTCAAATTATACTACAGAGCTATAGTAGCGGAAACAACACGATACTGGCATAAACACATATAGTCCGATGGAACAGAATACAGAACCCAGAAATAAATGCACACACCTACAATGAACACATTTTCAGCAAAAGTGCCAATGACATACACTGCAGTAAAGACAGTCTTTTCAATAAATGTTGCTGGGAAAACTGGAAATCCATATGAAGAAGAGTAAAACTAGACCCCTATCTTTTTCCATATACAAAAATCAAATCAAAATGGATTAAAGGCTTAAATCTAAAACCCAAACTTATGAAACTACTACAAGAAAGAACTGAGGAAAATCTCCTTGACATTGTTCTGGGCAAAAATTTCTGGAGTCATATTCCAGAATCACAGGCAGCCAAAACAAAATTGGACAAATGAGATCACATCAAGTTAGAAATCTTTTGCAGAACAAAGAAAACAACCAACCAAGTGAAGACACAACCTACAGAATATATAAGGAGCTCAAACAACTGTATAGGAAAAAATCTAATAATCTGATCAAAAATGGGTAAAGAATTTGAATAGACATTTCTCAAAAGGAGACCTACAAATGGCAAACAGGCATATGAAAAGGTGCTCAACATCATTGATCATCAGAGAAATGCAAATCAAATCTACAATCGGTTAACATCTCACACCAGTTAAAATTGTTTATATCCAACATAGGAAATAAACAATGCTGGTGAGCATGTGGAGAAAAATGAACAATTGTACACTGTTGATGCAAGTGTACAACCACTATGAAAAAAAATTTAGAGGTTCTTCAGAAAATTAAAAACAGAACTACCAATTAGATCCAGCAATCCCACTACTGGGCATATCCCCAAAAGTAATAAAGTCAGTATACTGAAGAGATATCTGCACTCCCATGTTGGTTGTAGCACTATTCACGATAGCCAAGATTTGCAAGCAGTGTAAGCGTCCATTAACAGATGAATGGATAAAGTAAATGTGATATTTATACACAATGCAGTAATATTCAGCCATAAAAAAGAACGAGATCCTGTCATTTGCAACAACATAGATAGAACTGGAAATCATTATGTTAAGTGAAATAAGCCAGGCATATAAAGACAAATATTGGATGTTTTCACTTATTTGTGGGATCCAAAAATCAAAACAATTGAATCATTGAAATAGAGAGTAGAAGGATAATTACCAGATGCTGGAAAGGGTATTGGGGGATTATGGGGGAGATGGGGATGATTAATAAGTACAAGAAATAGAAAGAATGAATAAGACCTACTATTTGACAGCACAACAGGCGGACCATAGTCAATAATGATTGAATTGTACATTTAAAAATAACCAAAAGAGTATAATTAGTTTGTAACACAAAGGTTACATCCTAGAAGTAATGGATACCCCATTCTCTATGATGTATTTACTTCACATTGTATGCCTGTATCAAAATATCTCATGTACCCACTAAATATATACACCTATTGTATACCCACAAAAGTTAAAAATTAAAAAACTAAAAAACACAATGTGATATCCCCTCACATTTTAGAATGCTTAGTATTAAAATGACAAGAGATAACAAATGTTGGTAAGAATATGGGGAAAAGGGAACCCTTGTAGCTGATGGGAAGAATGTAAATTAGTGTAGCCAATGTGGAAAATATTATGGAGGTTCCTCACAAAATTAAAATTAGAACTCCCATAAAATCCAGCAATTCCTCTTATGGGTATATATCCAGAGCAAATGAAATCAGTACATAGAAGAGATATTAACACTTTTATGTTTCTTGTAGCATTATTTACAACAGCCAATATACAGAAAAAACCTAGGTGTCTATAGATAAATAAAGAAATTCTGGTTTATTGTGGACACAAAAAGAATAAAATAATATCCCATGTTCATGGATTGGAAGAATTAATAATATTAAAATGTCCATACTACCCAAAGTGATCTACAGAATCAATGCAATTCCTATCAAATTTCAATGGGATTTTTCATAAAAATAACAATTCTATAAAATACATCATATTATATATAATATGTATTATATATTATACATAATGCAATATGTAATAAATATATAGTGATATATATATATATATATATATAAAATACCATACACAATGTAATACAATTCAGCTTTAAAAAAAAATCCTGTCATTTGTAACAAGATGCATGATTCTGGAGAACATTATTCTAAGTGAAATAAGCCAGGCACAGAAAGAAAAATACTGTATTATCTCACCTATATGTGAAATCTAAAAACATCAAATACATGGAAGCAGAGTAGAACAGTGGTTACCAGGGGTCATCAGGAATGAGAAATGGGGAGATGTTGGTCAAAGGGTAAAAACTTGAAGCTCTAAGATAAATAATTTCTGGAGATGTACTATAAAACATGACAATATAATTAATAATAATATAGTACATACTTGAAATTTGTTAAGAGAATAAGTATTCTCAGCACTCACACAAAGGTAACTATTTGCTGTAGTTACTGCATCACATTTTAAAAACTTTCTTTTAAAAGTAGGTGATGGATTTGTGAATTAGCTTGTGATAATCAAGATATTTATTGTATATTGTATGCTGCACATTAAAACATCTTCTACACTTTGAATGTATACAATTTTGTCAATAAAGCTGAAAAAAAGATCAGGTCTTCTTATCTTATGGTTCTTCTCCTAAATAAACCTCACTGAGTGTGCAAGCAATACCTGTGGGAATTCGGGTTTGGGAACTGACACCATAATGTTAATCTGGCTACTGCTGTTCTTGTGAGTAATAAATGCCTTTTGTCCCGGATGTAGGAGTCTAGAATGTATCAAATAGACAAGCTAGTTTGTTAGCTTGCAAATAAGGTAAAATCTCAGACCTTTACATAGTTCTTAATTTTCTTAAATACAGGTACCACAGTTGAAACTTGCTAGAAGCAAATTAGATTGTTTGTGTTTCTTGACCTTGGAATAAATGTACTGATGAGGGCAAGGGACATATTTCCTTCATAATAAAGTACATAAATTATAATAGAAGTAAAATAAAAATATGGCTCTAGGCCAAGAGTCTAGAAACTTTTCCAAATCCTCTAAAATTAATTTCTTATGACTGCAGTTTTGTAACACATGGGAATTTCTATATATTAATCACCTCCTTTTGTACCCATACAAATAAACCAAATGAACAAAGCAAAAAATAATTTGTAACAAGTCAAAACATTGTAAAATTAATTTATGAGAATAAAACTATACATTAGTAGTATAATATTATATGACAATAGGAATGAATATACAAAACTAAACTAACACTTCCCCCATTGGCTTAATTGGTTCTGGATAGAAGAATCAAGGCAGAAAAAAATGTACATTTTAAAAAAGTCTTGCCTTCTGAGAAATAAGCCCTGGATTACGGGAAAATTCTAAAAGCCTTGTCTCTAGATTAGATTTCAAGTATCAAAGTGAAGAAGAACTATTTTTAAAGCAACATAACCCAAATACTGTCCAATTAGTATTGTTGACTGTCATATAACAATTTAAATATAAACGTATCTTTCTCTCTTTATCCCGGTGGTCCAGTATATTAGTCCGTTTTCATGCTGCTGATAAATACACACCTGAGAGTGGGCAATTTATAAAAGAAAGAGGTTTATTGGACTTACAGTTCCACAAGGCTGGGGAGGCCCCAAAATCATGGCAGAAGGCAAGGAGGAGCAAGTCACATCTTACATGGATGGCAGCAGTCAAAGAGATAGCTTGTGCAGGGCAACTTCTGTTTTTAAAACCATCAGATCTTGTGAGATCCACTCACTATCATGAGTACAGCATGGAAAAGACCCATTCCCATAATTCAATAATCTCCCACCGGGTCCCTACCACAATATATGGGAATTATGGGAGCTACAAAATGAGATTTGGGGAAGGGCACAGTGGCTCACGCCTGTAATCCCAGCACTTTGGGAGGCTGAGGCAGGGGATCATGAGGTCAGAAGTTTGAGATGAGCCTGGCCAACATGGTGAAACCCCGTCTCTACTAAAAAATACAAAAATTAGCCGGGGGTGGAGGCATGTGCCTGTAGTCCCAGCTACTCAGGAGGCTAAGGCAGGAGAATTGCTTGAACCTGGGAGATGGAGGTTGCAGTGAGCCAAGATCATGCCACTGCACTCCAGCCTGGGTGACACAGTGAGACTCTATCTCAAAAAAAAAAAAAAAAAAAAAAGGATTTGGATTTGGGTGGGGAAACACAGGCAAACCATATCATCCAGTTTTACTGAAAGAGGAGTATCCTGCATTATGCAAAGCTGAATTCCACTCTACAATAAAATAATTGTTTATGTGGTTTGTTTTTAATCTATTTTTGACACCACCACGTCTTGAGGTACACCATCACATGTCTTGAGTCTTGAGGTAAAGAAAACCATCTTTTTCCTGTTTTAAGCCTCTCAGCCTTTCATTTCCACACTCACACACACACACACACACACTCTCACACACACACAAACTCTTATCATAAGAGAAGATAATCTAGATTTCCCTTTTGTGTTTAAACTATTTTGTAAAAATACAATAAAACAGAGTCTTAAATTTTTCTTTTTTTAGATTTTGGAGAAACACTAATCTTAGGCACATTTTAAAAGTAAAAACAAAGATACTCACAGGCATGCACACACACACATACACACACCTAAGTCTTTCCTTTAAACAAAAAAACTGCTATTTCATAAATCTCTAAAAGATATTTTTTAGAATTGACATAAGAAAGAGTAGCAGCTACATTCATATATCAGAAAATCCTTGACAAAGCAGCAGCAGAGATGGATTTCTGAGAGGCTACCTTCTCCTATGCCATCGTTAAACCAAACTGTGTTTTTACTTAGGAGAGCTGGAGATACCTTAAAGTTATGCTCCTAAGAGCCAGAGACCCTAAGCCTTTCTCAGTATATTAATTACCTGAAGGACATGTGGAACCAAAGCAAATAATTGGACTCAGAAAGAGAAAGGCAGCAATTACAGGAAAAAAAGTGATCCAAAATCAGGTATGAGGGCAATCAGTACAGATTGCCTCAAGTCAGAAGGCTAAGAAGAGACTACATAAGGAAAATGAAAGTGCTAAAATATCTGCTGTGAATAACTGTATGAGAGGAGACTTTGATAGCTAGCAAAGACTTTAGTTTTGGGTAAGTAATAAGAACATACAAAAATCAAGTACGTGGGGGAAAAGGCCAACCTTAATTCCAGAAAAAACAAGGTGTTGTGCAGGAAAGAAATAGTAATCATAGTCTAACAAATGGCTCAGCTGTAAAAAAAAAAAAAATACACATATAATCATATAAATACTACACAGTTGTCTAACAAAAGTTATAATTTGGAGGGAGGAGGAGTTGAGGCACAAAGAGATGATTGAGGCACAGAGGGAAAAAAGAGAAATGATTCTTCATCTTGCACGTTGAAATGCAGATAAACTATGCCTAAAACTGAAAAACCAGTAAGTTGCTATATAAGCCTATTATTTTGAAAGAAAGATACATAACAATAAAATAACCAGAAAATTCAAAGTGGAAATGGAGAGAGGTGGATTGGTGACTGCTGTTTGCCTTAACACACTGCTATGGACTGAATATTTGTGTCCATTCAAAATTCGTATTTTGAGACCTGAATAGTTTATTAAGAGATATGACTTTTGGGAGGTGATTAGGTAGAGTGAAGCCCTTGTCACTTGTATTAGAGTGTTTATAAAAGGAGCCAAAAGGAGCTTATTTCCTTCTTCTGCCATGTGAGGTCACAGTGAAAAGATACCTTCTATGTCTCAGAAGATGGCCCTCAGAAGACATGTAATCTTCTCGCACCTTAATCTTGGACTTCTCAGCTTCCAGAACTGTGAGAAATAAGTTTCTGTTGTTTATAAGCTACTCAATCTATAGTTCTTTTTTAAATAGCAACCAGAATGGACTAAGCCACATACTCTGTAGAATTAGCTGACTCTTTAAACTATGTGCATGTATAACTTTAATACAAAATTTTAATTAAAAATATATTTGACTTAAATGGCTGTAATGGAAGTATATAGAGAATCATCAGAAAATGCTCAAGAAAGTGGGGATAGGTAATTCTGGTAGAAGAAAAAAATAAAACCTGCATGGAGACCTTGTTAATACTGAGCATTTTAACTCTTAAAGGGAGGACTTGTTAGAATAGTTGAAACACTTACTGCTAAATACCAAGAATTATTGACATTAAAAGTTCAATAAACGTTCATTCATCTCTACTCAATAATAAATAAGTAGGGAAAAGTCTCATGAGAGAGACATTACAGCAGCTAAAGATATCAGGGTGGAGGATGTTCTGAACACTGCATTAGTGTGTGAGTGTGCATGTGTGTGTATGTGTGTGTGATGCCTAGACATAGATAGAGCCTTAAATGCACTGAAGATTTTAACTATCAAAAGGTTAACCCTGTCCACTAAAATGTTTGTCAAACACAAGAAATTGCAATTATAATGGTTTTATATATTCCATCCAGTTCAGAATGGTTAGAAATAAAGTCAACAGACAGTATTTATGACCGCTATAATCAAAAATGGCACTGGGTTCCAAAGATTCTAACAGTGATTCCAGGTCACTAATCCCATGTGCCTCTGGGCCAAAAGTCATCACCTTTTAATACCTATAGTTATGATCTAGTATCTGCTTGTTCCACAAGCCAGGTCTCCACAATACGTCTAAGTCACAATGGGGTTTCAAAAGGCCCAGTATTCCCCACAGCCCCTCAGATCAGACATTTTGTTTTCCTCTCACCTGGACCATCTGAATCAAATCAGATTTTTAAATCCTGTGATAAGGACAGTTTGCACCTAAGCCTCTAGATGGGAATTTCATGTAAACTGTAAGAATGAGAAGCTTGGAGAAATCCAAGTGCTTTAGGGCCAACTAAATATTTTAACTATGCCTTTGGTATCAAAAGTTTCTGATTCAAGATAAGGGCCCCTGAGGTTTTTATACAGCATGAATTAGTTACAGGATGGTAATTTAAACAAATTTGTGTTCTTACATATGTAGCGAGATTGATGTAGGAGAGTTCTTAAATCACATTCGTAAATATTAGAGTAATTCTGAATTTCTTGGATACGTTACTCTGAAGCTAACTTTAACAGTAGTGGTAATTATAAATGTGGGAGGGGCACGGACCACACAGATGTTACAGGATATAATTTATAGTCTTGTGATCCAAACTAAAAGAGAAGTACAACTTAGTAGACTTTACCTTGAAAATTAATGGTTTGCTACATAATTAATGTATCTCTTCATGAATGGAGAAAAAATTAGCTTAGCTACAAGAACAGGCTCAACTGATTCATGGGCTCTTATGATTTTTTTTTTTCCTGCACAAAGTTTCAAATGACTAGATTGTGCTTTCTGAAAATTATTTAGGTGTTATTTAACAGAAAGGAATTGGAAAAAGGTAATCATTGCTTCATAAGTAGCATTATTATGGCATTATAACTTTAAAGATATAATACTTCTCAGCTAATTGCATTGTGTGAGTATTGGAAACTGACTTAATAAGCAACTTACCAGTATCTGTTGCTCTTGCTGTAAGACCATTTGCTATTTGGATGCCAGACTAAAAATCCATTTGATAATGATTCTAAGTCTTGAGTCACATTCACAAATGTGAATGTTTTCAATATAGCATCTGCACTGCTAGCAATCCAGAAAATATTTCAAGTAGTACTGGAGATCATTCAATACAAGCCAGATTATAAGAGATAAAGTTGCAACCATGCAGATGACTAGGTGCCTACTCCCTGCCCCCTCACATCATATTATTCTGGGTGAGTAGCAAGCTGGATTACACTCTCCCTTACCTGTCCTCAGTCAAATGATCAGGCCCAATGTCAACACAACTGAGACTTAATAGAGACCTATTCATAGTGAAATTGAATACTCCTCTAGACAGAAGATATGTGGTAGTCAAGACATCCAATGTTTGGCATTTCAAAAAATAAGTTCCATAGAAGTGTTTTGATAAACTTGTCTGAGTATACCTCTGTCATAAAAGGATGCTTCTGGTTTACCAGGGTGGTGTATGATACCAAGGCAAGAGGCCTACTTAACTGTGGGCTATTGGTATGAAAAGGACATACAGATGGATATTGATCAAATTTCCCTGTATCTTGCTAGGAGGTAGATAGCCTGTTTTTGTTTGTGTGTTTGTTTGTTTGTTTGTTTTTTCCAAATTCCTATGGGATATACTTTCACATTGTAGCAGCATATCTGACATCACCATGGTAAGAATCCTGCATTGCTGTTCAAGGACGTTTTCATTCTCTTGTAAAGTTTCATATAGCAACCTCATAAATGATAGTAAAGCAAAGGTTTGCTAAAGATATATACCATGCAAAAGACACACATTGCCTTCAGTGCACATGCCTGACAAAACCTTTACATTTTTCTTGATTATTTACATGACAATCTCTTTAGTGGTTTTCACCATTAGAGAAAAGAATCCTGGAACTTCTCTTTGAGGAAACTTATGGAAACTGAAATTGCCAGCAGAGATGTACATTAGAATTTATTTCTGTCAGACAACAGCACTTGCTTATAGAATTACAGGTGATAAGACACAGCTTAAAGTTAAGGGAATAATACACTGAGTATCAGAAGTAGCAACTTTGCCTAGAAACTTTTTATGATACCACAAAGAATCTTTGTGTTATCTGTTGACAGTCCTGAATGTTTTTTATGAGAGTGTGGGGTAAATTAGGCTTGGTGGAAGGGGTCACCAAAACAGAGAACTTTATAATTGGTGGTAGAAGAAGAAAGCAAAAGAGAGATGCAGAAGACGAAGTCAAAGATATTACAAGCATAAGGATTCAATGCATGTTGCTGGATCTGAGATGTAGGGAGCCATTTGCAAAGACTAGAGAGAAGCCTCTAGAAGATAAGAGAGACCCTGACTGACAACCAGAAGGAAAATGGGGACCTCAGTCCTATAACTGAAAAAAAACTGGATTCTACCAACAACCTGAAAAAACTTGGAAGCAGATTCTTCTCAGATAAAAGTCCAACAGGCTGATGCTGGCTTCTGACCAACAAAATTATGAGATAAATGAGTGTCATTTTAAGCCACCAAATTTGTGGCAATGTATTCTGGCAGCAATAGAAAACCAGTACTGTAGGGCCAGGCGCGGTGGCTCACGCCTGTAATCCCAGCACTTTGGGAGGCCAAGACGGGCGGATCACAGGGTCAGGAGATCGAGACCATCCTGGCTAACACGGTGAAAACCCGTCTCTGCTAGAAATACAAAAAATTAGCTGGGCATGGTGGCGGGCGCCTGTAGTCCCAGCTACTCGGGGAGGCTGAGGCAGGAGAATGGCGTGAACCCGGGAGGTGGAGCTTGCAGTGAGCCGAGATCGCGCCACTGCACTCTAGCCTAGGCAACAGAGCAAGACTCCGTCTCAAAAATAAATAAATAAATAAATAAATAAATAAATAAACAAACAAATAAATAAGAAATAAATAAAAATTAAAAAAAAAAGATAACCAGTACTGTAACCTCTTAATGATAGTAATTACATCATAATGTCCTATGAGAATTAAATTAATATATAGAAATCCTCACAAAAGTATCTGGCACATAGTTAGTGCTATATCAGCATTTGCCAAGTTGATTAATATGCAGAATATCTTAAAAGATGCAAAGATATGTCTATTGCACAGGTTTGTCAAGTTTGGTATTTACTATGCTTTTTTATTTCTCTATCATTTTAGGCAGTCTTGAGAAGTTAAAACACTTACCTTTCCTAGGGAAAGCAAAATATGCCAAATATATACTTGCAAAACTCCTTTACATACCAAGTTTTCTGACTCATATTGCCTAAGAGACATTTAAAAAGTATATTTAATTTTAAAATTTTAAACACATATTGGAAGAAACTTTTAAACCCATAGCCCATTAAAATACACAAAATGTCATTATCTGTTTTCCTAATCAGATCTGTGACTCCATATACTCAGTGATGAGCCCTTTCATACTTTCCTGTATGAGTCAGAGAAGTATGCTTTGCTCTTAGCAGGCATCTTTTATACACATTTTAAATTATCTTTTAGAGAAAGTCTAGTGACAAATGTTTGCTGATACAGTGCATAATATTTTCTTTGGGGCATAATTTTCGACAGGCTTTTCATCATAATCCATTATATACTACTTGATTATATAGACATAATATATACACATATACACACACACAAACACATATAGTGTCATGTGTCACAATGATGCGGATACTTTCAGAGAAATGCATTGTTAGGTGATTTCATTACTGTGTGAACATTTCAGAGTATACTTACACAAACCAAGATGGGATAGCCTACCTACATAGTATAGCCTATTGTTCCTAGGCTACAAACCTTTGCAGCATGTTACTGTACTGCATACTATAGACAAATGTAACACAATGGTAAGTATTTGTGTATCTAGTCATATCTAAGTATAAAAAAGTACAGTAAAAATATGATATAAATTATTGAAAAATGGTACAACTGTATAGGGAACTTGCCATAAATGAAGCTTGCAGAACTGGAAGTTGCTCTGGTTGAGTCAGTGAGTACATGGTGAGTAAAGGTGAAGGCCCAAAACATTAGTGTACCCTACTGTAGACTTTACAAACACTGTACACATAGGCTACACTAAATTTATTTTAAAAAATTGTTTCTCTCTTCAATAAAAAATTAACCTTAGCTTACTGTAATATTTTTACTTTATAAATATTTTAACTTTTGACTCTTGTAATAACACTTTACTTAAAACAATAACACACTGTACATGTGTTCAAAAATATTTTCTTTCTTTATGTCATTACTCGATAAGCATTTTCCCATTTTTAAGTTTTAAAATTTACTTTACATACTTTTTGTGTTAAAAAAGTAAGATAGAAACACACACATTAGTCTAGGCCTATACAGGGTCAGGCCTTCACATCTTTTCTCACTGGGAGGTCTTCAGGGGTAATAACATGCATGAGGTTATCACCTTCTATGATAAAAATGCTTCTCCTGGAATATCTCCTGAAGACCTGCCTGAGGCTCTTTAATGGCTAAGTTTTTAATTTTATTTTAGGTTTTAATTTTTATTTATTCATTTTTTTGAGACAGAGTCTAGCTTTGTTGCCCAGGCTGGAGTGCAGTGGCACAATCTTGGCTCACTACAACCTCCACCTCCCATTCCCAGGCTCAAACAATTCTCCTGCCTCAGCCTCCCAGGTAGCTTGAGGTGAGGAGTTCGACACCAGCCTGGTCAACATGGTGAAACCCTGCCTCTACAAAAAATACAAAGTTTTTTTAAAAAATAAGAAGTAGTATATTCTAAAATAATGATAAAAAGTATAAAAAAAGTATAAAATTGACAACCTAACATCACAATTAAAAAAACTACGGAAAGAAAATAAAACACATGCAAAAGCTAGCAGAAGACAAAAAATAACTAAGATCAGAGCAGAACTGAAGGAGATAGAAACACGAAGAACCCTTCAAAAAGTCAATGAATCTGGGAGCTGGTATTTTGAAAAGATCAACAAAATTGATAGACCACTCGCCTGGCTAATAAAGAAGAAAAGAGAGAAGAATCAAATAGATGCAATAAAAAATGATAAAGGGGATATCACCACTGATCCTACAGAAATACAAATTGCCATCAGAGAATACTATAAACACCTCTATGCAAATAAACTAGAAAATCTAGAAGAAATGGATAAATTCCTGGACACATACACCCTCCCAAGACTAAACCAGGAAGAAGCTGAATCTCTGAATAGACCAATAACAGGCTCTGAAATTGAGGCAGTAATTAATAGCTTACCAACCAAAAAAAGTCCAGGACCAGATGGATTCACAGCTGAATTCTACCAGAGGTACAAGGAGGAACTGGTACCATTCCTTCTGAAACTATTCCAATCAATAGAAAAAGAGGGACTCCTCCCTAACTCATTTTATGAGGCCAGAATCATCCTGATACCAAAGCCTGACAGAGAAAAAACAAAAAAAAAGAGAATTTTAGACCAATACCCTTGATGAATATTGATACAAAAATTCTCAATATAAAATACTGGCAAACCGAATCCAGTAACACATCAAAAAGCTTATCCACCATGATCAAGTGGGCTTCATCCCTGGGATTGAAGGCTGGTTCAACATACACAAATCAATAAACATAATCCAGCATATAAACAGAACCAAAGACAAAAACTACACGATTATCTCAATAGATGCAGAAAAGGCCTTTGACAAAATTCAACAACCCTTCATGCTAAAAACTCTCAACAAATTAGGTATTGATGGGACTTATCTCAAAATAATAAGAGCTATCTATGACAAACCCACAGCCAATATCATACTGAATGGACAAAAACTGGAAGCATTCCCTTTGAAAACTGGCACAAGACAGGGATGCCTTCTCTCACCACTCCTATTCAACATAGTGTTGGATGTTCTGGCCAGGGCAATTAGGCAGGAGAAGGAAATAAAGGGCATTCAATTAGGAAAAGAGGAAGTCAAGTTGTCCCTGTATGCAGATGACATGATTGTATATCTAGAAAACCCCACTGTCTCAGCCCAAAATCTCCTTAACCTGATAAGCAACTTCAGCAAAGTCTCAGGATACAAAATCAATGTGCAAAAATCGCAAGCATTCCTCTCCACCAATAACAGACAAACAGAGAGCCAAATCATGAGTGAACTCCCATTCACAATTACTTCAAAGAGAATAAAATACCTAGGAATCCAACTTACAAGGGATGTGAAGGACCTCTTCAAGGAGAACTACAAACCACTGCTCAATGAAATAAAAGAGGATACAAACAAATGGAAGAAGATTCCATGCTCATGGTTAGGAAGAATCAATATCGTGAAAATGGCCATACTGTCCAAGGTAATTTATAGATTCAATGGCATCCCTATCAAGCTACCAATGACTTTCTTCACAGAATTGGAAAAAACTACTTTAAAGTTCATATGGAACCAAAAAAGAGCCTGAATCACCAAGTCAATCCTAAGCCAAAAGAACAAAGCTGGAGGCATCACGCTACCTGACTTCAAACTATACTACAAGGCAACACTAACCGAAACAGCATGGTACTGGTACCAAAACAGAGATATAGACAAATGGAACAGAACAGAACCCTCAGAAATAATGCTGCATATCTACAACTATCTGATCTTTGACAAACCTGACAAAAACAAGCAATGGGGAAAGGATTCCCTATTTAACAAATGGTGCTGGGAAAACTGGATAGCTATATGTAGAAAGCTGAAACTGGATCCCTTCCTTACACCTTATACAAAAATTAATTCAAGATGGATTAAAGACTTACATGTTAGACCTAAAACCATAAAAACCCTAGAAGAAAACCTAGCCAATACCATTCAGGACATAGGCATGGGCAAGGACTTCATGTCTAAAACACCAAAAACAATGGCAACAAAAGCCAAAATTGACAAATGGGATTGAATTAAACTAAAGAGCTTCTGCACAGCAAAAGAAACCACCAGCAGAGTGAACAGGCAACCTGCAGAATGGAGACAATTTTTGCAACCTACTCATCTGACAAAGGGCTAATATCCAGAATCTACAATGAACTCAAACTAATTTACAAGAAAAAAACAACCCCATCCAAAAGTGGGTGAAGGATGTGAACAGACACTTCTCAAAAGAAGACATTTATGCAGCCAAAAGACACATGAAAAAATGTTCATCATCACTGGCCATCAGAGAAATGCAAATCAAAACCACAATGAGATATCATCTCACACCAGTTAGAATGGCAAT
This sequence comes from Homo sapiens, assembly GCF_000001405.40. Lineage (NCBI taxonomy): Eukaryota > Metazoa > Chordata > Mammalia > Primates > Hominidae > Homo > Homo sapiens. Next base: position 56,972,977 of record NC_000023.11, read on the forward strand.
CATTAAAAAGTCAGGAAACAACAGGTGCTAGAGAGGATGTGGAGAAATAGGAACACTTTTACACTGTTGGTGGGACTGTAAACTAGTTCAACCATTGTGGAAGTCAGTGTGGTGATTTCTCAGGGATCTAGAACTAGAAATACCATTTGACCCAGCCATCCCATTACTGGGTATATACCCAAAGGATTATAAATCATGCTGCTATAAAGACACATGCACACGTATGTTTATTGAGGCACTATTCACAATAGCAAAGACTTGGAACCAACCCAAATGTCCAACAATGATAGACTGGATTAAGAAAATGTGGCACATATACACCATGGAATACTATGCAGCCATAAAAAATGGTGAGTTCATGTCCTTTGTAGGGTCATGGATGAAGCTGGAAACCATCATTCTCAGAAAACTATCGCAAGGACAAAAAACCAAACACCGCATGTTCTCACTCATAGGTGGGAATTGAACAATGAGAAAACATGGACACAGGAAGGGGAACGTCACACACCGGCGACTGTTGTGGGGTGGGGGGAGGGGGGAGGGATAGCATTAGGAGATATACCTAATGATAAATGACGAGTTAATGGGTGCAGCACACCAACATGGCACATGTATACATATGTAACAAACCTGCACATTGTGCACATGTACCCTAAAACTTAAAGTATAATAATAATAAAACTAAATAAATAAATAAATCTACGGGTGGATTTTTCAGATGCACTGGCAGAGCAAATATCGGTTTTATATAAAAAGTCAGCATAAGCCAATTGGAGAAATGTGAGGGAATGCTTCTAACTACTTCATTACATCCTAATCACAAAAGCAGAAAGGACAATGGATAAAGACAAAAGCAAATGTACATTATCACATTTTGGCCCTATACAACTATTAGGACAAGAGAGGAAGGAGAAAAGCAGGCCCACGTCAGTTTAAAAATGCCATGTAAGTCAGGTACCTTGAAAACAATCATAGGCAGGGGGCGCGGGGAGGGATAGCATGAGGAGATATACCTAATGTAAATGACGGGTTAATGGGTGCAGCACACCAACACGGCACATGTATACATATGTAACAAAACTGCACATTGTGCACATGTACTCTAGAACTTAAAGTATAATAATAAATATAATAATAATAATAAAGAAAGAAAGAAAACAATCATAGGCTTTGTTCCAGCAAGGCTGAAACTGCCTTTGCAAAAATTACAACTAAGGAAATTATGACAGTAAAAGAGATCAGACCTAACTGACTCGACTCTATCTTGCTTCTAACCTTTAAGCTGGCCTTGTTCATTCCTGGGCATAGGCCAAACTAACCTTGGGAAGGAATTTAGTTTATAGTTCAACTTTGAAACAAAATTAATAATAGCCCTTTCCCAAAGGGGAAAGCAAAACAAATCACCCCTTCTTGCCTGGGGACCAGTCTGAGTCTGTCTTTGTAGGACTAACAAACTAGCTACAAGATTAGAAATTATGGTTTGGGGCCATGCAGCCTCTGGCTGCAAGTATCTGAACCTCCCCAAATTGCTCCTGTGAATAACATCACTATTGCAAAATCTAACATCAGTGATTGACATATTTTGCAGACACTGCACTCCAGGTCTGGTAATCTGGCTCAACCAGATTGAGGCTGGTAACCTGGCTCAACCAGTTCTGCGATTTCACCCAAGAACAGAAGACAGCAAGAGAAACTCACTTTGACCCCCTATGATTCCATCTCCAACCCGACCAATCAGCACACCCCACTTCCCAAGCCTCTCCCCACCAAATTATCCTTAAAAACTCTGATCCCGGGGAAGGCTTGGAAAGACAGATTTGAGTAATAATAAAACTCCAGTGTCCCACACAGCTTCTCTGCATGAATTACTCTTTCTCCATTGCAATTCCCTTGTCTAGGCAGCGGGCAGGGTTTCTAGAAGGCTGACAAGGAAAAAAAACACAAACAAAAATTTGTCTTACAACCAATAGTGCGGAGGTCGGGATGGGGGCAGAAGGGTGAGAACTAACAAATTAGCTCGGATTTTGGTCTCTCCTGGCCTCTTTCCATCTGAGAATTGGGGGAACCTTCTGGTAACAGCTGGGGATTGTGCTTTTGTGGTGACTAGGGGCATAGTGTGGAGGAAAAGAGTCAAACTCTGTAAAATATTTGAAAAGATTTATTCTGAGACAAATATAAGTGACTATGGCCTGTGACACAGCCCTCAGGATATCCTGAGAACATGTGCCCAAGGCGGTTGGGGTGCAGCTTGATTTTACACATTTTAGAAGACATGAGACATCATTTAAATACATTTAAGATACACATTGATTCGGTCCAGAAA